>NW_003315944.2:0-300000 GCF_000001405.40 Homo sapiens
AGAACATTCACCCTTCCTGGTATTACTGGACCCAGGGACCTGCAGGGATTGGTAGAGCAGCTCAGTTTCCTTAGAGTTCTAGAAGCCACCTAGAGCCTGAGGTCAGGCCTAGAGTTGTCTGGTATACCAAGGCCCTGCCCCAGGGTGCCCCAGAGGAGCCACATTGTAGGGAGGCCACATTCTCTGTTCATTCATTGCACTTGTTCCCATGATACCTTCTGTAACTCCTACCCACATGTTCCCATAATCAGGGCTAACTTTCCAAGTCTCTTGTGTGTGTGTCTCCCAAGCCACCAGATTTCAGCCCAGGCTGTACTCAGTACATGAGTACAGGTGATGTTGGTTGATACATCCTGCCCCAGCCTCTCCAGATCCCTGTTTGACAACCCTACCCTGTGATTTGAGAAAGCTTGGCTTGGGCCACTGGGGTTTCTGGAGTCTCTGGGAGACATTGGACTTTATTGGCCAGAGAGCTAACTCCCTGTTATCCACTCCAACAGGGCCCAGAGAACCCCAAAGATGTCGCCATCCCCAAGTCATTTTTGAAAGGTGTAGGATTGTATTTTGTGGCCTGTAGGGAGGGCAGTTTTGTTGTATCTTCTCCACCCTAAATAGCCTGTTTGTTCACATCCACCGTTCACTATGGGAACAGAATGGGTGATGGGGAAGATCCAGACAGGTTTCCATCTTTAGATAGGGGATTGAGCTGGTAGACATGTTGGGAGGGAAGAGGGCTTAAAAGGGAGAGTTCTGGGACCACAGGGTGGGGGTCAAGGTGCAGGGATGGGGATTAGGGCAGGTGCTGGGTCTGGTCTGGCATGAGGGGGTGGAGGGTAGGGCTGGGGTCTGACCTGGTGAGTGTGGCTCAGCGGGGCGGCTGAGGTGTCTAAG
This sequence comes from Homo sapiens, assembly GCF_000001405.40. Classification (NCBI taxonomy): domain Eukaryota; kingdom Metazoa; phylum Chordata; class Mammalia; order Primates; family Hominidae; genus Homo; species Homo sapiens. The sequence goes on from NW_003315944.2 coordinate 892, forward strand.
TTCAATGTAGAAGTCCTCGGGCGGGTACCTGGCCTCCAGGGCACTGATCTGGAAATGGGAGTCTAGTGAGAGGAATGACAGGGAGGAGCCATTATTCCCAGGGCCCTGGTATAGCAGGGGAAGGGGGTAGGAAGTACACAAGTGGGCCAGGGTCAGGGTGAGGCAGGCTGGGAGGACTTGGGGGCCTCTGTGTATAGCATCCAGAGGGGCCAGGGCCAGCGGGGCCAGGGGCTCTGTTAGAGCCAAGGTCATCTGCCTTGTTTCCCCTCTCCTTCCCTCCCTCCCTCCCTCTGCAGGAATTAGTGCTCCTCCACCAGGGAGGAGGCAGGGGGAAGAAGCCCTTGAAAGGAGCACCTTGGTAGGGCCTGGGTCAAGCAGAGGTTCCTATCCAGATGGTGAGTGTGTCTTTTGCTTCCATCTGGAATCCCTACACCCTGGCCCTGGTTTTCTCCCTTATGGTCCCTGGGTCATAGCAGGGACTTAGCCCTAATATAGTAATGGAAAGGGATTCTTGGGCTTCATCTGCTTGTGAGAGCCAAAATTTCTCCCTGGGGGAAACCATGTTCAGAACTCATAACCCTGTCCCTTCAAGCTGGGTGCTTCTCAATATGGAAGAAGAATAGGGTGGGACATGATGGTGGGGACCAGACTCACACCACTACTGACCTAACACGTTCACATAGCTGTAGGGGGTCCAGCCTGCTGTGTCTCTGTCAAGGGACTTGTTACTGAGCTGTTTGGAGAGTAGGAGAGCCAGTTAATATCTAGTGCCCCAGGTACCCCTCCCCAGTCTTCACTTTGCGTAGCTTCAGTGCACACACCCTGTAATAATCCTGACCCACCTGGGTCCTAGGCCGTTGAGAGAAAGGGCGAGCTAGGTGTTCCATGACAGGCCACCATGGTGTGGTTGATGCTAGTGGGAATAGAACATACCCCACCCCAGCTGTTGGGCTGAAGTTGTAGGGTTCCCAGGCCTCCTGGGGTAGCTTGAGCCAAGCTGGCCCTGACAGAGGAAGCAGATTAGCTGGGGGGTGGGGCTGAGCTTTAGGAGAGGGGCCTCTGGTGATGTCTCAGCTGCAACATGAGGCCATCTCCAGCACAGAGGGAAGTCTTGAGGCTGCCTGCAATATCACTGTCACCTCTGCCACCTGATCCTGATTGGGGCTGAATGTGAGATTTTCCTTTTCCTGCGACCAAAGGAAAGCTTCAGAACAGAGTGTCTTGAGGCTTATATTGTAGTCCTTCCATTCTCTGCATTTTCACAGCTGCCCTTCATATGAGGCAAGGATGGTTATCCTCATTTCACAGATGGCGACCTGAGTCCTGACTTGCGTGCCTTGCTCATGAACACACACGAGTCAGTGACAAAGCTGTGTCTGGAACTCAGTTCCCAGTGCCGTGTCCTTTCCATGTCATCACAGCTGCCTGCCTCTGCTGCAGATGCCCTATCTGTTAGACTGGTTAACCACAGAGAGCCACTCTGGGCCCCTGGGCTGAGGTGACCCAGAGGGTCACCAAGTTGGCTACTCTGCAGTAATTCCAGCCCCTTACCAAAAGAGGGTGGAGGCTGAGAGTGGCCTTGGGGTGTTGGCTTGATAGTGGTTGCCCTTGAGGCTGTATAGTATCTATATTACTATTGCTGGACCAGGTCTGTAGGCTGATGGTCATTCTCCATGGGACAGACAGGGAAGAAAGGACTCCTAGATCTCTAGGGCATAGCCGTGGACTATGAAAGCCATGCTTTTGTCCCTGAATGGATATTATGGGAAGCTAGGAGTCCTGAGATTCCCACTCCCACCATGGCCCTGCTCCCCACTGTTTTGTGTCTATGGGCACAGGCACAGGTGGGTGTCCAGAGGTATGCAGCATGAGCCTCTCAGACCTGTCCTTGGGGGCTGTTCTTCCTCACTTCTTGTTTCCCACTCTGCCTGGTATGGGTCCGGGCACATTAAGGGAGCTCCCTATGTATTATCTACACATAGGTGCTGAGACATCCTTGCCCAAGGGCCTGTTGACTATAAGAGGACATCTTGCCAACAGCCAGGGTTATGCTGGAAGCTGTCAGGGAAGGTCCTGTCCAGAAGGGTGCACACCTGCCATGAAGACCTACAGAACTCAGTGTCCACAGAACATTGGCTATGGCTGAAGTTTGGGTTCCACATCCCTTGTTGATTCAGACTGCAACAAACGGTTATGAGTGGGTACTGATGAAATGGATAGGTTCAGATAAAAGAAACATTGTGAGGTGGTTATCTGAATAACAGTAGTTACTCTATAATATGCCACTTGCACACATTGTGTTGGTAGCATACTGCAGTGATTTGTGGTAGGTGGTCTAGTTGTTGTTGTTGTTTTTTGAGGTGGAGTCTTGCTCTGTCGTCAGGCTGGAGTGCAGTGGCGTGATCTCAGCTCACGGCAGCCTCCACCTCCTGGGTTCAAGCGATCCTCCTGCCTCAGCCTCGCAAGTAGCTGGGACTACAGGCGTATGCCACCATGCCCAGCTAATTTTTTGTATTTTTAGTAGAGATGGGGTTTCACCATCTTGGCCAGGATGGTCTCAATATCTCGACCTTGTGATCCGCCTGCCTCGGCCTCCCAAAGTGCTGGGATTACAGGCGTGAGCCACTGTGCCCAGCCTACAAGGTGGTCTAGTGTTTTGATTACGTGTTGACATGTGGCAAAAGTGTCTACATGATTATAGGTGATAAAGCAAATACATGATTACATGACTTGGTACCAGTTGGTTACACACAGGGTACAGGGGTATATGTTATACTGAGTGATGCTGTGGGTTGGTTACACGGCACTCCACATAACATGCTGGCTCCATTACATGCCTCACAGAGTGTTTACGTGTACCACGGATTGCAAGGTTGCTTTTAATGTATTGGTGGTCAGTTCTACATGGACCCTCCATGTGGCGGGGGGCGTGCAGTTCCTTCCTGGGCAGAGGTGAGGGTTAAATGAGAGGGCAGTGAGTGGGGGCTGGGGAATCAGGGGCCCGGTACCTTGGTGGGGCTGTTCCTGTCCAGAGTGCTGGCCTGGCTGGTGGCAGGCCCCCCACATGCCAGTGCGTGGTAGCTGGAATTGGAAAAGCAGTGGGCATGGCTGCTACTTTGAGACAAATCTGGGAAGAGAACAAGGTGCCACATACCATCATACCCCTGCCCCTGGCATGAGATACCCCCAGTACTAATGCTTGCGCTGGGAGCCTTGAGAGAGCCCTGCAAAGACAAACAGGCAAGTACCCCATCCCCCAAGCTTCCTGGCATCCACTACTCCTACTGAAATCTGGAGAGCCTGATTTGCTCCTTCCCTTACGCTGGTCCTCCCTGCAGCATGCAGAATGCAGGATAGGCTCACCTGTGCCAAGGGGAGGCACTATCAACTGGAGCCTGGATGGGGCATGTTTGCTTTGATAGCCTTACATGTCCCTGAGTCCCTATTTAGGGCTGGACTCACCTGCTTCCTTCTAGGGTCACATCCTGGTAATGAGATCATAAAGAGAACCTCACTTCTGACTCTGCTCTTCCCTCCTAAGGATTCCAGAACCTCTCCATAGGGCTGGGGAATACCAGAGGAATGGCATAGGAAACCCTAGCCAGCCTTCTCAGTATAGTCATAGAAGAAAATCCCCAAATCTGTGTGTGGGATGTCTGCTTTGGCTGTAGTGTGGCATGTAGACCAGGAGCTCCTTGAAGGCATGGTGTGCACTGGCCTGCCTCTGTCTATCCTGCAGTGCCTAGCATGAAGCTGGACATACAGAAGGCAACACTTAGCAGGAATGGGCTGAAGTGATCTGGGTTTTCTAAGCACAAGATGCAGGAGGCTGCAGATGAGCCATGAGCCACGTGCCATGGAGCTACCTGGAGAGAGCTGTCACCTTGTGCTCACCCAGACAGGCTCAGCCTCACATAGCCCAGGACTATAGGGCAATTTCAGAGCATTTTGGCCTCTACTGTTTAGCCAATATGAAGCAAAAAACCTTTCGTATTTCCAAGGCAGCAGTCCAGGGTTCAGGGGAAAGGAAGGATATCGCCCAGCAGCCCCATCTTGACCCCACTCAGACTCCCAAATAAAATGCCTATTGGAGCTGTTAACCACATTCATGGATGCACTGGGCTCTGGCACACTTGCCAGAGGGACATTGTCCAAACTTTCAGACCTCCCAAGTCAGGTACTGTCCCCTTCCGCTGTACTAATAGGACCCTCCTAACTGGGAACTGGGAAGGAGGGTTGTCCTGAGGCGTTCACCAGGGAAACAGAAATGGATGAGCTCTGGGCACTGGGCTCCAAGGTCTAGCCTCCTGAGGTGGTACAGGCATCAGGTTGGGGAGACAGTCCTCTGGAGAGCTTAGGAAAGTGACTGGTTAGTGTGGGTGCTCCTGAGGCCGAAGGCTGGTGAGAAGGATAGGGAAGCTCTGGGAAAATGGCAGGAGGCTCCCAACCACAGCTGCTCAGAGCTAGGGACTCAGGAAACAATTTTCCCTTGGAACCCCAGATATCTTCTCTAGGTAGGCTCCTGCTCCCCATCCCCACTGTCACTCTAGGGGAGACTGAGCTTCCACATTCAGCCACAGCAGCCAACCCTACAGGCACAACCATTCCTGGGGTATGTGTGTGTGGAGGGGAAGAGGAGGGAGGCCAGGAGCATGGCCCTTACCTGAGAGGGAGTAGTCGGTGCTGGTCATCCTCATGGCAGGTGTGTAGGAGACACGGGGAGCCAGGTCTCGGCCCTTCTCTTTCTGCCGCCGCCGATGCCAGGCAAATAGGCCCAGCAGCACCACAATGAGGAATAACAGGAGCATGATGCCTGTGACAGCACCCACCGAGTGCCGCTCTGCACCCAGTGCTGGGCTGATCTTGGTGTAGGGATTCAGCTCCTCCATCATGAGGGCAGCTGCGGGCAGAGGGAGGGCCTGAGCCTGGGGCTGGCCTTCTTGCGCTTCAGGTCTCCTGGGCCTGGGTTCAGATGCGTGTAACCCCTCTAATGTTAGGAGATCTGGTTCTGGCTTTGGCCCGATTCCTGAGTCCCTATGTGACTACCCCCAGCCCTCACTGTGCCTTCATCCCTAAAGGGGATGGAGTCTCAGGGTCATGACAAGGAGCAATTGTGACTGTCGATGTGAAACAATAAATATTATTTTACTCTGTTCCAAAAATGAGTTAACAGATATTAATTCATTTACTCTTCAGCCCTGTGAAGGGATTAGTATTTTCCTTTCACAGATGAAAAAACCAATTTATCAAAAGGTTAGGTAATGTGCCCAAGATTACATAACCTATAATTGGCGGAGTCAGGAAAAATTGAACACAGCTCCTCTCCCTGCTTCCTAATTGTGTGGCTCAGAGTCCCTGGTTTGCTCATTTGTAACATGGGGACAATAACCCCACCCTCCCCAGTCGTGAGCACCAAGTGATAGACTGGCAAGGAAGGCTCTTAAGTACTGTGCTGTTATTTCCAGGATGACTGCCCGCAGGACCCCTCTTGGTTATATATGTGAGGGCTGCCCCCACCCTCCATGCTGATGCTTAGTCTAGGAGGCTGTCCTGCCAGGCCCACAGTGTCTAGACTTCTCCTTGACTGTTGGCTGCTGGCTGAACTGAGCTGGCCAACATCACTAGGGAGGTAAATGTGCTGCAATATCGTTCTCAGTGATTTATCCTCAGAATGCAACGGAAATCTGTCTTTTGGCTCCTTTTCTGTAATGTGAATAATTGAGAGCCCATTTTCATCCCCCATCTAGAACCAACATGTTTGCAGCACATTATAAAGGCTTTTATATAACAAAGCCAGCATTTATTGGAGTGTTCACTTATGGGCCAGGCACCCCGCTGAATCTCTTACTCATACTGTCTCAACGTGATTCTCACAACTGGACCCTGGGACTCCATCCCCTTTAGGCCCTATGAGGTGTCATCCGACTGTAGTGCTAGAACCAAGGTTGAGCCCCTTTGGGCTCCTCGGCCTTCAGAGTAACCTTGTGTCATGGGGGAAGATGATTAATCTACTCTTCCCGCTTTGCATGTGGAGTAACAGGCCTAGCAAAATCAAATAACCTACCCAAGGACACCTGGCGGGTAAGGCAGAACCAGAACTTGGCAGATATTCTAACTTGGTCTGGTGGCCTTTCCATAGTACTAGCTTGTGGCTACCCTTGCTTGGCTCATGGGAAACTTGCCAAGGGTGAGCCTAGGGAGGCTGTGACTGAGAGACTGCCTGCTCCTTATGCCTCTTCAGCACTTGGAGCCTCTGCAGCCCACCCTATTCCTGCTGTCCTCACAAATGTGAATAAAGGGAAGTATCATCAAATCCAGCTGTTCGAGTTGGAATCTCCCTAGAGCTGCCATGGGGCCCTTTCCACAGACCCCGGGGCTCTGCCACGTGTGTATTACCTTGGTCACACCTGATTCCTTTGAAGCCAGGGCTGCAGTAACAGGTGCCGGTGACATGGTCACAGGTGGAGTTGTTCATGCACTCACATAGCTGCTGACACCCATAGCCAAAGGTTCCTGGGGCACATCCTGTGTGGCACAAAGAGTTAGGGTAGAGGACCCACTCACTCTCCACCCCTCCCCTTCCATGTTTAGACAGCTATGGCAATAAGCCTGTTTTGCCTCCCACTGAGTGAAGCCTATTCCCTTAGCTCCTGTTGAGGAGCATTTATAGCACTGAGTGGGGGACACAGGGACAGAGGAGGAGTGAGCAGGGCCCACTCACCCCTACTTCCTCCTCATGCAACACATTTAAGCAGTATCTTCCACCTGCCATGCCCTAATCTGAATGCCATAGGGACTTTAAAGAATAATAAAAAAAAAATCCTGCCTCCCACTATTCTCTCATTACTTGCTATGACCTCTGCCCTAAATGCCCCCACCAACTGAAGGGAGAAATTCTTCAAACAATAATGTAGGCATGACCTTCCTCAGCATTTTTCCTTGGAAGTTGTCCCCAAAGTCAAGGGACCAAGGGGTACAGAGCCCTGAGTGAGTGGACCTTGAAGTGGGAGCCATCCTCTGCAGGAGGGTAGGGCCCAGCAGCATCACCCAGGATCAGGGGTCAGGGCAGCTTACTCTGCTCACAGTGTTGCCCGGTGAAGCCTGTGCGGCAGGTGCACTTGCCACTGATGTGGTCACAGCTGGCGCCATTCTGACACTGGCATACGCGCCCACAGTCCTTCCCAAAAAATGCTGCTGGGCAGCCTAGAGAAACAGGATTTCCAGTCACGAGAGTTGCTGCTGGGTGGGGACAAGGGGGACAGCAGGAACCAGACCTGTCTTCTGTCTCTTTTTTTGCTGAGCATGGGATGAAGACTAGTGAGACCCTGCACCAGAGTTGTCTCCCTGCTCAGGATCTTCATGCTGAAGTGGTAGGGGCAAGGTGATCGTTGCCTTTCCAAGACAGAGGGGCCTTGGAACCACAGGTCAGGCTAGGGTCTACTTCCTGTGTGGACACAGGCTGCTCCTCCCCACTCTGGGCCCCACTGTCCAAGGAAGGTCTGGTCTTGGTGATTGCTGGAGTACCTTGCAGCCCTGACCTTCCAGGACTTTGGGCTTGTCAATCCCCTGAATCCAGTCAGGTCTGGAGCTGCCCCTGCAGAGCTCCTCAGTTCTCGTGGGGCAGGAGTCAGGTACCACCAGTCCTGGGGCTGCCTGCATTCCTCCCTCCCTGCTGGTCTGGACAATGCCCACAGTGGCCAGTAGGCCGCAGCATGGTATTCTAAGTGGCTGGGAGGCCAGGAGGTGGGGCTTACGCTGTGTGCAGAAGAGTCCAGTCCAGCCAGGGGTGCAGTGGCAGGCCCCGTCCTCGGCGCTGCAGCTCGCCCCGTTGTGGCAGCTGCATGCGTGGAAGCAGGCGGGGCCCCAGAACCCGGGTGGGCAAGCTGGGATGTCGGTGAAATGCAGAGGGTGAGGGGAAGGCAGAGAGGGGCAGACGGAGAGGGAGAAGAAGGGGGAGTACATGTCAGAGCCAAGATGCCAAGATGGACCTGGCTGACATTTCCTGGCTTTCAGGGGCTTCATGCACTGTTCCCAGAATTCCTGCACTTACTTCTTGGCTTAGTTACCCAGGATTCCCATTAAGCCCAGATTCTCTGCCCACTCTCCAAGTCTTTGATGACTGACTCAGCAGGACTCTGAGGGCCCCCGAGCCTCCCCTCTCAGGGGACTGATTTGGAGCATGCGGGTAAACACTGTGGTTTACCGTGTATGTACTGTGTGTGTTTCCCCATGAGAATGGGGACTTTCCTAGGGCAGGAGCTCTCTTCTCTCAGTTGGTGAGCTCCTGATGATGGAGCCTGTCTCCTCATCAGAATGGAAATTCCCTCAGCCATCTAACTAGGACCTCCCCAAGGGTACTGGCTAGGTCTCACCCATCAGACAAGGAGCTCCACAGGGTCTCTGTCCTTAGTTTGGGGGCTTCTGGAAAGGGGCTGTTCCCTTCACATCAGATTGGTGCACTTTACATGAACAGCCTCAAGGACATCATTCACATGGGCCACCCAGAGGGCACTGCACCCTCCTGAGGTGGCTGCCCGGGCCTCATCTCACTTCCCTACTCCCAAACTCGAGCATGCTGTTGCACCACCTCTTCCCCATCCAAACTCGGGCTGCTCCTTGTGCAGGTGCTAATGGAGTGTTAAGTCTCAGAATTCATAGCATTAATGGTACTATCAACAATATCAGTACCTTTGATACCAGCAGTTAATACCAATGATCAATCCTAATAATCCATCATGTTAGCTATAGAGCTAAATGGGGCTCATTCCTACATGCAGAAGGAGATTTCATCCCTGGAAGTGGAGGCACCAGGACAGAGAGGTTTTGGGCAACAAAGGGAGAATTTTTGGGCCTGACCCCAGGTAGGGGCATTCCCAGGTGGCAGCAGCTTACCCTGTGAGCAGTCCTTGCCAATCCATCCAGGAAAGCACTGGCAGGAGCCATCGATAGGGCTGCAGGTCCCGTTGTTGGCACAGGAGCAGAGCTGGGCACAGTCCTGCCCAAAGTATCCTCCAGCACACACTGTGGGCACAGGGCAGCCTGGCACCCATCCTCCCACCTGTGTTCCTCTGACCTCCACCCACAGCCTCATCCCTAGAAGTTCCCAAGCCACAGCCATGATCACCCAGGGGTCATGGATCTGGATGGAGACCACGCCCGCCTTGGTACCCTTGTCACCCTTCTCCATTTGCACATAAATGAGTTGCCCCTCTCATGCCTACAGCTGCATTCTTCAGAAGGCTCTATTATGATTGCCTTTAAGAACAGCCTGAGGCCCATGGAGGTAGAATCACCTGACTTAGGTCTCACAGATGAGAAGTGGGAGGCTGAGCACTGTACTTCTGGACTCACAGTCCAGTGCTCCCTGTACTGTTCCACAGCCTTCTGCTTTCTATTACCACTTTCACCAACATCACGGATTCCACAACCACGAGGGTAGAGAATATGTACAGCTGGACAGAGAGGGACAAATGCCATGTGGCAGGCCTGCCTGCGGTTTGACTGTTAAAGGACCAGCCCTGAATGTCTGTCCCTGCCTGCCTCTTTCCTCTGACCTGTTGCTCAAGCCTCTCAGCTCAACATCTTCCTCAAGAAAGCCCTCCTGAGTTCACAAGGCCCTCTCCACCACTGGTATTTCCAATTTGAGTCACTTGGAGGATTTTGGTCACAGACCTTCCTGGAGGAGTCACTGCTTGGTCCCTGGAGGAAGAGCTGGTTTCCTCAGTCAGGCTGCAAAGCTCTTTTAGGACTAGGTTTGAGTATTCATTGAGTATTTAACCTTTTGTTTCCCTGTGCAATTCATCCCCCACCTGCTTTCTACAGCTTGAGCTCTCTAAAGCACAGCTTTCTTCATGGCACTCCTATGTCCTGCTTAGAGAGCCTCAGTGGATTCCCCATCGCCACAAAATAAAGTCGATCCTGGAGAGCAGCACAGAGAATGATGGGAAGGTGTTGATTCTTGAAGATACATGACTTCCCCAGGGCCCAGGTCTCTCACATCTTGGGCTGAAACCCTCTGCTTTATACCACACTGCCTCATATTGGTAGTTCTTCCCCAGCCAGACGGTGGGCCGCTAGTGGCTAGGATCTGAATCTACTCAGTGCCTCTCCTGGACGTGATTGGTAGTTGAGACAAATAATACAGGCAATGGTGGACCAGACTCTCCAGTCCAAAGCCTTGGATTTAGGTCTAAGTTTTCTTTATGTAGTCAACAAACATACACATGACACTTAAATGCACCAGACACTGTTCAATGTGCTTCACAAATACAGGCATACCTCAGAGATGTGGGTTTGGTTCCAGACCACTGCAAGTGAATATTGCAATAAAGCAAGTCACACAAATGTTTTGGTTTCCCAGAGCATACAAAAGTTATGTTTACATTATACTGTAGTCTATTAAGTGTGCAATAGCCTTATGTCTAAAAAACAATGTACATGTCTTGATTAAAAAACACTTTATTGCAAAAAAAAAATGCTGACACAGACACGAAGTGTACACGTGGTGTTGGAAACATGGCACCGACAGGGCTTGCTTAAGGCAGAGTTGCCACAAACCTTTGGTTTTTTTGTTTCGAGACAGAGTCTCGCTACGTTGCCCAGGCCGGAGTGCAGTGGTGCAATCTCGGCTTACTGCAACCTTTTCCTCCCAGGTTCAAGCGATTCTCCTGCCTTAGCCTCCCCAGATAGGCACGCGCCACCATGTCCGGCTAATTTTTGTATTTTTAGTAGAAACAGGGTTTCACCATGTTGGCCAGGCTGGTCTCGAACTCCTGACCTCAAGCCTTGGCCTCCCAAAGTGCTGGGATTACAGATGTGAACCACTGCACCCGGCCAAACTTTTAATTTAAACAAAACAAAACAAAAAACAACAAGCAAAATGCAGTTTCTGTGAAGCACAATAAAACAAGGTATGCCTGTATTTAGTTCACTTACTCTTGGAATACTATTATATAGTCTCACTATTATGCCTTATCATTAACTCTGCTTTGTAGATGAGAAACTGAGGCAGGTTAAGTAACTTGCCCAAGGTCACACAACTAGGAAGTTGTACTGCTTGCTGGCTAAGTGCCTTTGAGCAAACTCTCTGTTTCCTCATCTTTGAGGTGGGAATGGGAACCCTCACCGACTGTCCTAGGACCATGGTTAGTAGCTGTGGCAGGCTGGCTGATTTGGGGCCCCATGCTTCCCCTGGCAGAAACCTTGGCTCCCTTCCAGGAAGTTCCAGTGCCAAGAGGGTGACATGCATCTCACCTGTTTGCAGCTCAGGCTCCAGCTTTTTGAAAAGCAGGCTGCCCAGCCTCTTCTTTCCTACCTCTGGGAGGTGCTTGATTTGGGGAACCCATCCCCAAGTCCTGGCCCTCTGTGGGGAGTAGGGTGCCAGAGCTGCTCCCCCTACCCTACCCCCAAAATGAACTCTGAGCTTCTCTAACAAGAGTCTTATCTTTGAAGTCTTTCTCACATACATGAGGCCAACAAATTTACCCACAGAACTGCTAATATGATCAATCTAATCCATTAATTGGTCGACTTCTTAGCTGAATCAAGAGTAAGGCAAAGAGAGGGGCAGTGGACAGAAGGGGGGCTGGTGAAAAGAAAACATCTGGTTATATTTAATCTGTGTTTAATGATTCTGCGTAAGCAGTGTCTGTAATTTGTAACTTGCTGGAAAGCCAGTCATTAGAAGGTGTCAGTTCAATTTTTTACAAGGTTTAAGACTTAACCAGGGCAGTTGCCATTAATAGCAAACTCCATTAGATCTATATGTGGGAAATACTCATTAGGCCAGTGGGCGATAAATCAGACAACGCAGCATCTGAGAGTTACTCCTCGGGCTGCATGGGTCCTAATTTAGACCTAGACTATCTGTATTGATGGCCTAGTCTCCTGTGTTTAATAAGTGAACCTCGACATGTCAGGTTATGATTAAACCATCCTAGGAGGGCTGCAAGTAAATGAAACTGTCACATATGTTTCTCTGGGGCTCAAACTTCTCATGACCTCAAAGCATCATGTAGTAAACTTTCTATTCATACATATTAACAGCCCACACACTTGCAAAAATAGCCCAGCTCAGCAGTGATTATTCATCAAAAGAATGGGTTCCCCTGGGAGGTAGTGAGCTCTCAGTCAACAGAAGTATTTAAGCAGAGTCCAGATGAGATTTCTTGCATAGATGACCTTGAAGTTGCTTTTAGCCCTAAGTTTAACTTACCCTAAGCTCCCTTCACTCCTTTCAGGTTAGAATGCAAGTTCTGTAACCTTGTGTTCAAACCTGTTCTGAAGGTCCCAGCCTACCTTCTGAGCCCCATTTCCCACCCCCAGCTACCATATCCATCAGCTGTTCCCTGTAGCATGCCCATGTCTCTGTGCTTTGCCCAAGCTGCTTCCTCTACACAGAATGCTTTTCTTCCTTTTCCACCTTTCAAGCTAAGGCCCAGCTGAAGTCCTGCATGGTCCATGGAGCCTTCACCCAAATCCACACTGTCTTGTCCTAAGAAAGCCAGGGATGGCAATAGGCAATGATGTGTGGAGGCAGCTCCTACCTTCTCACTGGTTGTTCAATATTTGGGAATTTTGTGAATGATGTTAAACCATTGGTACCTTAAAATCAGCCGTGGTAGGAATATTTATATTTTAAAAATCTGCAGATGTTACAGATCAGGGTTTTTCCCCCACAAAGAGCTGGTAGGGTGGAACACCAATGCAAATAAGCTTTATATCTCTTTTCAACTCCTGCTGAGTGGTAGCAGTTCTTGGAGTCGGTATTGTGAAGGATTCTGAGGTCAAGTCAGGAAAGCATATGGGGAGGGATTAGGGATGGTGGCCTGAATATGACGGGGAGAAGGGCTTGGAAGTTGCCATCTCCAGCCAGAGCCAGCTCCTCTGCACTCCCACAGCATTCTCTGCCTTTACCCTTGGCACTCGGCACAGACCACATGGTGCCACTTCTGATGCAGATCTCTGTGCTTGTTTCACTTTTCATCCCTTCAGCATGCATGTCGGAATCAGAATTTGTTTCTGCCACTTGCTAGCTGCGAAATCACAGACAAATCATTTCACTTCTGTGAGGCTGTTAACTGTGTTAGGGCCTTTGTCTCATGCCATGTGGGGCTCAATTCTCATAAAGGCAGCCCAAGTCCTGAAGAGGGAAGGAGCTACCTCCATAGCGTATGATGAAAATCCCCAAGCCCTTCCTTCCCTGCCACTTTCCTCCCAGAACCTCTCACCTCCCCACCCAGTACCTTCCCACTGGAGACAGTACCTTGGTTGCAGAGAGCTCCAGAGAATCCTGGGAGGCACTCACAGATGCCGCTGATGTGGTGGCAGGGCCTGCTGCTGTGCACGCAGAGGGGGCATGGCTGGGCGCAGCCGTGGCCATAGAACCCAGGGGGGCAGACTGAGGGTGAAGGGAAGATGGTGGTCAGCAGCCCAAGAGACCCCAGCCAGCCTAGCTACCCTTCCTGTTCCACACTTCTCAGAAACATGGGGAGACCTGCATCCTTCCCTCATCTTGGAGGGCGCATCCCTTTCTGCAGAGAAGAGCTGTGGTGTGGCCCTGTTTCCATTGAGTAGCTGGGCTGGGCCCCAAACCTGGGGACAGAACTGCAGAGGGAGAGACTAGAGGGAAGGAAGAGATGGGGGCTGATTCAAGAGCCCAGCCTCTCTCAGGCCATGGCTAGTTCCAACTGGAGAGGGCTAGGGAGGATTAGCCCTCTGAGCTCTTCGGGGTCAGGGGATTAGCCTTACTTCTCTGGCATAAGGGTCCTCGGAAGCCAGGGGCACACTCGCAGCTCCCATCCTCTGGGGAGCAGGAGCCTCCATTCTCACAGCTGCAGGAGACAGAGCAGTTGGGGCCCCAGCGGCCAGGTGGACACGTGCTGTCACAGCGGATGCCTGTGGGCCAGAGGCAGACTCGGGTCAGTGGTAAGAGAGGTGAGGATGAAGGGAAGAATGGAGGGAAGGGGGACAGTGCAGTATGAAGAGGTGGAGGCAAGCATAGTGCATCCAGGAATGTAGAGGAGAAACCCGGCTGAGGCTTGGCTGGTCATGGAGGATTTTCAGGAAGAAGTGATGTCCAGAGTTCTAAAAGTCGAGGAGGAATTGACCAAGCAAATGAAATTATATGTACAAAGAGCAGGAGGCAGGAGAAAGAATCATGTCTTGAAAGAAATTACAAATAGCAAGTGTGGCTGAACCACAAAGTGCAAAATGGGGTACGGCAAGAGATGAGATTGTGGGAGTAAGAAGGGACCAGATCACAAGGGCCTCTTCTGTATGGCATCCAAGAACAGGACCGGGAGGAACCAACTATGGGCAAGTAAGTGCCAGCTGGGAGTGAGCCATATGCCCACGCATGTTAGCCCAGGAGCCACTGGTGCTGCTGGGTCCCTGCCAACCCACCCAGGGAGGGGCTCAGAGAGTAGGTAGGATCTTTTCAGATTCTTCTGACCAGACTCCTCAGCGCAGTATGTGTATCATTCATGCATACATACAATAGAAACCAGTACTTTGCAAAAATTACATTTACTGTCACTATGTATGTTGGACTCTGATGTTTTCTCTGTACTATGATGTATTCGATTTCAGCTTTTAAAATGCTAGTTGTAACCCAACAATTTGATTTAATGACCCTCAGTTTGACAGAGGCTTATGGGGGAATGGATGGAATTTCTCAATAAGAAAAAGGAACAAAGTCTATAATAGTCTTTTTGGGCTCAGGTAGAGGAAATGTTTGTTAGGTTCCCTACAGCCTGAAGGTGAAGAAGGAATTTTAAAAGGCCTGAGGCTGGATGCCCCAGCTCTGGGGTAGGTTTTCTTCCCAGGCAGAAAGGCTTCCAGTCTGACATGCATTAGGGAAATGGAACATGTGAGCCCAGGAGATTGGCTTGGCTTCAGCAGGTGAATATCAGAGGCTCAGAGAGGGGCAGAATTAGCTGAAAAATCATGTCTGCCTTGTTATAAGGACAGTGATTGTGGGAAAGAGAAAGAAAGGAGAAAGACACTCATGCCCAGTGAACAGAGCCAGCCCTACCAGCAGCAGGAGAGCAGTGGGACCAATTTAGAGGCAGACTGGAATTGTACAAGCCCACCTGGGCTGGCGAGGAGAGGGGAGGGAGGGTGGAACCACCGGAGAGGGGAGAGGGAGGGAGATGCAACAGGCTTTACTCATCCTCCTGTTCCTCAGTCTAGCCCAGCATCTGTGCTCCCTCCCTGTAATGTCTCAGTTTTGCAGCAGGGTAGAGGCTTCAGATGCCACTCTCTGGGAAATGGTTGCGGGTGGGTAGGTGGGGTGTGGGTGGGGGGGGGGGCAAGTGGTTTCCTCCCCAGGGAATGGGATCTGGCAGCCATATTTGCCATATTTTACCCATTGACAGGGGTCTCTCCCAGTGGTGGTTCAGGTGCCCAAGAGGTGAACCCTGGACAGGCATCATAGATTGACTAGAGGGAGCTTGGGAAAGTGGAAACCATAAAACTGTTCAAGGTTTTGGATCCATCTTCAAGTTTCTCCTTTTCCTGGGCATAACAAAAGCTGTGATCTGCCATAAGGCTTTTTTTTTTTTTTTTTTTTTGGAGACAGGGTCTCACTCTATCACCCAGGTGGGAGTGCAGTGGTGTGATCTTGGCTCATGGCAACCTCTGCATCCGGGGTTCAAGCAATTCTGCTTCAGCCTTCCGAGTAGCTGGGATTACAGGTATAAGCCACCACCACAGCTGGCTAACTTTTGTATTTTTAGTAGAGACGGGGTTCCTCCATGTTGGCCAGGCTGGTCTTAAACTCCTGGTCTCAAGTGATCCGCCCGCCTCAGCCTCCCAAAGTGCTGGGATTACAGTCGTGAGCCACTGTGCTGGCCTAGGATTTCTTTTGCCTATGGTTGTTGGAAACCCAGGATTCAGACCACAGGCCTAGGGACAAAGCTGTTCCTTGCACTGAGGTGGAGCTTTGCTGTCCACAGGGCCTCCAATTCCACTGCACACCAGGCACTCTTTGCCAGCTGACCAAGGCACATGTGTCACACGTAGACAGTGCTCTCTCCTAAAACTATAGGTATTACTGTGTTCATAAAACACAGTGTATGTGAAAGCACCACTGAATTCGTGGCAGCTGGTTGCTATTGTGTTTATCCCAGCCAGTGGCTATTAAAAGTATAGCTACTCTCATTGTGGAATCCTTAGTGTTTTCATGTCAAAAGGGGTCCTCATTTATGGAGATTGAGAACCATGAGTGTACCATGTTTATTCTCAGACTGAAGGTGGCTGCAAAGTCCCACTGGGTTCTAGGACTTGGCAGTTATTATATTCTGGGCCTGTTTCTGTGGGAGTGGGGCTGTTTGTGGTTCTTATATGTCCCAAGACCTTCTTGGAGCTTAAGACATGGGATCTAAGTGGAAAGAAGGGTCAAGGATTTCCCCATATGGAGTGCCCAGTTCCAGAAGCAACTTACTGATATGATCAAAGGGGCTGGCCTTGGCCTTTGTGGGAGGCTCCCAGCTGTAGTTTCTGAAGAAGCAGCTTCAGTTACCTTCCTGGGCCCCAGTTTTCGCTACAGTTGGATAGGGATAGTCCCCCTCAGAGGTCCTTTCCTTTCTTACTCTAGGGAACCCCCTTGCTTTATTTTTCAGGACTCCTCCCCACCCCCACATCTAAATTGGTGGGTAAACCTAGGCTAGGAATCCATACATGTTGATCTCTAGTTCATGCAGTGAAGCCAGTAGCCACTCAGCAGCCCATATCCTTCAGGGTCCGTTTAGGGCCCTCCTTCTCCAGGAAGCCTTCTTGGATGTCTGCCCAGGGAGACAAGCATCTCTTTGATAATCAGCAGCATACAGCTTTGTCTCTACCTGTTACTTGAAAGCTTCATACACAAGACCTGTCTCCCCTGCCAGCAATTTGAAGACAGGTACCATGGCTTACTGCCACTTCTGACTTTGCTTACCTAGGTGCTCCTTATGGACAGGATGCCATCTTGGTCATTTTTGCATCTTTGGTGCCCAACAGTGTTTGGCACACAGTAGGTACTCAGAAACTGTTGCTTTTTACCATTTACTGCTGAGTCTGGCATGGTGCTGGGCACAAGGTAGCTGCCAATATAAAGGCTTGGTAATTGCTTGAGTCAATAAATGCTAGTTGATTGAATAAATGGTTCCCCCTTAAGATACAATCCTGAGTCTTTCATCCTATTGGCCCTAATGTCCTGAGACCCCAGACAACTCCTTTTCCTTATCTGTGGCATGAGAAGGTTGGTGGAGATAATCTTTAAAGCCTCCCCCACTTTAAGGGGAAAAATTATGAATGGTTATAGGCCAACTTCCAGTTTATTTCAGTAAACATTTAATAAGCACATATTATGTGCAGGGCAAGATGAATAAGACAAAATGCCAACTGTCAGTAAGCCTATGGCTTATGAGGGTTAAGGGGAGACACATGCACAGCTCAGGGCAGCCCCAAACCTGTGCCAAGCCAAGGAATGAGCGGTGTGCCAGGGACTGGGAAGTTAGGCACAGATTTTTCTTGAGGCAGAGGTGAGTGGGGAGGGCTCAGTGGGAGGCCCATCTCTGTCTCTCATTGGCCCCCTTCTGCATGACAAACCTCAGGACATCAATCACTTCTTTGAAAAGACTTCAGGACCACATTTGGGGAAATTAGGTTTAGAACAGCAGAGGCCTTGCTGAAAGGTGGTTCACCAAAGACAGAATTTTTAAGCACTAGATGTCATTAAAATCTTAATTGGCTCACTCAAAATTAAGGCAATGAAAAATTAAAGTTGATTTCCACTTGGCTCCTGCTGAGATTCTAGGGTGCCAGTGACCAGGGTTGAGCCTTATTCTTTACTGACGGGCAGGAGCCAGCAGGGCAGGGGAAGCCAGGCTGGAGATACTGCAGAGGAAGCAATGTCCCTGGCTCTTGGCTGCTTAGAAACTTTCTGGTTATGAACACAGGCTGTGCAGCAACCTGGTGTTAATTATTTATCTGAGAACCTATACTGCCAGAAATGACTATATTTCTTTCTCTTTGCTGCTCATCACCTTGGGACTGGCTAGTAGGTTCACTTCTGAAATGCTTATTAAGCACTTCCTGTATTCATGGCCTGCTTTTACTGAGCACTTACTATGTGCCAGGCACTGTTAGCACTTTATAGGTAGTAACTCATTTAAGCTTCAAAACAACCCTGTAGTTGCAAGGATAATTATCTGTATTTTATGGATGGAGAGTTCAGGCCCTGAGAGGTTAAATGACTTGCCCAAGGTCATAAACCCCAGCAGTCTTGCTCCAGAGCTGGGTTCTTAACTACCGTGTTATCCATATCTCAGTGTGTGGCAGGCAGTGGATACAATGGTGAATAAGGCAGATGCCTCCATATAGCTGATGGCCACATTAGGGAGGCAGATAATAAACAGTTACCACAGTTGTCATTGAACTCTGATTTAAGTACCACAATAGGAAAAGTGTAGGGTAGAAGAATTAATAAAGGGAGTGCTTTTGTCTTGGTCAGGTTGGGGTGGGTATTGTAGCAGGGGAAGTGCCTTCCCAGAGGAAGAAAGCTTTACATTGAAATCTGGTAGACAAGGAGTTATCAGGTGAAAAGGGGAAGGAATGATCCAGGCAGAGGGAATGGCATGTGCAAAGGCCTGGAGTCAGGAAGGTGGTTGGCTTCCTGAAGAAGTAGACTGCAGCCCTGGTGGCTGGAATGTAGTGAGCCACAAAGTGAACAGAGTGAGGTGGAGTCAGGCAGAGCCAGATCCCGTGGGCCCTGGGCCATGGTAAGGATTTAAAATTTTATGTAAGAGTCGTGGGAAGCCACTGAGGCATTCTGAACAGGGACTGAAATGGCAGATCTGGGTTTGAAAAGTTGACTCTGGCCACCAGGTGCAGAATGAATGCAGCTGGGCAAGAGCGGAGGCCAAGGCAGTGCCAGATGCGGGATGGTACCCAGCAGACCGTGTGGTGGCAGTGGGATGGAGAGAAGTAGATGGATTCACCTTGTATTTAGGAGGCAGGCTGACAGGATAGATATAAGGACCAGGATTCTGAGACTGGACTAAGGAGAAAGGCCCTTGTCCCCTTCTCCATCATATTCTCTAGATTGAGCACTTACACCAACCATATGTCAGCTTTTGACCTACTGGAGTGACTCCAGTGCCTTGGACAGAGCTTATACCTAATAGATGTTCAATAAATATTTACTTGAATTAAATGGAATGGAGAACTGGAACCCAGAGCAGATAAAGGGAAAGATGCATACTCAGGGATCAAGAAGAGAGGTATTGAAGAAGAAAACGGTCAAGAGAAGTAGGATACCAAGAACCCAGTTTCACAGTACCTGGGTGGTGGCACAGCAAGGGAAGGTTACCTGTCCATCCGGCCAGGCAGCAGCAGTGGCCTGTGACGGGGTCACATCCATCAGCATGGCTGCAGTCACAGTGTTCACTGCAGTTCAGCCCAAATGTGCCATCCTGTGGAGAAGACAGGGAGAGAAAAATGATCAGACCCAAACCTCCAGAGGTTTGTGTACTTCTATGGATCTTTTCTTTAATTTTTACTTTTGGAGGGTCCAGTGAGATCTACTGGATCTTGATGACAAAACTGAGCCAGAACCCCACAGAGATGCAGGGAGACTGGGGCTGGGGCACAATGGGGACACGTTTTGTAAGTGGGGATAACACAGCCATGAAGACACTCTGAAGAATTATTTGGCTGCATTAACAGGAGTATGAGGTTGAGAAGGAGGTGATACTCCTGCTCTACTTCTCAGTGGTCAAGCTCAAAGGCCTGTAATGATCATTAACTAAAACTGTAAATGAAAGTGCACTTTGCAGATTGTAACACATTGATCATCTGTGAGGAATGACTATGATTTATTCTTTGTTGCCGGGGAAGAAGGTAGTCACCAATTCTTATATGCTCATTAGGTATCAAGAGCCTCATATACTTAATTTTTCTTAATCCTCACAGCAATTCCATGATATGATTCCATTGTATTCCCACTTTAAAGATGAGAAACAAGGTTAGAGAGGTGAAGTAACATGCTCAAGGTAACAAAGGATGTGACAAAGCCAAGATTTGAACCCAGGATTGCAGGACTCCAAATTGCTCATTAAGGACTGCATTGCTCATCCAGCAATATCATATCAGTGGGTTTAACTTATTTGTATCTCAGACCTATAAGATGAAGTGATTAAGTCTGGGTGGTTATTATTGAACAGTGCTTGCTTTAGTCACCACACACTCTGATCATAAAAGTACAGACTGTTGGAACCAGAAGGAAGCTTAAACATTATCTACCAACGAATGGCAACTCTCATGGATTAGTAAGGGCTGTCTTGTAGCACTGGGTTGTGAAGGAATCTGAAGCTGCATTTGAGCTCAAGTGCCAGAGTCAATAATGTTTACCAAGAGCAGCACGGGAAAAGTGATGCCATGTCACCACATCTGCCAAGTATTTGCCATTTTATAGACGAGGGGGATGAGGGCCAAAGTAGTAAAATAGCCACAGAGAGGTTAGGACTAGGACTGTGACCTAAATCCAAGTGTCCCATCACCTAGCTTAGTGCTGTTCTCTGTGCACTCTTGTGGACGAACTAACACCAGGGAAAGGGCGTGAGGGGATGCGGAGCCCAACCTGTCCCTCCCCACCCTGGCACTCACCGGGCAAGGCAGCTCACAGGTGTCTCCCAGCCAGCCAGGAGTGCAGGAGCAGGAGCCGTCTATGGGGCTGCAGGCTGCCCCATTGGCACAGGTGCAGCTCTCGTTGCAGTTCAGGCCCCACGTCCCACTGGGACATGGCAGGGTGCAGTCCAGGCCCTGCCACCCTGAGGGGAGGGAAAGGGACTGTCACTTCTCCATCCAGGCCCAGTGTGTCTTTTTTGCCCACTCCCCCCAGCTCTGCACACAGCATTCCACCCAAACCACTGCTTTCCTGAGGGCTGGGTTAGAACACACATTCCACACAGAGTTCAGAAATACAACAGAGCTGTTAGGAGAGCTGGGGCTAGAACCCAGGTCTCCTGCCTCCGGGTGCTCATTGTTTGTGCTGCAGGCAGATGATCCTACCTGGAACAGGCACCAGCTCAGGTGGGGAGTGCTGTTTCTGCCCAGGGTGGAGTCTGGCAGCTTATCTCAGGACCCTCTGTTTGAGGGACGTCTGATTCTCCATTCTTAGGCTGGTCACTGGCCTCTTTGCCTACCACACCATTTCTCCCCTTCCCTGTTCATGGTGGGGGCTGACCCCTGCAGGCTGCACATCCCAGGCTCCCCCTCAGCTGGCTCCCAGCCAGGCTGCCTGCAGGAGACCGGCCCACAGACTGGAGAGCGGGAGCAGGAGAGACAGGTGTGTCCTCTCCCTCTTTCTCTGCCTGGGGCCTCAGGTGGTGGCGCAGCCCCTCTCTCCACGTCCCACCTCTTACCAGGTGGCCCTCACTCCCAGGCTCTGGGAACGCTTTCTTTTGTCCCTCCAACCCTAAGAGTGATAGCAGCTTCTCCCACAGGTGTTAACGTGTCTCGGTTGCACACTTTCCCTGTGTGCTGTTTAGCTCTTCAAACAACATTGCAATGAATCCCCTCATTACATTCCTGCTATTGAAATTCCTGGCATGGGTTTTCTTGCCTGGAACCCAACCAATATAGGCTCCCTGACCTTGCATGTGGGGGCGGGGGTTGGGGCAGCCCCACCTGAGACCCCTCAGCTGGCAGCACCACCTGGGGAATGTGCTCATATGTCAGGGATGGGCTTGGGAGAGAGGGCACATTACCTTCCTTGCAGGTACAGGAGCCATCTACTGGGGAGCAGGTGCCACCATTGTTACAGCTACAGATGGACGAGCAGTTGGGGCCATAGGTCCCTGCTGCACAGGAAACGGCACAGACCTCTCCCTGGAAAGGGAGGGGGTGAATTTTGGATCAAAGGTTGCTCCATGTTGGATGGCTGTGGTAGGCAGGATAATGACCCCTGCTGCCCCCAACATGTCCATGTCCTAATCCCTGGGATCTGTGAATATGTTACCTTACATGGCAAAAAGGGACTTTGCAGGTGCGATTACGGACCTGGAGATGGAGAGAATGTCAGGCGTTCAGGGGTTATCCAGGTGGGCTCAATATAATCATGAGTCCTTAAGAGTAAAAGATGACCAAAGAAGGTAGGTCAGAGAGATACACCATGAGGAGCCCTCCACCCGCTTGTGCTGACTTTGAAGATGGAGGAAGGGGCCACGAGCTGAGGAATGCAGTGGCCTCTAGAATCTGGGATCAACAGCTCTTTTACAGCTACCAAGAAAATGAGGGCCTCAGTCCTGCAATCAGAGGAACTGAATTCTGTCCACACTGTGAGCGAGCAGGAAATAGACCCTCTCCTAAAGCTTCCAGGAAGGAACATGGCCTGCTGGCACCTTGGCTTCAGCCTCGTGAAACCCATGCCAGACTTCTGACCTTCAGGACTGTCAGATAATAAATTTGTGCTGTTTGAAGCCACTAAATTGTGATTTTTTACAGCAGCAATGGAAAACTAATATAATCCTTCTCAGTTATTGGAGGGGTCAGGCCTCCAGACCACAATACCAGGGACCTTGACTCCAAAGTCTGTATTAGGTCGAAGAAGCACCAAGTCTAACCCATTGTCTCCCAATCTTATTTCTCACCCATAACCCCATGACACGAGTAGTAATATCCTATCCGCATTTGCCTGAGCCTCAGAGAAGTTAAATGTAAATGATAGCTAATGCATATTGAGTCCTTTCTCAATATCATGTGCCATACACACTATCTCATTTAATTGTCACAGCACTCATAGGAGATAGAAGCTACTGCCTCAGCATTATTCTCACCTAACAGATAACTGCATGGAGAAGTTACTTAACTCTGCCAAGGTCACAGAACTAAACCCAGTTGCTCCTTGCTGGAACCCAGGCTGGCTGCTTAACCATTACATTACCGGGGATCCTAAACTGGCTACCCTGGAAAACATTCTGAGATAGAGATTAGTGAGCTCTTGAGAATAATCCCGATGAGAATAATCCCGATAAGGGATAAGGGAGGCGGTCGAGGCTGAGGAAAAGTTGAACCAAGGCACAGTTACAGTAACTTCTGCTGATCTGGCAGGAAGCTCTGAAGCTGAGATGACCCCTGGAGTTGTCCCACATGGGGGTAAAGGGAGGGAGATCCTTTATGCCTCCATCAATCACTGGCCATCCACTGGGATGGGGGAAGGGGCCATGACTCCTCAGGTGAGTTGGCTAACTTGGAGGGCGATGTCTATAGAGGGCCTCACCTGCGAGCCACTAAATTTCTGGCAGCTGGGGAAGAATGAGTGCTTCTGTCCTGAGGGGTGAATCTGGGCGTCCACTCTACCGGTAAGTGGGTATGCTGTTAGCTCCACTAAACAATTTGGACGAGGGGCAAGTTACAGGGTAGGAGACCAGGAATGGAGGCTTCAGAGGCCTTGAGGGGTGGGAGCATTTAATCAGAGAAGAGTGGGGTAAAGGGGATCCAGGTAGGAAGAGGGTTGTGGACAAGAGTGCAGAGGAGTATGAGCTGGGAATGTGCTAGGGGTGGCTGAAGGGAGGAGTGAAGGAGATAGGTAAAAGTGGGGCTGGGAGTCTAGAATGCCAGGGGAGGGAGTTCAGGCTTTCTTCCCTGAGTCCCCCAGGACATGCTTCCCCACTTAGGAACCTACTGTGGGGCTGTCTATGCCGGAGCAAGTGGTCACTGGATGTTGAATTCCCACCTCCAGCCCCTAGGGAGTGTCTCCAGCCAGCGTCTCAGGCCTTACACCTAAGCTTTCCGTGGGAATCCTGATAATAAATTTGTCTGGGCTGGGAGACCAGAGCTTGTCTGGGCCCCACTAGCTGTGTGACACCAGATATGTACTGCCCGTCTCTGAGTCTCAGTTCCCGCATCTCTGAAATGACAGGCTTGGCATAAAGGAGCTCCCTTCTCAACTCTAAGGGTCCAGGCATCTGGCTTCACTCCTATGTGGGCCACAGAGAGAACCGAGGGTGTGGGTCTTTGCCACGGAGAGGCTTCTCTCCAGCCCTTTTCTGCTTCTGTCTCGCCCTTGGGGGCAGGGAGTGTGGAGTCCTTCCCCGAAGGCCCCACGGTTCCTGCTCTTTCCCCCACCAGTCCCCAGCAGGCCTGACCAGTTGGAGTCTGTCAGCTTTCCCATTACCCAGAAAACTCCAATTTCTCCAAGATGATAAATAGCACATAAGAATCTGACCTCTGAGGGCCTTGGACTGGGTGCAGACTGCAGGCACAGCGTATGCCTTTCTCTTCATGAATCTGCTATCAGAAGGGGTTTCTCTCCCAGTGTCCTCATTAGTGTCCCAAACCCTGATCTCCCTGCAAGGCCTCAGGTTGCCTGTGAGCCCTGTTGCAGGTCTGTTGATGGGGCTCAGAGAGGCCTCCTGCCCTGGCCGTGATCCATGGGACAGGATGCAAGAAGCCAAGCTCGACACATCTGCTCCCCACAATGCCGTGTCAGTTTCCTCCCAGAGAAGCCTATGCCTGGTCTTTGCGACAGTCCTGGGAGGCCACTGGGCTGAGATGGCTTTCTGCTTCCCAGAGAAGAAAAGGGAGACTCAGAGAGGGGCAGTGGCTTATCCAGGACCCCTGGTGTGTTAGTGCCAAGGTTAAGGAGAAAGAACCAGATCTTCCATCCTGAAAGGCAGCAGGGGTGAGGGATCAGAGGGTGGACTCTGGTACCATCCTGCTTCCACAGCTTATTCACCATGTGACCATAGGCAATTTACGACATCCCCTGAGCCTCAGTTCCCACATCTGTTAAATGGGAATTAAAATGTCCTCTTCTCATAGGATTAAGAGGATTAAATTAGTTATTGTTTGTGTAGCAGTTAGAATAGTGCCTGATGGGTAGAAAGCACTATACAAGCTATTAGTGCAAAGATATAGCATCTCTTAGGGAAAGAATACCTTGTTTACCTTTTTATCACCTTCTCTGGGCTGGCTCCCTGTTCCCCCTCACAGCTGACACAGGCTGGAACTTTTATCACCACACACTACAGGTATGGTCTTGGAGGACGGAATGACCACTCCCTGAGGGCCACTGTTCCAAACACTTTGCATTTGTCAGTTCCTCTGATATTGTGAAATATAAGGTCTTCATCCAGTTTCCTGCCAAGCAACTCCTGGAATCCTTAGAATCTCCAAAGTGAGTTTTTGTTTGTTTGTTTGTTTGTTTGTTTTTGAGTCGGAGTTTCGCTCTTGTTGCCCAGGCTGGAGTGCAGTGGCACGATCTTGGCTCACTGCAACCTCCACCTCCCGGGTTCAAGCGATTCTCCTGCCTCAGCCTCCTGGTAGCTGGGATTACAGGCATGTGCCACCACACCCAGATAATTTTTGTATTTTTAGTAGAGATGGGGTTTCTCCATGTTGGTCAGGCTGGTCTCGAACTCCCGACCTCAGGTGATCCACCCACCTCGGCCTCCCAAAGTGCTGGGATTACAGGTGTGAGCCACTGCACCTGGCCAAAAGTGAGGTCGTTTTGTATGCTAATGACTGATGGCTGCTTCAGGATGGGGGCTGGTCACCAGAAAGACCAAGGCAGGATTAGAAAGTTGGGACTTACAGCCCCACCCGCTGAAGGGGGAAGGTATAAGGAAGAGGGGCTGAAGTTTAAGTTGATCACCAAAGGCCAGCAATGTAATCAATGATTCCCATGTAACGAAGTCTCCATAAAAACCCCAAAGGACAGGGTTTGGAAAGCTTCTGGAGATAGCTGAACATATGGAGGTTCCGGGAAGATTGTGCACCTGGAGAGGGCATGGAAGCTCCATACCCCTTCCCACATGTCTTGCACTCTGCATCTTTTCATCCATATCCTTTGTAATATCCTTTATAATAAA
Source organism: Homo sapiens (assembly GCF_000001405.40). Taxonomy (NCBI): domain Eukaryota; kingdom Metazoa; phylum Chordata; class Mammalia; order Primates; family Hominidae; genus Homo; species Homo sapiens. The sequence continues at coordinate 26,745 of NW_003315944.2, forward strand.
CTGGTAAATGTGTTTCCCTGAATTCTGTGAACCTCTCTAGCAAGTTAATTGAACCCAGGGAGGGAGTTGCAGGAACCCCGATTTATAGCCCATCAATTAGAAGCACAGCCAAGGCTGGGCGTGATGGCTCAGGCCTGTAATCCCAGCGCTTTGGGAGGTTGAGGCAGGCGGATCACGATGTCAGGAGATTGAGACCATCCTGGCCAACATGGTGAAACCCTGTCTCTACTAAAATACAAAAAAATTAGCTGGGCGTGGTGGTGCACACCTGTAGTCCCAGCTACTTGGGAGGCTGAGGCAGGGGAATCGCTTGAACCCGGGAGGTGGAGATTGCAGTGAGCCGAGGTCACACCACTGCACTCCAGCCTGGGTGACAGAGCGAGACTCCGTCTCAAGAAAAAAAAAAAAAAAAAAAAAAAAAAAAAAAAAAAAAAAAGGCAAAACAGCCTGGAGCTTTTGACTGGCATCTGAAGGCAGGAGGGTGAGCAGTCTTGGGGCCTGAGCCCTCCACCTGTGGGATCTGACGCTATCTCCAGATAGATAGTGTCAGAATTGAATTGGAGGGCACCCAGCTGATGTCTGCTGCAGAATTGATTGATTGCTTGCTGCTGGGGAGAAATCCCCACACATCTGATCACAGAAGTCTTCTGTGTTGATTGTTGTTGAGTGGGAGAAGAGAAGAAACTCTTTGTGTTTTTTTTCCAGTCAGCTCCTAATAGCAAAAAGTCCAAATGGGGAATCAGAGAGTTTCTAAAGTGCACAGCTCTGCCCTGAAGGAGTGTAACCTTGGCACAGCTAACTTTGAGCACTCTGCTCTTCCACCTCACTGTCCCGGCCCCCTGGCCTCAGTACCAATGCATACCAGGTTCTAACACCTCAACAAGCACAAGTATTACACTAACTGTTAAAGTTTTTTGTCAAATTCCCTAACTTCTAGCCTCTGATCTGAGGGTGAGGCCTGGTGTATAATTGACTGGCCAGTCTCCGGTGATTGATGTTCATAGCAAGCCAATCACGAGCCTATCTCAGATTAGACTATCAGCTCTGCCCACCCCGGCATATCCCCTGGCCCAAGGTGTAGTGATACCTTTTTGATTTGGGGGACCACTAACAAACAAGCCTTAATCATGATGGTCTGTGTGGGACCCAAGTCTACATGGGTTGGCATTGATGTCCACACGTGCTCAGGCAGTCAGTGTATACATCTGTGTGTTTCTGTGGGTGTTTGCCTTGGGTATGTCTGTGTACATTTTCTCCTGGGTGTCTTCCCTGACACTCCTCTCCAGCCCACCAGCCCTGCCCTGGTGGGAATTGGGTGCATACATAGCAACCTTCATCCTAGCACTGGATGGTTGTGGTTGGCTCAGTGCCTTCCTCCACCTTAGGCCTGTGAGCTCCGTGGGGATGGATCTGATTGCATTCATGTCTAGATTCTCAGAGCTTGGGCCCCTGCTGGTACATAATGGATCCTTGATAAATGTTTAATTGAAATGAGATGTTTGTGTGTACATGCTGGCTTCTACTGTGGACAGGAGCAGAAGGACTTGGCACTTTCCATATGCTTTCTCTTGTATGCCAGGCAATTCAGCAAATGTTTGCTGAGTAAGGGCCAACTCTGAGCTAGCCATGTTGCAGGCTCCAAGGGCACAGAAGAGACTGGGACCCAGTCTCTGGCCTTGGGCAACTCCCAGGCAGTACCCACACAGGTATACTCATGCCTACATCCAGGTATGTTTCTTTGTCCACTTATTTACTCTCTGCCTCTCCCAGAGAGACTAGAAGCTTCATGAGAAGAGGGGCCTTACCTGTCTGGGTTCCCCAGTACCTGGCACAGAGTATGGGAATTTTGTAAATAATGTGTGAGTGAGGGGCCCTGGTAGGCTGGGTTCTGTGGTTCTCATCACACACAGGCAACAGAATATTGTCTAGTCTAAGGATGGGCCCCATGCTAACACACTTGACTCTGAGCCTCCATGGGGCTCTTGTGAGAAAGGAAAGCCAGGAGATCCTGGTCTATGCTTCCATGCCTCACCCCATCACCCCCTGCCCAACTCTGCCTACCAGAGAGTGAGAAGCACAGGCAAAAATTACCCAGTTGGCCTCTAGAGTATCCACTCTGGGAGACAAGACCTTCTGAGCTGAACAGACATTAGAGATGATCAAATCCACTATGAGCCAAAGTGGGCCCGCAAGGCAGAGCTGGGACTTGCAGGCCACTGCTCCCAGGGAACTGGCTGCAAGGGTTGTGCTGTCTACACCTGCCTCCTCCTGCCTAGAGCCTGACCCAAACCAGCCCTCAGTTCATGTCAGTTGATCTTGTCACACACTGGAGAAAAGGCCAGGATGAGAGCCAGGGTTGTGAGCTGGGGAGTTTGCATTTGGCATGTCATGTGCTTTGCTTAGCCTAGCAACTCTGCCTACTCCCTCAGCCAGGCCTGTCCCCTAAGGTCCTTTATTGAGGTTGTTCCCCTAAAATCACCATCCGGAATTCCTGCTAGAAGTAGTCTATCTTCTCTTCCGATAGATTCATGTTAATGCAAGATAATGTACAGGCCTTGGTTTCTTTATCAATCATCTGAGGCTATTGAAACCAGTCTCCCCAACTTCTCACCACTAAGGACCCTTGTTAGTATTCTCCGCCTACAAAGCCCTCTCCATTTGAAAGACACTGCAGTCACTCTGGGCTGGTGTCCAAGGCCAGTCATATATTGGACAAATACAATTTGGCCAGTGGCCACATGCCATGTGACTCTAGTGGCAGCCTCTTGTCCACCAGTCATGATCTAGATATTCCTATGATGTCACCTATGACCAATCAGAGCTTCTGATCAGCACACACTAACCAGGGATATCACATAGAGTTAATTTAATTCTAATTAAAAGCAAAAGAAAAACCTTGGTGTTTCAGTTAACTTCATCACAGGTAATACAGGATTTCCTGTAGGTTTTGTGAAATGTACCAAACTGCTCTTGGCAACCTGCTGCAGCCTTTGCAAGTGTCCAGCTGGGAACCACTGGCTATGTGATCTCTAAGGGCCCTTTAGCTCTGACTCTGAGCATCTTCTTGCCTGGACTGGGGGTCTTAACCCAAAGGTGTGAGGAATGGTAGGAAGGAGGGCCAAAGACGGGGAGCCCTCTTGGGCTTCTAAGAATCCCACCAGCTGTGGTCCACCTGCTCTGCTAATGCATGGCCTCGGCCTGGTCACACACCTGTCCTAATGGTGGGTAGATAGCCCATGATGCTAGAGCTGAAAGGGACACTGGGAATCACCTGGTCCAGCTGCCTTGTTTTATAGGTGAGTAAACTGAGGCCAAAAAAGGGAAAGTGACTTGCCCAAGATCACACAGCCAATGCAAGGTGAACATTCATTTGGAACTCAGATCTCCTAGCTCCCATTTGGGTCACAGGATGCTAACAGCCTAAATGTGGGAATTCTGGGTTGGCCTGTGCCATCCCTGTTGATATGGAAAGTGCACTTGCCACCTAAGCACAGAGCAAGACATCCAGAGGACATGGCCCTGATCTTGAGGGAGTACCACCCACCAAGGCCTAGATGCTCTGACCCTTTCTTAGCACCTGGAAGTTGATGCTTGGGTGTCTTTCTATCTTCATCTATCCCCATCTCCCCAGTCCACACCACCTACAGGGCAGGTCCCCATGCTTCTGCTGGGGATGCCTGCCAGTCCTGTTCAGCATCTTTTTTCTGTGAATGCAGAATGAATGTGAACCCTTCCTCCCATCCAAAGGCCTGTTAATTATAGATGCAGTACTGGCTATTAACATCTTGAGCTTGATTTGAAAGCACTACTAACAAACCCTCGACGCTGGTCCCACTAAAGATGCAAATCGCTCCTCTACCTTCCACCTGCCTCCATGCATAACATGATGGCACAGGCCCAGACCCCGGTGGGTAATGAGTTGTATGTTCTATTAAATTTGTTTCAAATATTGTTTATTGAATTTTCTCCCCTGCAATATGCTGCTTTGTAGTTTGGCCCTGTTTGGGAAAATTAATCAACAGCTGAGCTTCTCATGTTGATCATCTGTTTTCCTTGCAATGGACAGGAGGTTAATGAGTATTTTTTGGACTAATTGGAGGAGGATGGAAAGTGGTTGACCCTCCCTCACACAAAAGAGGGAGGCAATTGTGTGAGTCTGTCTTCTAGTCCCCTTAAATATGCTCTGTGGGTAGGAGGCAGTGTAAATGGAGTGGAACTGAGTTCTCTAGATACAGGCCAAGGTGGCATGAGCCTGCCAGCCTGTGGGAGCTCAGCAGAGATCACTCTGGGACCAGCAACCAAGGAAGTTGGCCTGGCTCAGCTATCCTTTTGTTGGAGGAGTAGGTGGGGTAGGATGACTCAAGGCAAGAATGGGTTCTGGACCTGGGGACAGAGTACATAGGTTCAAGTGAGGCAAAAGCACTAGCCCAAGGTGACTTCCTCATTCATTCATTCAATCTGTGTTTCTTGAGCATCTATGACAAGCAAGGCACTGTGATAGGCCCTGGGTCTTGCTAACCATTACACTAGACTAGATGAGACCTAAGGTCCCTTTCAGCTCCCAACTTTTTTTTTTTTTTTTTTTGGAGACAGAGTCTCGCTCTGTCGCCCAGGCTGGAGTGCAATGTTGCAATCTCAGCTCACGGTAACCTCCACCTCCCGGGTTCAAGCGATTCTCCTGCCTCAGCCTCCTGAGTAGCTGGCATTACAGGCGCATGCCACCACACCTGGCTAATTTTTGTATTTTTAGTAGAGACGGGGTTTCACCATGTTAGTCAGGCTGGTCTCGAACTCTTGACCTCGTGATCCACCTGCCTCAGCCTCTCAAAGTGCTGGGATTACAGGCGTGAGCCACCGTGCCCAGCCCTCTTTAACTCTCCCCCAGCCCTCCCACTTCCAGGGCAAGTTTCCCTGTTACTGCTCCTTTGTGTCACTTACCACAGTTGTAATGAAATAATCATTTAAAAAATTCAGCTCTCATTTACTTGATTGCAAGTTCCATGAGGATAAGGATTGAGTCATTTGTGTTCAGTACACATGGGTTGAATTATTCAGACATTCAGGAAATGTTTCTTAAGTGCCAGTATGTGTCAGACACTGTGCGAGGTCAGGGGATACACAGGGAGTGGAATAGAGCTTGTCAGTAATGTCTAGTGGCTAGACGGGGTGGGGCATAAAATGAGGCTGTGGCATGAAAGGGGCACAGGCTAGTCCCTCCCTACTTCCATGGGTTCTGCAGGCGGCCTGTAGTGGCTCTGGTTGCTTCTGTTCATCACCCCAGCCATTCCTGGAGTTCCGGAGCTACTAATGGGGACTGCTTTTGGTGTCCAATGCCGCATCCATGCCAGCAGCACACAAGAGTTGCATGCTTTACTGTTTACAAAGCCCCTTGCCAAGCAAGTGCCTGCTCCTTGTCAAGCAGAATGCCAGCCCTGGGCTGCTGCACTCTCCTGCCCACCCTTGTCAGTCACACCCCACTCCCAACTCTAAGCGCTAGGACAGTGGGACTCCCAAGTGGGGAGCCTTATTTGTAATTTCCTAGGGAGAAAGAGTGACACGTGGCCCACAAGGCAAACAGAATAGCTTGTCCAAATGCCAGCCACAGCAGCCTCTCCAACGCAGAGCAAACCTCGCTGGACCTAATTGGTGCGTCACTGATAAAGCAGCAACTGACAGCAGGTGCATGTTGGGGAAAAGAAAGTCTGCATAAGGTATGAGGAACAGAGAGCCACAGGGATGAGAAAGAGAGAGACTTGGAGGCCACTTGTCATATCCATCCCTGACCCTGCCTTCCTATGCTGAGGGAGAAATGTCCACAGCCTGTGGGGCTGAGTCATTCTGTCTGGCTCCCATGCAGGTGGGAGGAGGAGAAAGGTTAGGACTGGAAGCCCCATGTAGTATTCACTCTCACTTATGTCTATCAAAAATGAATAGGCTGCCAGTGATCTGAGGTTACTCTGTGCAGTTGTGTAGGGTGTGCACTGCACAAATCTAGAGGTTTTATTCAAATGACAGTCATTATAGATTTGTGTATATATTACATCAGTTTTCTGGCAGATGTCAGTAGAATGTCTTGAGAAAGGGGTAACTTATTCTAATTTGCACAAATATGTGATATGGCTCTGACATCTCAAGGGGCCTCTTTGGAGGAGCACAGACACCTTCCAACAGTTCCCAAACAGACACCAAAACATTTCAGAGAGATCTGGCTGGGTGCAGTGACTCATGCCTGTAATCCCAGCACTTTGGGAGGCTGAGGCAGGTGAACTGCTTGAGGTCAGGAGTTTGAGACCAGACTGGCTAACGTGGTGAAAACCTGTTTCTACTAAAAATACAAAAATTAGTTGGGCGTCGTGGCAGGCATCTGTAATCCCAGCTACTTGGGAGGCTGAGGCACAAGAATAGCCTAAACTTGGGAGGCTGAGGCACGAGAACAGCTTAAACCCGGGAGGCGGAGATTGCAGTGAACCAAAATTGCTCCACTGCACTCCAGCTTGGGTGACAAAGTGAGACTCCATCTCAAAAAAAAAAAATTCAGACCCAAGAGGCGGTCCATGTGGCCAAGAAAAGGTGTTTTAGATCAAGTTGAGGCCGTGCCACTTACTGGCTGAGTCATCCAGGGTGCTCCTAGGGACTCAGTTGCAGTTCTTGTGGAGCAGTTTCTTTTCTCCTCTGTATTGATGCTCTTGTGCTACCTGTAGCCCCTTCTCCTTTTCTAACCATTCTCTTTCCTGAGATTCTGTACCGAGTTTAGAGAAGGCATTACTGGCTAATATGGACTTATTGAGCAAACTCATGAGAGGTATTTGTACTTTACTAGGAGACCCAAAATCTAAAATCTCTGGAGATGTTTGCACAGTATATGCATGATGGCCAGCCCCAGGAGGGAGTGGGGAGCAGGACCCTGGTCCTAACCAATGACCACACCCCTTCACCCCTCCAGACAGGGCTGGCCCTGTGGCTTAGGGCAGACCCACACATCCCTAGTGCTGATGACAGGAGAAAGGAAACTCCATATTTTTCACGCCCCTGCCCCTTGGTGACAGGCTTGTGCCAGGCACTTTTTTTTTCCCTCTTATCTCCTTTTGTTCTATAACAGCCCTGCAGGGAGAGAATTCCCTTCCTAGAGAGAGAACTATCCTAGAGAGGGTTTGCAAACCAAGGCCGGAGAGGTCGATTTGCCCCAGGTCACAGCATGGGAAAGGGAAGGGGCAACTGATTCCAAAGCCCAAGTTCTCTCCCCTAGACCAGGCTGCCTTGACTGCACACAGGTTGGAAATGATGGGGACTCAAATGTCCTGAGCCCATGCAACGTGCCAGGCTTGCTACCAGGTGCCTGTGATGTGTAATTTCATAATCTCCTGTCCTACCCATTTGTTGTTAAATATGTGTTGACAATGAAGGCAGAAATGGCTTATGGGGGCTTATGGAGGGAACTCTTAGGGGGCATTTGTATCTTATGTTGTTAGGAAGCTCCTGAAGTACAAAAGGTTTCAAGACTTTAGGGTATAAAGCTAAGATGGCGGAATAACAGGCAGTGGGAGTGAGTTAGTATTTAATAATGTATATCCTTTGAATGAGAGAAAGCTGGTTTGATGATGATGATGATGATGACTATGGTGGTGGTGGTGGCGGTGCTGTGTTGCTGCTGCTGACCTCAGATGCTATCAGCATCCCACATCCAGGCAGGTCTCTGCCCTTATTTAGAAGGAAGGAGCTTCCTGCTGCAGCTTTGATTCCCCGTGCCTGGCCTCATCTCTCCCTGCTTCCCTGGCGCTGAGCCCTGTCCAGAGCTCTGTGGTTCCTGAGGGGCTGGGGGTGAGGATGGTTATGGCCACAGGGATTCAGAGCATCTCTTACAGGTCTGCTGGGACCTGCTCCCTCTGAGAACAGAATGAAGCTTCCCTGCAAATCCTGGGCCTCAGTCTTCAGGGGTTTCTGGGCAATCATTGACAGCATATGACCCTAATCAATCTATGTTAGGTTTCATGATATCCATAGTGCTAAAAACAAAACAAAACAAAACAAAAACAAAAAAACAACTTGGCTTTTTTTTTTTTTTTTTTTTTTTTTTTTTTAACACGGAGTTTTGCTCTTTTGCCCAGGCTGGAGTAAAGTGGCACAATCTCGGCTCACTGCAACCACCGCCCCCCGGGTTCAAGCGATTCTCCTGCCTCAGCCTCCCGAGTAGCTGGGAGGCACATGCCACCAGGCCTGGCTAATTTACTAAAAGTAGAGACGGGGTTTCACCATGTTGGCCAGGCTGATCTCAAACTCTTGATCTCAGGCGATCCACCTGCCTTGGCCTCCCAAAGTGCTGGGATTACAGGCATGAGCCACCACGTTCCACCCAAACCTTGTCATTTTTAAGTGCCAAAAAAATTGCCTCTAAACTTCTGGGAAAACCTATGTTGGGTGTTGGGGGAGGTCTTTCTGAGCATTTAGAGGAGTATGTATGTGGACCATGGAGGCAGGGAGGGGCACAGGCTGGCAACTTCTCCACGTGCATGTTCTGCAGGCTGTTTTGGTGAGCTTGTGTATGTGTGCTAGCGGTGGTATATATTCCTGATGTATTTCGTGTGATTAACACGTGAGCCCTATGTGTGTCAGAGGTACTAGATGTACATGTGCTCTGCATGTATGGAGAGCAGGTTAGGGATAGGATTTGGGCCTGCTGTCCCAGTGTCCTGGTTTGCATGGTAACTTAGAGGGTCACCCCCTACGTGATCCATGTAGTATGTGAGTTTGGTATGTGTGTGTGATATGTATTGGTGGTGTGACAGCTGTGGGGCAAGCTTAGCATCTGCATGTCAGACATCTGGGCTGATCCTGGCCATGAAGCCCCAACGGTGATTTGATCATAGTGGCTTTGAGCATGGTACGGGTCAAAGTCAGGGAGGGGTGGCTTGGATCTATAGGGTATACATGCATGTGTACCGTAAAAGAGCCCAGCGCCCTAGGTGAGGGCTGTGTAGTGTGGACTTGGGGCAGTGGCCTGCAGAGCCAGAGTCTGACAATAGTGATGGTGACAGTGTCCTAGGTGGGAGCCAGACTGTGGGGGACAGAGGGTCTTGCAGAGGCTAATAAAGAAAACTAGGGTCCAAGTAAAATGCGGTGCATTCACATTTTAGGGGATGCTTCTAAACTATCTGTGCATTTATTCAACACATATTTACTGACACTCTGTGCAGGGGACTGTGCCGGGCTTGGATAGGCTGGGGGTTAGGAGGTGGCAGGGTGGGGAATAGAGTAGGCACACAGGGATGAAATGGACAGATCCTTGGAGCTTTCTGTTTAGTAGATGGGAGAAAAACATCCACAATGTGCCACCAGAGTGGGTATGTCAGTGTCCTGTGGAAAGGCTCTGTCCCATAGGGAAGACAGCAAGAAGGCTTTATAAGGAGGTGGCAACTGAATGGAGACTGGAGGGTGCACCAGCAGGATGTGGCTGAGGGGGATGGAGAGCAAGGGTATTCGAGGGAATGGGCAGACTGAACAAAGGCGTGGCAGTGGGGCCACACGTGGGTTGGGGGGCTGCAGGGTAAGGCAGTTTGGATTTGCTGGAGTTCAGGGGTTAGGGAAGGGTGATGAGAGGCAGCAGCAGGAGCCTGGAGGTCAGGCTGGGCCCAGCCAGGATGGCCTTGAGCGACAGGCATGAACTTTGCTTGGGAGATAAAAGAGGGCCCCCTAGAGCAGGTGAGTGACTCAGTGTTCCAGCCTGTTTTAGAAAGGTGCCTGGGCCCTTCCTCTCTGGCTGAGAGTCTAGACTCTGGCAAATCCAATTGCTTATTGATTGTGGAGTCATTATAAAAACAATTATAGGCTGAATGCAAAGACAGCCCAGAATTTAACACTGGAGAGGCTTTTACTAGAGAACAAAAAAGGAGTTGGGGTGGGGACGGCTGCCTCTACTGTCCAGTGTCCTCTGGTCCATCCGCATCCCCAACTCCCCAACTCATATAAACTCTCAGGTTTTTTTTTTTTTTTTTTGAGATGGAGTCTCACTCTGTCACCCAGGCTGGAGTGCAGTGGTGCCATCTCAGCTCACTGCCACCTCCATCTCCCGGGTTCAAGTGATTCCCCTGCCTCAGCCTCCCGAGTAGCTGGGATTACAGGCGCACACCATGCCTGGCTAATTTTTGTATTTTTAGTAGAGGTGGGGTTTCACCACATTGGCTAGGCTGGTCTCGAACTTGTGACCTCAAGTGATCTGCCCTCCTCGGCCTCCTAAACTGCTGGGATTGCAGGCGTGAGCCACCGTGCCCAGCCCCTTGGGTTTTTAAAGCTAGTTTCCTCTAGATTTTTCTGGCCCTAGAGGTTTCTCAGTCAAGTTCTCACAGAGTGCCTCACCACACAGAACACGGGCCTGGAATGTGCCCTCCATGAAGGCACCCAAGCCCAGGAAGGGGCAAGTTTGATGGGAGCTCAGGGCAGACTTCCCTGCAGGGCAGACCTGGTGTGGGGCTGCAGGCCTGAGGGAGGAGAGGGGAGCAGAGCTACTGAGGGAGATGGGGTGGGAGGGGGCACCCTGGGGAGCAGTGAGGGCCTGAGGAGGGGCTCAGCCCTGGGCTGGGGAGTGCTGAGATGCCCCAGAGACTATGTAACCTTGCCACGCCAGTTTATTTATTGGTAAAATGTCGGTGGCACCATCACAGCCCTCAGAGGGCAGTGAGAGCACATGAGATGGTGTTTATTATGAGTGTTTTGTATTGGAGAACAGTGATACGGATGGACAGCGTGGTGACTGGGCACTCCATTCCTGCCACCACCTGGGGAACGGACACCTCCCCTGAGCTGCCTGACAGGTGCCTGATTCCCCCATCATTTGTCAGCCATTTCCAAATTCAGCTCTCCTGGCTCCATCACCCCCAAGGCCACAGTTAAGGTTTCATCCTGTTGGGGGCAGTGAGGATCACTCTGGGTTTACCCGCAGCTCACAGGCAGGGGCAGGCGGGCGTGTCAAGCTCATGGACTATGCAACCTGACTATTGGGTTCAGGTCTTGGCCCTGGGGCTTTTTGGACCTTGTGCAAGGTGTTAACCTCTCTGTGTCTTAGTTTCCCTATCTGCAAAATGGGAATTACAATAGTATCTTCTTCCAAGGGTAGTGGTGAAGATGAAATAAGTTAATATATGTAATGTTCTTAGAACAGTGCCTGGCCCAGAGTAAGTGCTATAGATGCTTTCAGCGTTTTATTATTACATATGACCCAACAGGAACTAGGCCCACTGCAGGTGCAAGAAGAGGCTATGATTTACCTACTCTGTGCCAAACACTTTTGTAGAGCTTGCCCTGTCTCATGCTCACAACCGTCCTACAAGAAACATCCACGTGTGAGGCGAGCAAAGGGTGAACCTACCCTAAGCCACCCAGGAGGTGAATGGCAAGGCTGAGATGCAAACTCAGGTTTCCCTGACTCAAAGTCCATGCTCTCCCCACTCTGCCAAGCAGCCTCCAGTGAAGACATTTGGGGAGGATGGGATCCAGCATCTACTGAGCACCTACTACATGCTCTATCACCCAGGCTGGAGTACAGTGGCGTGATCTCGGCTCACTGCAAGATTCAAGCTATTCTCATGCCTCAGCCTCCCAAGTAGCTGGGACTACTGGCACCCACCACCATGCCCGGCTAATTTTTGTATTTTTAATAGAGATGGGGTTTCACCATGTTGGCCAGGCTGCTCTCGAACTCCTGAGCTCAGGTGATCCACCCACTTCGGCCTCCCAAAGTGCTGGGATTACAGGTGTGAGCCACTGCACCAAGCCTGCGTGCTGGTTCTTATTCTGTGACATCACCATCTCCCGACACAGAGAATGGAGGTCAAATACAGTACTGTTTTGTCACAACCCTGCTCGAGACGGCAGTGGCTCCCTCTTGCCTGCTGACTTAAGCACAAGACCCCACCTTGGCATGCAGGGCCCACCTGCTCTGCTCCCACTCTTTTCCTTCCACTCCCTCCCTACACCCTCCTCGACACCTGTGCCTCATGGCCAGGGAGCCCCTGACTGGCTTCCCTGGGCCTGTCTCAGGGAATTATATCTCCCTCCTCAGAACTTTTAGGAGAAGCAAGAATATGAATTTTTTAGTGTTTTTGGGAGATAACTTTTAAATAGATTTTTTGTTATGTTTTTTCTGTTTTTTGCATTTACCCCCATTGTTAGTTTTCTTATTAGCCCCACTTTGAAATAATTTATTCATGACCTTTTTTTGCAATATCCTTCATTTTCCAGACATAATCACATCTTCTGGCAGGAATCCCTTCCCCTCCTGGGGTTGATAATTACTCTTGCAGATGGAATTATCGGCACTAATGACTAAGGGAGAGGTGGCTGGGAGGGGCTGGGCTAGGGGGCTGGGGAGCTGGGGCACTGAAGCTTGAGCGCAGGGCTAGCAGGAGCTTTCTTTGTTCCAGGCCTGCAGATTTTGTGGGGGGACTAGAGCCTGTGGGCTCTTCTGCACAATGAGGGTGCAAACGCTGACCCCCTGTCTCCTGGGGCTGGTGTAAAGCTCCAATGAAACAAGCTGTTGGGAAGGATGGGTAGAATCCCAGAGTGCAAAGTGGGGATGCTACAGCCCCACCCTACAGGGTTGTTGTGAGGATTAAACACAATGTACATAGAACAGAGTGCCTGGCCTAGGGCCCACTGCAAAATATGAGCCATCATCACCCCCATTTGGTTGTCTACTTTCTCCAGACCTTTCAGGGAGGCTTCTCTGATTTGTGGCCCTATCCCTGCCCTCTAGAATTGGTGAGGTCAGACCCAGGCCCTGGGTTCTGGCTAGGACTGGGAGCCAGCAGAAGCCCCATCTATGCTGAAGACTTGGACAAAAAGAAAACCGGGTATACTTAAAGCATAGATGCCGCAGATCTGCTCCAATAGCTTCTTTTGCTGCACAGAGATTGCTGCGGCCACTAGGCCTGAGACAAAGCCCCAGCCCAGACCCCAGTAATGAGGGTACTGATAATAAGGACATCAGGAACATGACAGCAAGAGGGTGGTCTGAGATGGCAAATGTTTATTTTTTAGAGTAGAAGAGTCAGCAGTTTTCCCTAATAAGCTGTACAGTGGGGTCCCAGAGGGGGAAGGCTGGCCTCATCTTAGTGACATAAAACCAATTTTCCCTACTTTGCTCTGTGAATTAATTGACAACATGACTTAACCCCCTGGTGACTCCCTTTGTGCCCCCACCGACCTGCCACCCCCACCATCCCTCCCTGCCCAGGGAAACATCAGTACGTGTCTGCTGTGGGTACAGGAAGCTCATGAGATGGAGGTAAAGGTGGAAAGAACAGTAGGCTGGGAGTCATGTCGCCTGTATTCCATCCCAGCTCTGTTACAATATGCTGTGTGACCTGAGGGAAGTTCACTTTCCCTTTCTGACCTTGTTTTTTTTTTGCTGTGCACTGTGGAAGCCCTGAGCATTCTTCCAGCTCCACCATTATGAAGCTGTTTTACAGTGTTACACCTGTTTTACAGCGTTACACCCTGCATCTCGCTCAGTGCGCATACCGACCCCGAAGGGCTGGCATTATTAATCCATCTCACCAATGAGAAACGGGCTCTAAGAGGCTGTGTTTCCTAAGGTCACACAGCTACTGAGTGACAGATGTGGGATTCCAACCCAGGACTGTCTGATTCCAAAGTCCATGTCCTTTTGCTTGCAGTGTGTCTTCTCTCCACAACCACATAATAAACCCTGACAAACATTTACTGAACATTCGCTACGTGCCAGGCTTTGTTCTAAATATTTTATCTAATTCAATCCTCAGAATAACACTACAGCATAGTGCCATTAATTATCCTGTTTTATTGATGAAAAAATGAGGCTTGAGAAGCTTAAGTAACTCCAACAAGACCACATAGGAGGTGATAACAGAGCTAGGACTTGGGTACTGGAGTGTGTGTGTGTGTGTGTCTTATTTTTGGATGATCATTTCTGCTATTTTGCAGTGTTTGTACTCCTCTGTTCGCACAGGCATGGCAGCTAGAGGATGAATTCCTCATTCCCGGTGCTGCATTCAGGAAAATCTTTTACTACAGTAATTGGGAAATGAGTCAATAGTGGGAGGTGAGGGGATGAGAAGCTGGTTTTCTGTTCTTAGGGCTAACAGCCTGTAGATCTCAGCTTGATGAAGAATGAAACAATTAGAAAAGAAAATGCACACACATGATATCCATGTCACCTGGCTGTCATTTTCAGTCTGCATTCTCTACTGGTCACACTTCTCTCACTCCCTAGTTCCAGCTTAGGAGCCACCCAAGAGGTGGACACGCACTCTGCCCAGCTGGGGGAGGCCGGGGGAGCGTAACGTCTTTAAAGGACATTGGAAACCTTGGAGGGAAATTCAATCACTGCTCCACTGATCTGAATTTTCATAACTCTTGCGCCCCGCTCCCACCTTCCCTGGTCAGAACAGCTGAGGTTTCTGTATGACCTACCAGTGGCACAGAGAAAGGTGAGAAAAATGCAGAAACAAATTTGTTCATTTGGGTGATGGAGTGCCTGCTCCCCTCGCCAGCATGCAGGGTTGAATAATGGCAGACAGGGCTTCAAAAAATTGCAGCATAAATAGATGAGCCCTTTAAGGTAATAGAAATGCTGTCATCCTGGGGAGAAATATGGGCCCCAAATCCTATGGGAGGGGACACTGGAGCCCCTCTCCTCTGCTTCCCGCATTCCCGTCTCCATCACAGTGGAGCTGAAAGGGAGCATCTGGGCTGAGGAATGGCCAGAGGGCCCCTTATCTTCCAGACACGCAGGACCCATGCGGGAGGAGGCAGCCGGAAGGGGGTCTGAGAAATCAAGTTTTTGCAGCCCTGGCAGTGACCTCACAGACAGTTCACTGCAGGCACCAAGGTGGCAGTAATTAGTCCTACAGCAGTGGAGGAGGCTCCATCAGTCTGGCCGCCTAGGTGAGGCCTTAATTAAGGAAAGGAAGCCTAGTCAGCAGAGGAGCATGGTGGAGCCGAGAAATCAGCCTTCTTCCCCCGTGTGAGCAGGAAGTCTATTCTCGGTTCTGTGGCTGCTCTTGGGAACCCAGGAGCCCTTCGCAACCCTGCTGTTCCCAGCCAAGGGAAAGATTCAACTAACTGCTTCCTTTCTCTCACCCCCATTTCCACCTCTACCCCCAAACAGGGCACTCAGGCCAGGACCAGTCATCCTCTTCAAGTGAGAGACCCCTTGGTGTAAATAACAACAGCAGCAGCAGTAGTGGCATCATCATCATCATCAACAGCAATAACAGCTAATGCTTGTTGAAAGATTACTAATATGCTAGACATTCTAAGCACTTTATATTTGCTAATTAATTTAGTCAGCCCAATAATCCTACAAGGCTATGTTATTATTCCTTTATATAAGAAACTAGAGGCAGGCTGGGTATAGTGGCTCACGCCTGGAAATCCAACATTTTGGGAGGCCAAGATGGGCAGATCATGAGAGGCCAGGAATTCGAGACCAGCCTGGGCAACATGGCAAAACCCCATCTCTACAAAAAAATCAGCTGGGCATGATGGCGTGCACCTGTAGACCCAGCTACTTGGGAGGTTGAGGTGGGAGGATCGCCTGAGCCCAGAGAGGTCAAGGCTGCACAGTGAGCCAAGATCGCACCACTGCATTCCAGCCTGGGCAATAGAGTGAGGCTTAGACACACAGACACACACACACACACACACACACACACACACACACACACACAAAAGGAAATAAAAGAAACTAGGGGCACAGAGAGGTACAATATCTTGCCCAATGTCACACAGCTAATATGCAGCAAAGCTGGTATTCGAAGGCAGAGAATTTGGCACCAGAGTCTCTGCAAACCACTACACAAAATTTCATAAGGCAGAAGCTCATGCCACTGCTCAAAGAATCTGGAGATGGTGTGTCAGGGGTCAGCTGCTCCAGTCCCACTGTAGCTATCTGTTTACATAAATTTCAGAGAAGCCAACAGGTAGAGTCAAGTCCCAGCCCTACTGGCAAGGCCTCTTGGGAAATGCCATGAATGTCCTTACTGTAAAGCTCAGGAATGTTCCAGAAACTTCTGCTTTAAGGGCATTGGGTCTACCAGGGATTTCATTCATTTCAGGGAGTTTGCTGAGCAAGATATTTGTGTGGTAGGCATTGTAGGCTTGTTAGGAGGTCCAGGGTTAGAGGGAAACATGTTATTGTCCTTAGGGAGATAGAACCTGAGTATGAGCCACACACAGTGGAAACAAAGGGATGGAATGGTTAATTCCGAAGAGAGGAGTATTCAGGGAAGGCTTCATGGAAGAGGCAGCCTTTGATTTCCTGAAAGGCTGAGAAGGATTTTCATAGATGCGATAGGGACTATGGGAAGGGCATTCTAGGAAGAAAGAGAGGTTTGAGAAAAAGCACAGAGGCCCCAAAGAACATATAGTAGTGCCCCCTTATCCTTGGTTTCACTTTCTATAGTGTCAGTTACCTGAGGTCAACTGTGGTTTTAAAGTAGGTTTGTGGCTGGGCACAGTGGCTCAAGCCTGTAATCCCAGCACTTTGTGAGGCCGAGGCGGGCAGATGACATGAGGTCAGGAGTTCAAGACCAGCCTGGCCAACATGGTGAAACCCCGTCTCTACTAAAAATACAAAAATTAGCTGGATGTGTTGGCACATGCCTGTAATCCCAGCTACTCAGGAGGCTGAGGCAAGAGAATTGCGTGAACCCGGGAGGTGGAGGTTGCAGTAAGCTGAGATCACGCCACTGCATTTCAGCCTAGGCAACAGAGCAAGAGTCCATCTCAAAACAAACAAACAAACAAACAAACAAAAAAACCCCAACAAAGTAGGCTTGTACAATACAAGAAGATATTTTAAGCCTAAGATGAGAGGATTGCTTGGGGCCAGGAGTTCCAGACCAGCCTGGGCAACATAGTGAGACTCCATCTCTACAAATTTTTTTTTTTTAAATAGCTGGGCATGGTGGTACATGCCTGTATTCTCAGCTGCTCAGGAGTCTGATGCAGGAGGATCACTTGAGCCCAGGAGTTTGAGGTTACAGTGAGCTATGATTGTGCCATTACACTACAGCCTGGGCAATAGAACGAGGCCCTATCTCTAAAAAAAATTTTTTTTAAAGATATTTTGAGAGGCCACATTCACATAAATTTTATAGCATATTATTATAATTGTTCTATTATTAGTTATTACTGTTAATCTCTTATTGTGTAGTACATACAGAATTCAGTACTGCCCACAATTTCAGGCACTGGAGGTCTTAGAATGTATCCCTCATGGATAATGGGGACTACTGTACTGTGTGTGGGGAGGAAATGAGTTATGTGTGCTACAGATTGTGGCAGGACTTAGTGGGAGATGAGATTAGGGTAGACTAGGTTCGAGGGCATATTACAAAGGCCTGGGATTTGAGGTTTATTTGGTGGGCAGTGGGGAGCCACAGAGAGGGGTGATGTGATGCCAACCTGCAAGTGGATGGACAGCTCCACTTAGTCCCCTCATCCACAATTCAGCTAATTCCCTAGCTCAGCGGGGTGTGAAGAAAGGTCCTCACCTCCTGGATAGGATCATCCTCACAAAGACAGGTATTTCAGGACTCTGCTGGCCTGACCACTGTGTCATATGACCCCTCACTCTGCCTTCTCCCATCCCTGTTCACCCTGGTGTTCTGTCTGGGCGAGGACCCTGGATTCTAAGAAGGCACAGAGTAGCCTTGAATCCCTGGCTCATGAGGCTGTCCAAGGTGCTGAAACGATGCCGTTTCCACTTGTAAGCACTCCCACTGGAATGACTAGCTCCCACACCACTGTTTCCGATGGGCAGGGAATTTCATTCCCATTTTATAGATGAGAAATAGAAACCCAGAAAGTTAGCAGAGCTAAAGCTACAAACTCATTTCTTGTTTTCTGGTCCAGGGCTCTTTGCCCCCACTGGGCAGCCACAGTGCAATTTACCAATGCATACCCCAAGTGATTCTATCACTGCTGCCAAACAAACATGTAAAATGCCCAGGCTCTCTTCCCACCCCCATCTCTATCTCCATTTCCCCAAATGTTGAGAGGCTTGTCCACTCGTACAGTGCCCCCTGAGACCGACCATTCAGGGTGACCCACAGGTGCTTGGGTGGACCTGCCTAGAACAGCAGTTGTGCACGTTCATGGCTCTGATCCATCAGGTATCCGTGGGTACAGCTCATCCCAACACCCTCCTACTGGTATCACGGGCATGGGGGAAGCAACGTTCCCCCACTACTCTCATAGCTTACCGGTAATTGCTGCCATTTCACCAAGTGTCTGTTGTATTTCAGGCACTGGCTTTGAACTTCTCATATAATGTTCCTAATTCTCATAAGCAAAGTCTTGTTTTAGCAGATGAGGAAGTTCCATGTCAGGCAGGATAAGTGGCTTGCCAGTAGTCAGTGTGGGGATTGGAGAGCTAGGATTTGAACTTAGATTTGTCTGGTTCCATGGTCACCCTTCAATCAAAGCTCATCAACTAATATGAGAGTTCAGTGTCTCCCACCACCGCTGGCTTTGTGATCCCAGGCAAGTCGCTAATCCTGTTTGAACTCCAGCTCCTCATCTGCAAATTGAGGAAAGTGAAAGTGCATCTCCATGGGCCCTTGTGAGGCATAAGTCAGACGAAGCATGCAGCCAGGATTCAGTGAGTGTTCACTGCTAGTGTGAATGTGCTTATTACTAGAACACAGGTTCCTGGATGGGGGTCTGATTAGTCTTTCCACATCCCCACCTGCCCCCTAAGTCCTAGCAGAGGAAACATCCAGTATTTCACATTTCAGTGAACAGGATTCCACTTCCAATGTCCTGGGAAGGAAGTGGAAGTGTGTGAAGGCCAATCCAGAGCCCCAAGCAGGACCTGCTTCTGCCCCGTGTCCCTGTGCTCTCGGGGGTGGAGACCACGTGACTAGGGCAGGCATGCCACTGAGCTCACAGGTGTGGTTCTGCACTACTTCATCAGCACTCCTCACGTTTATGTTGAGCCCGAGACCATTCTCAGCCCCTAGAGTCTACTTTCATAAAGCTGTCCCAATATCCTCCCTAAAGACCCCGGGCAGGGAGAGCTGGGGTGGGAGGGGACAGCTGAGGATGCGGTTTCACATCCACTGTCATGGGGGATACTCACATCCAATAGCAGGCAAAACTGATTTACTCCTCCCATCGTTCAGATAGGGAAATGGAGGCCCAGCAAGGTAAAGCGACATGTCCAAGATTACTGAGCCTAGAATGAAGGTCTCCAAACACTCAGAAAAGGGCTCCTTTAATTAGTCCTTAACTGACTACCTATCCTAAAATCATTCAAGGATAAAGGCGCGTACATACATTCACAAACCAAGCAACCAACAAAGGCATTGCTAATTATTACTGACTGCGGGACATCTTGAGGCGAGTCTCTGCTGAGTCTGCTCTGCTGATTGCTCCTACTTTGACCAGAACTGGCTGATTGTGGGAAGTTGCATTCACTCAGAAGCTGGAGTGAGGACAAGAGTAATGGCTTCCCCCTCAGGGCTTGATGCATACAGGAGTGAGTCATGCTGGTTGAGAACAATGAACTGTTCTGTAATCACCTCCTGCAGCCCCTGCCCAACATCCAACAGAGCCCCAGAGGAGCCTTTCCAGGAATAACGAGGCTGGGTGGGAGGAGATGGATGGGAATTCGCTGGGTCTCACCAGGGCAGCTTGACTCACAATCTGTATTAGCCCTGAGCCCCAGGCAGGGGGCATTCCACAGTGAGATGACTCTGGCATGCACCTGTGCCCCAAAGTTCAAGGACAGGAAGTCATTTGCATCTCAGGTGCAAGGAAGAGAGGCAGTGGCCTGGCCTCCAGACTGTTGGAGCACTGGGGACAGTGAGCAAACAGATGCTAGTCTCCCAGGCCTTTCTGGGGCCCCAGTTTTCCCTTGTTCTGAGGAGAAATGAGTAGGCAGGCAACTGGGGATAAAGAAGGGGGAACAGGGAGGAAAGACCCCCAGCAGACACACAGACAATGTATATGACCAGACCGTAAAACCCTCAATGAGCTTCCCACTCCTATGTATACACATACCTTCTTGCTCCTACTTTTCCCCTTTTCCCCCAGAACAGTGTTTCCTGACTTGATCCATGGAGTCCATACAGTGGACCATCTTAGAAGTTAATAGGTTCTTCTCTCTCCCTGTATACACCCCATCCACAGATGCCCAAAGTCCTACAGCTATGCTAGAAGCCAAGCTGGGACAGGGGTCACCCATGAGCAGTGTGGTGCAGTCACCTGACCACTTGGCTACGTGAGATTTTTTAATCCCAAACAATTATTCTCTCCTACCCAAATTCAAAACCCAGGGCACCTCCATTTTACTGTGGAAATTACAACAAAAAATGTACACTAACAAAGGTAAATTAAGAGAAAACCAGACTTCCTTCTCTTTCAAAGATGCCAAAGAGTTCATTTTTACCCAGTTTTATCTGCACTGGGGAGGAAGAAGGGGGATTGTAACTGTTTTTTTTTTTTTAATCTTAGTATAATCTTAGTAATGTGTTTTTACTTAAACAAATATATTTAGGCCAGAAGTGGTGGCTCATGCCTGTAATCTCAGCACTTTGGGAGGCCAAGGTAGGTGGATCACTTGAGGCCAGGAGTTCAAGATCAGCATGGCCAACATGGCAAAACCCTGTCTCTACTAAAAATACAAAAATTAGCTAGGCGTGGTGGCACATGCCTGTAATCCCAGCTACTTAGGAGGCTGAGGCACGAGAATTGCTTGAACCCAGGAGGCGGAGGTTGCAATGAGCCGAGATTGTGCCACTGTACTCCAGTCTGGGCAACAAAGTGAGACTCTTAAAAAAAAAAAAAAAAAAAAAAATATATATATATATATATATATATATATATATACACACACACACACACACACAATACTTTAAATATATAACATGTAATCAATATAACAAAATGATTGAGGTATTTTATATTCACCTTTTCATACTAAGTCTTGGAAATCCAATGTGTATTTTCCACTTCACATCTCAATTCAGAACTAGCCACATTTCAGTTTGAACAATGTTTTGTTCTGGGCCTTGCTCTGCAGACCAGGGGCAACCTGGCTTTAAAAGACATTGTCACCAAGCAAACCCTCGCTTGATCTACAAGAATTCCCTGTGGATCAGTGGATCTCCATCTTAGCAGCACACTGGCCTCAGCCAGACCATGCCTAGACCAAATACATCAGAATCTCTGGGAGTGGGGCCCAGGCATTGATGTTTATAAAGCTTTCCTAGTGATTTCACTGTGCAGCCCAAGTTGAGACCCATGGCTACATATCAGCGTCCTACTCAAAGTGAGGACCACTGACCAGCATTATTGGTATCACTTGGGAGCTTGTTAGAAATGCAGAACCTCAGGCCCCATCCCAGACTGACTGAATCAGAACCTGCAAGTGAACAAGGACCACAGGTGCTTAGAAAATTTACTACTGCCTGAGAAGCCTGCTAGAATGCACTCTATATATCCCATCTTGACACCTGATAGCAACCTTGCGAGGCAGGTGTTCTATTTCACGGGTGAGGAAACAGAAGTGAAGAGAGGTTGAATCACTGGTCCAAGGTCACACAATTGGTGAGTAGGATAGCCAGGGTGCAACCTAGGTCTGGTTCCAAAGGCCACACTCTTTCAACTGCACAATTGTACCACTTCCTACAGCACAATTAAACATGGCCATAGAGAACCCCTGAGTGTTTGGCTCCTTGAGCCTGCTGGGCATGCCCTGCCTTTGAACAGGATTCCACTTCCAATGTCAAGTTCCCCAGAAACAAACCTCATAAAGACCAGCATAATTCATGAGAAAATACAAATTGTAAACAAACATAGGGAAGATGTTCACTCTCCCTCGTAATCAGAGAAATGCAAATTAGAACAACATTGAGGAACCATTTTCTACCTACATAATTAGCAAAAATTAAGAAAACCTTAGCAAAGTTATTCTGAAATAGGTACATTCATACACAATTGGTGGCGGTGTAGATTTATAGAACACTTGAGGAAAGTAATATGGCAACATCCATCAAGAGCCGTAAATATATTATGCCCACTGACCCTGGGAATTCACCCTAAGGAAATAATTCAAGGGTGCGGTGAGGGAATGCTATTTGTATGAAGATGCTCACTGCAACATTCACTGTTAACACTGGAAACAATATTCAGCAGTAAGAGAATGGCTGAATAAACTGGGGGTACATCTGCTCCTGCAGTGTTATGAAGCCATTTAAAATGATAATTAAGAAGCCTAAGCAGCAACATAGCAATGTGGGTGAAAGAAAGCAGAATGCAAAACTGTCTCTGTACATTGTGGTTTTTCTGATGTAAAAATATTGTGTGCATAAGGATATGGACAGGCAGGAGCTGGGCACAAAGGAAGGCAACCTTCAGAGTTGGGGGTGATGGAAAGACCCCCTCCTCCTATTATTTTTAGTATTACAAACCCTGGCCCTTTGAGAACAGCTTCAGGGGCTCTCCCCTCATGAAGTCTGTCTCTGAGGCGGACACAAGGAGGCAGCTGGGTGCAGGGCCACAGTCCTGATTGCACCAGGAGGTGAGGGGAACTGGCCCGGTGGAGGTCAGGAAGGCCACGGGAGGCCCCTCCCATCTTACCATGAAGCCCGGAGCACAAGTGCAGCCCCCAGTGATGCTGTGGCAGTCGGCGCCATTCTGACAGGTGCAAGGCAGCTGGCAGCCATCGCCATAGTAGCCAACAGGGCAGGATTCATTGCAGTGGTGACCAGACCAGCCTGGCTGGCAGGTACAAGCTCCAGTTACTGGGTGGCAGCTGCACAGATGAGAGAAGGGTGAGAAGACAGCTTGTTCTGGGAAGCAGCCATGTCCCCGCCCTCTGTCTACCCCAAGCCTGGCTTGCCTAGGGTAGCAGGATCAAAGGACCTCTGGGATTAAATTGCTCAATGCCTTTTCTGTTTATCAGAAGATGCCAAGGCCACATGGTCTCATTAGCACCCAGAAGCTGAGGCTCAGGGTGATTATATAACTACCCTGAAGTCAACAGCAAGGAGAAGTCAAGAGCGGGATTAGAACACAGGTCTTCTGACTCCCACACAAGCCTTCTTTATAATTCAGACACATGGAAACCAAAATGGAGAGTGGCCTTTTAGTCCCTTGGCTTATAGACTATGCAGTCCAAGGCTTCATCCATCCCTCACCTAAGGTGAATGCCTAGTGTGGGAACAGGACAAGAAGGTAGCAATGATACCCCAGTGGCTCTCCACATTGTAGGTGTTCAATGAATGTTGGGCTGAGTGAAAACAAGACTTTGGGCCAGATGTGGCCTCCTCTCTCTGGCAATGTCTGCCCTGGAGAGAGCAACCCCAACCTACGCTTTGCCAGGCTCTTTAACAGTGAGCAAGCTCTTCTCCATCTCCTGTTTAGGCTAGAGAAAGGACCATTCGGCTAGAGGCAGGGGATCCCTGGCATGACCTCCAGAGAGTAGGGCAACCTCTAGCTGGCAGCCATCTGATCCAATAGCCAATGTCTATTCATGATCAGCGGGATGCCAGTTGTAACCATGTGCTGTTCAGAACTTCTGCGGGAGCATAATTGACCTATGGCCCCAGTGCTGAGTTTGAAATCCAGAGGCCACATTTCCCCTGCGCCACTTCCAGCTGGAACACAGCAGGGATACTAAGGTGGGCACACTCTTGGGAGATCTGGGACTCCTCTGATGGTTACCTTGGCTTTAAGATACCCCATCCTGGCAAACTTTCTTAGAACCGTGCTGTGGGTTAAGACTCTTTCTCCCAACTTTCCTTCCTTCCTTACATGTGATCTGTCAGCTGTCCCAGCCTCCTCAGCTTCCTCCCCACTTTCCCTCACAGATGCTTCCCCTAGTAAACCTCTTGCTCTTGGTATCTGCTTCTGGAGCAGCTCAAACTAACACACCAAAGAAGTGCTGGGTGGTAGAGACAAGCCTTTTAGATTCCTTGTGGCACTGGCCTGCCTGCTCTGGAGCCCAGCTCTGGGGATAAGGTCAAGAGAAGCATGCCCTGGGCTGGCAGGGAGAACCTGGGGCAAGTCTTGGTTCTGCTAACTTCCATGGGGCCTTGGCACCTTGCCCCGCTGGACCATTGGTGGATCCCCAACACCTGGCTCATATTCACTGCCCTGGTGAATATTTGGGAAATGAATACAGCTTCCTCTAAATATAATTATCTTCCATTGATTCTTTATTCTTTTCTACTGATTTATCATCTGTCTTCTCCACTAGGTTGCAGCTCCGTGGGGGAGAGCCGTTTGTCTTGTTCCCTTCTCAGGGCCCAACAGAGTCCCTGGCACACTGGAGGTGCTTAATATATATTTAGAAAATTAATTAATGAGCAAACTAATTGTGTGAAGCCTAGCCAAGCTGTTTCTCTTCTAGGGACCCTGGTTTTCTCACAGAAAATGAGGGGGTGGACAGGAACAGGCAATTCCTGAATAATACTTGCAAGTAGCTAGTAATCATTTCAGAAAAGTGTTTAGTCTCATTAATCAAGTCTAAACAACAATTGGACACCACTTTTCCTCCATCAAAACAGTGAAGATGCTTTAAAATGCTGGTAAAGGTTTCAAAACAATCTGAGGCTACATATCAGGAGACTTACTTTTAAGTCTTTAATACTTTAATACTTTTATTCAGACTCTGGTCTCATAATTCCATTTCTAAGACTCTATCCTAAGGAAATAATCATAGCTGTGGAGAAAGATTTATGCACAGAGATGTTCCCTGAAGCATTATTTATAACAGTGGAAAATGGAAGCAATTTAAATGATAATAAATAATATGTGACTAGGCTATTGAGGCACCAGGCACGTTATATATATATTTCTAATCGTCAAATAAGCCTGTGAATTAGGTATTTGAGCCTGTATTTCACAGATGGCATTTAGAGGTTATGTGACTTGCCCAAGGTCACATAGCTAAGACAGTGAGTGGCAAAGCTGTGATTCAAACCCAGGTCTGTCTGGCCACATTTTGTCCACTGCCTCATGCCACCTCTCACCACAGGGCATTGGTTAAATGAATTATGACATCCATATGAAGGAATGCTAAGAGATGTATTCAGTTGTTTCTCAAAATGTTTAATGATATAAGGTCAAGTGAAATAAGCACTTTGTATACAAAGCCATTTCT
Organism: Homo sapiens; assembly: GCF_000001405.40. Classification (NCBI taxonomy): domain Eukaryota; kingdom Metazoa; phylum Chordata; class Mammalia; order Primates; family Hominidae; genus Homo; species Homo sapiens. The sequence goes on from NW_003315944.2 coordinate 51,892, forward strand.
ATCAATCAATGCTGCATCTGTTGGCTAAATCAAATCTTTCAAATATGAAAATATATCAAATCTAAAATATGAAAACGATATAGACATCGACAGATTTACCCCAAAATGGCTTTTGTGCTATCTCTGGATTGAGAAACTGAGTGATGCTAAGTTTTTTCTTTAAATGTATTCCCTAACTTACCAAAACTGAGCATCTATTTTATTTATAAACAGATGTAAAGCAATAAAAATTGTAAATATCTAACGAAGAAGAATGGGTGTAAAGGATGAGTGTTCAAAGACTTTCTGACCTTTACAGTTTGAGAAAAATTCCTCTCTGAGCCCCAAGGCACTGGAAGGGGAGACAGCGACCTGCGTGGGTATCGTGGGGAAGGCGTGCCCCTTGGTGGCCCTGACGCTCTGCTAGATGGTTTTGGAGCACTCTTCTCTTTAGGTTGCATCTTTCCAAGAGCTTCCTTTGAGGTTTAGGGTTAGCGTAGAGAGACTGGCTCAGTCACGGTTGTGGAGACTGACATGCTTGAACCTAGGAATGACCTGGCAGGTCTTGGCTGCAGCCATCAGCTCTGCTGAGCACTGGAGATTCTAAAAGGTCTCAGGCACCTTTCTGTCTCTTCCATCAATAGATGCTTCTGCTGTCTCTGCCTAGCAAATGGTCACGCTGGAGCTCATCCATTACACGCTCTTATTTTGGTGAGGGCACCACCTGGTGAAAAGCACACTCCACACACAACGAGCTAGCAAATGCTGACCTAAGTACTCTTTGCATTTCCTGCTTTTGATCTCTGCTGCCATCACTTTGGCTGCTCAGGGATATGTTAGGCACTAATTTTACTCTTTACTCTGAGAACCAGAAGGCTCAAAACCAAATCTAAAATCATTCCTTTTTTTTTTTCATATCCCTACAATTCTTCTAGAAATGGGATATCTACTTTCTTAATTTGATTACTCTACTTATCTTATAGAAACTCCAAAAGTCCCTTTGAAAAGAGGATGGAGAGTGACAGCTGACTGATCATGATGGAGAGCTGTGATTGCCATGCTTGGAACCTTTGTCCCTCAGCAGAGTGACTTGCACAGCCCCTCTCCCAGGCATCCCTTCTTCCTGGTGGTGGTCCCCATTCTCTTGAGTCACATGGCAGGCCAGGGACTGCTGTTTTTGGCTCAGGCAGAAGTTACAGTCACTTGTGTTTAGCCTGGTTCCGTTCTCTCTGGTTTTTTCTTTTCTCCCATTTCCCCCAGACATAGATTAATCACAAGTTAATAGGAACCAAAAGCTGAACAATACAGGAATCCTTCCAGAGTGGATTTTTCTGCCTTTCTTTCAGCTGCTATGAGATTTCTATCAATGCTGCATCTGTTGGCTAAATCAAATCTTTCAAAGGTAATACACGATCATGGCTGCTGGAATTAGTCTATGACAACCCAATTGTGGAGGGGACATTTAAGATCCCTGACACACAGGTGCTTTCTCTCTCAAGGTTATTCCTGTATAAAGGAGGATGGTTTCTTTGTGTGTGCTGCAAATAATTGATAAAGGGAATGAAGAGTTGGAGAATCTCACCAGCCACTTCTTCCTTCCCAGGGCATGGATTCAATCTCTGTGCAGCAGCCTTGCCGGAAGGGCACAGACCAGAGAGAGGCTGGAGCTGGGTGGCTAGGGCTTTCTTTGGCTGGGGGCTGGGATTACTTTTTCTGCCTAGGAAAGATGCTCAAGACCTTGCACACTGTTGTGGTGGGGGCTTTGTTGTAAGTTCTGCAGAAGGCAGGGAGCTTTGAGGCTAGGCTTCTAGGGATCCCACGTTCCTTATCTCAGGGAGTTGGGTGGAAGCTTCACGTTCAAAGACCACAGGAAAACATTTCCCCCACTGGGTTGATGAAAGGTGATGGACAGATTGGGAAACGTATGCATAGAGAGGAGAAGAAGGACGTATATCTTATGTGCATATATCAAGTGCCCTTATTACGGATACTTGCTTAGACAGAGATAGGTTTGAGGGCAGGACTCAGAAGTCCCAATCCCCACTCAGTACCTGAACTTTAACTGTCTTAAGATTAGAAGTCACAGAGTCATTCCTTTGCTTTTCTTGAATCTCAAGAGAAGACTCTATAATGGGCCAAAAAAGGCTCATGGGAAGAGAGGGGCTGCCCTCCATCCACATAGAGGAAGAGAGCTGTTTTCTGGTGTCCATAAGAACAATCAAGCGCAGCACGAGAGAGTTCATTTAGCCCAGAGGCTCTCAACCTCTGGGAATTTTTCCTGCCCCACCCCACCCTGGGACATCCGGCAATGTCTGGAAACATTTCTGATTGTCAGAACTTGGGCAGTGGAAGAAGGGTGCTACTGGCATCTAGTGGGTAGAGGCCAGGGATGCTGCTCAACATTCTACAAAGCACAGGACAGCCCTCTACAACAAAGAATTACCCAGCCCAAAATGTTCATGGTGGCAAGGTTGAGAAACCCTAACTTCAACTGAACAAAAACTTTGTGCCAGGGGCTCAGTCACTGGGCCAGTGTACCAAGAGAAAGGGAGAAATATGTTTTTTTAAAAAATAGGGTTGACGTCAGCTAATGGGTAGAACCTCCTAGAGGGATGGGCTGTTTAAGATGAGTTCAGGGACTCCTCTTACTGAAGGCCTACTCTGTGCAGGCACCGTGCAATGCTGAGGCTAGAGGCCACAGGGATGGACAAGCCAGGCTGCTGGTGCCCTCAAGGAGGTGGTGATGCAGACTCAGAGGAGACCAGGCTGGGGAGTAGACTGGTGGGCACGCTCAGAGCCCCCACTCTGAAGAACTGCTACTCCCTCCCAGTCCCTGAAACATGATACGTTTTAAAGACAGTAAAGCAAATAATCATCAATATTGGATGGGCTGAGATTAGCGGGAGAGAAGAGGGGGAGTCCTTTCAGATTAATAATGCATCGAGGACTCCTTCAGAGGAAGGATGAATTATACAGGGCATGGTTGCCCAGGCACAGGAGGAAAACAGTAACCCTTTAATTTGGGGCTTGGTTAGATTTCTGTGGCAGGAGCTCCCTGCATTGGACCCCGGCATCAGCCTTGCTTCCTGTCTTGGAGAGGGTCCTCCCTCAGCTTCCCAGCAGGAGCGACAGATTCTGGAATCTTAATATTTAGACACATGCAACAGTCTGAGCCAGCTGCCCAGTCCCCTGACCAGCCATATGAGATTTCTGTAATTAGCGCCTTGGAGCTCTCACTCTGCTCTCCAAACCCAGCCCAGATGCCACCTCTTCTAGGAAGCCTTCCCTGACCAGCATCACATAGTCCTGGGTCACAGTTACTTGGGCACATGTTGGGACCCAGCAGGGCCAGCCACATATATTTCATCAGTTCTAAGATGTACTTCTCCTCTACATTTTCACATCTCTGATATTGGGTAATTCATATCTCTGATATTGGCTATACAATCAATGGTATGTCATGGTTCAGTTGATAGAATTTTCCTAGTAGTAACCCAAATAAAGCTATGCCTCACTACTGGTATTGTCTTGTATTTGAAGAAATACGGTAGAAGGTGCTCGGGGTTTCCTCCTCATAGCCCAGCCCTGTGGGCGCTCAGTGTTTGTTGAATGAATGACCGAGTGAATGAATGCTCAGGTCATGGACAGGCCAGCTCCACTGGCTCTAGCACCCTCTCTGGACAGTCTCTTTCCCGGGCCTTCCACCTCTGCCTCACACCACCCCAGCTGCTCCACTCCAGGGAGGGAGGACCTTTTAGTTTAACTCGTTAACACTTGCCGACATGCCTCTGCTTGCAGTGAACGAGGCTCCAGAGTGATTTGTGAAAGATCAAAGCCTGGAAATGAAGAGGGGCCCAGGCTAAGTCCTGGCCGTCCCAGCGACAGGGCTGCAAAGCAGAGGGATTCTCTGTCTGCCCTGCCAACAGCAGCAGCACCCATGCCCAGGGTGGCCGGTCTTCCCTGGGCTGTCCGTAGGCCTGAGGGAGAAGGGATGCTCCCCTGACCTTCATCACCCAGATAAGAGGCAGCCACGATAAAGGGCTGTGGGGGCGTTCATCCAGGGCTGACAGTCTCAATTGTTACCTGGGGCAGTGCCAGCTGGTGCGTGAAGCGGGCAGGGAGGGGAGCTGGGAGCAGTAGCCCAGAACAGCTCTGCCTTCACAGGTTCAGGCTCCTTTGGAAGTGGGGGGTGGAGGGACAACTTCTGCCCGGATGTCCCCAAGCCACAAACGACACAGAGTGCTGGGGGAGGGGCTGGCCCCAAGTTCAGGCCCTGATAAAGGGCTGCCCCTGTTGTTCCTGCTCCTCTAGCCTTGCCAGGGTCTGCTGGGACAACCCTCCTTAGGCCCTGGATGGCCCTCGTGATTTTTAAGGTCCCTTCGAGTCCTGACCTTCTGCAGCTCAAGCCTCTACTTCTGCCCTGGTGCCCGTGTCTCTGGTTGGATGCCACGCAAGTGGAGGGAAATATTCTCCAGGACAATGTGCTCAGAGCTTGTGGCACCCGAGCCCTGCCATCCTAGCCCCCAGGGTCATGCAGCTGTGCTCCACCCCACCTCCTTGTTCTCTCCTTGCTCCCATGTGTGGAGTCTCAGACAGGCACATTTGGAAATGCAGGTAGCCAGGTGGGGTGGACAGAGGTGAGTGATCTGGCTCTAGTCCTGACTGTGGCTATGTGGCCTTGGCTTCCCCTTCTTTTCATCAAAGTGGTTCTCAGGGCTCAGTGCTGAGGTCCTAGCCCTTTCCCCCACCTGCCTGGATGTCCATGCTAGAGGTGGGGGGCCACATCCTAGCAAGCCTCCTCTCTACCTGAGCACCCCCCGCCCTTGTCCCGGGCTCGCCCATTCCCAGCTCATACCTGATGGTGTTGTCAGCGTCACAGGGGCAGGGCAGGGTGCAGCCTGGGCCATGCAGGCCCTCCGGGCACAGTCGCTCCTGGCAGCGTGGGCCCTTGTAGCCAGGCTCACACTCGCAGGCACCCGTGGTGGGTGAACACTGCCCCCCATTGTGGCAGTCACAGTGCTGTGAGCACTGGAAGCCGAAGGACCCGAAGGGGCACTCCTCTTGGCACCTGTGGGAGAGCAGAGTGGGGCTGAGGCTGTGGGCCAGGATCCCTCACCTGTGCTTCAAGATCCTCCAGGATGTGGTCCTCCTGGCCATCTGGCCCAGGCCTGGTGTGCTCCACGCTGCTCACAGCCTCCTCCCCTTTTCTCTCTCCTCCTCCAGGAAGTAGTCCATGGTTTAGTTCGCCCCAGTCATTTCTGCCTTTCATGCCAGGTCGGCTCAGTCCCCCCAGCAATGAGTTTGTACCACCATATTTTATTGATTCCAAGCCTAATAATTTTTAAAAATTAAAGTTGTGGTGAAATATACAGGTTATGGTTTAAATGTTTCTCTCAAAATTCTCATTGAAACTTAACACCCAATGCAATGGTATTAGGAGGTGTGGCCTTTGGGAGGTGATTAGGGTATGAATGGATTAGTGCTTTCATAAAAGGGGCTGGAGGGAGCCAGTGAGGTCCCTTTCTTTCTTTCTTTCTTTCTTTCTTTCTTTTTTTTTTTTCTTTTTTTTTTTTTTGGCTCTTCTATTCTTTTCGCCCTCTGAGGATGCAGGCTTCAAGGCACCATTTTGGAAGCAGAGATTGGGGCCCTCATCAGACACCAAACCTGTCGGCCCCTTGATCTTGAACTTCTCAGCCTCCAGAACTGTGAGAATCAATGTCCATTGTTTATAAATTACTCAGTCTTGGGTATTTTGTTATAGCAGCATGAGCAGACTAAGACAGTACACCCCATAGAATTGACTGTTTTAACCACGTACAGTTCAGTGGCATTAAGCACATTCGCACTGTTGTGCCACATCACCACCACCCATCTCCAGAATGTTTCCGTCTTCCCAAACTGAAACTCTGCACCCATTAAACAAAAAACTGTTTAGGTAGGTTTAAAAACACCTTGCTTTTTTTGTTTGTTTGAGATGGAGTCTCACTCTGTTGCCCAGGCTGGAATGGCATGATCTTGCTGCAACCTCCGCCTCCCAGGTTCAAGCTATTCTCCTGCCTCAGCCTCCCGAGTAGCTGGGACTACAGGGGTGCACTGCCACGCCCAACTAATTTTTGTATTTTTACTAGAGACGGGGTTTCACCATGTTGTCCAGGATGGTCTCAATCTCTTGACCTCATGATCCGCCTGCCTCGGTCTCCCAAAGTGCTGGGATTACAGGCATGAGCCACCTTGTTTTTAAAAGATATTTTTATATCTCTGAAATTAGATAAGTCTTGTAATTGGTGACATGTCATAGTTTAATTGCCAGTGTTTTTCATTCTTTGCAGCATATGAAACAGTGATGCATCTTACGATCAGTGGCACCTTAGGTTTGATGAAATGGGGTGATTTTGTTTCTATACAGTATCTCTGGTTTTTGAGCCTTTGGGCCAGATGTACAGTCTCTCTTGTCCTACTGGGAGACATATCTCCTCCCTGACTGCGGATTTTCCCTCGAGTAGAGGAAGCGTCTTCCTGCATTGGACTATAGAATGCCCTGTGACAAGGCTATTTTCCCTTCCTTGGAAGAAGGTCCCCTCAAGGTAGGGTCTGAGTCTCTCCCATCAGCCTGTGAGCCCCTAAGGAGGAAGCCTGGGACCACCTTTGTGTCCTGTGTGTGTCTGGGCTAGTACTTGGAGATCCCAACATAAGGATAATTATTCAACTTCATTTAACCCACAGCCATGGGTGTGGCTCCTCCGTGGGCGAGTGTGACCCCCCACTGCTGACCACCTGGTTTCCTGAATGTGCCTCAACACCCCTTACCCCCACCCTGGGCTCTTTCCCAGAGGATGCAGACTTATTGTCACAGCAACTAGATCCGGATAAGTCAAGGGTTAAACCTGGAGGAATAGGGGTAAAAGAGGGGGATGACTTCTGGCATCCCAAAGACAAATGGAAATGGCCTCTAGCCTCTGGGGTTCTGGGATATCTTTGTTCCAGCACTGATTCAACAGTGCGGATAATGGAGAACTAACCTAAAGCTCTGACATCCTCTTCTTTTTCATAAAATGGGACGATACTCACTAAACCTCATCGGGTTCTGTAAGAATTAAATGGGATAATGCGTGTAAACATTTAGAAAGGCGCCCAGACCATAATTGGGGCTCAATTAGAAAAGTTAGTTATTTTCACTAGTACTCATGTTAATATTGTTTTCAACAGTTCTTATAACAGAGCCCATCTGACCTTCTGGCCTTAAATTCAGGCATGAAAAAGCCCAAAGGGAAAAATTCTAAAATGTTAATAGTAGAGTGGATTTAAGGAGTTAGTGTTTTAATTATCATATGTTTCCATTTTCCAGGCTTTCTGTATATCTTCTACAGTAATCAGAGGGGAAAAGCAATTTAAAAAAAAATACAGCTCTAACTTCTTTATTATGTATTTTGGAGGATCGTGGGGGTGGAAGTATTCTTCTACAGACAGGGCAGGGAGATTCTGTGTCTGGATGACTCAGTTGTCTATGGTGAGGGTGAGTGGTCAGACCCTCGTGGATGTGGCAGGGCCAGCTAGCAAGTGTGTGGGGGATGAGAGCAGCCAGTGTGTGGGGCACCAGCCTTGGCAACTTGAGACTGGGGTGTCCTTGTCTCTGTTCTGTGCCTTTGCTGCTCTGTGCCCACAGTGACAAGGAGAAGAGGACGGTGACTGGGGTCTGGCCTTGAGTGCTTCCTTCCCAAGAAGATGCCACTAGCTCTCCCCTCTCAGAGCCACTGTAGCAAAGGAGTGATCTGGCAGAATAGTGGGGCAGCAGGGATCATGATGACAACACCCCCGGGCACCGTATACTGAGGGGCTTCCAGCTGCTCAGGCCCCAGAGCCTGTCCCCAGCCCCTGGAGCAGCACATATTCTCATCACCCTCACTTTAGAGTTAAGGAGGCTGCCATGAGACAAGTGAGGCAACTGCTCCAAGCTCACGCAGCCTGCATGTGGCTAAGATGACCCCAGATTGTCTTTCTGCAAATCTTGTCATATTTCAGCCAATCTGAGGCCTCATGAAGGGAAAGAGAGCAGAAAAGAGAGGGAAGAGGAGGCAAGAAAGAAGGTGATGTCTGGAGAAGGAATGGAAAGTAGAAGACAGAAGGAGGAGAAGTAGAATGGGGGAAGGGAAGGAGGGAAACTGAGGCAGAAGGGGAGGAAAAAGAGCAGCTGAAGACCCAAATAATCACTATCTGAGTTGCCAGCCCCTGTTCAGCCTGCAAATGGATTTCTCCAGAAGTCACTGTGCTTTGCTGGCCTCGAATGTCTCAAATGTCGGGTGAAAAACTCAAACCAGATACCTCCTGATACCTGTTCCTTTTCAAACATTCCTGCTCCCTCCTGCTTAGCAGGACTGGACAGAGCCCTGAACCCTAAACTCCTCTGAAGGGCAATTCCCTAGCCCACTATATTTTTGGGGTGCCTGGATCTACAGCCCCAGAAAAACAATCTGGAAATGAAATATTGACAACCTAATTCATTTACTTAATCAGCCTCTTTTTTTTTTCCCTACTCACAATTTAAACAACTTATTTATTTAGAGATCAAGCAACGATGGCTAATGAATTTTACACAAAGCATGCTAATAATGGGGCCTGCGGAACAGAAGGATAATCACAGCAGGAATTAGTTTTCTACTTAAACATCCTTCCTTTGCACCATATCAATCTAATGTGTCCAATATTGCCATTAACAACCAGATACATTGCTCAATTAAATTACAAAATGAGCTGCAAAGCCCTCGTTACATTTCGTGTTTAATTTGCACTGGTTTCTGCCTATCCGGGGAGGCCTGCATTATTACACCCACTCAACTTTAATATGCTCATGATGATTTGGGGTGGGTTAATGCAGCTGTCACCTACGAAATTAATGGAGGCAATTTTACAAAATATTAAACACCAGGCAGCCCGTTTAGGTGAGAAGCCCAAATGCTGCCTGGCCTCCTATTGAACCCTCCTGTGGTTGATTGGCAAAGCTTGCTGGAGGGCCCCTTGGCTTTAGGGGTTCCTCTCTGCCCAGGATCATGGACCAGGCTCCAACAAGCAGAGAGATTTTGGATTCTTTCTCTATTTGGCACATCTCGACAGGGAAAATCGACAGCACCAATGAGCTAGGGTCTACTGGTATGGAGTCCAGCCGGCTAGAGCCCTGGGCCTGCTCATTTCCAACAACAAGCGGGCGGTTTGCACTCTCATGAGAAAGTGGACTGAAAAAGGAGTCCTGTGCTGGCTTGAGGATCTTCCTGATTCCAGTCCGTACTGGCTCATCCTGAGCATTTCCTTATTTGGGGAGATGGTGAGGATGGGAACATGCACTCAATGTTTCAGCCCTCTCTCCCATGGGTCAGGGAGGGATGGATCCCCAGATGCCACACCCCACGTTCTATGCTGGGGAACAGTGTTGATGAACACTGGCTCACAAAGAGATCAGATCTGGCTTAAAAGACTTCCAGCTGGAGGTAAATAAGCCCAAGGCTAATGGACAATCTCTTTTCTGGACATCACTAAGGATTTGGGGCTGATTCTAGTGGGAGCTGGAGGAGCCCCGATTATGTCTATTAGAAATGGAGGGATTCATTGGTTAACTCAGCCTACATCCCGGCTTTCTGATGTCACCCAGGCATGGAATGATGAAAAATGTTTCCTCATTTTGTCTGAGAAGAGTATAAAGTCCAAGAGCCAGAAATGAAACATGGATCCCCACAGAACCAGGCATGGGGTGTGGGGGCTGCCTCTGTACGGCCCTTCTCTGCTTGAAGAGATCCATGTGGTCAAGAGTGAGAGGGAGGAGACTTGGCCTGGGTTCTGTGGGTTTCAAATATCTTTTTCCAGCTTCCAATCTACTCACCATCACACACACCGGTTGCTGTTTCTCCCTTTTCCTCTGCACCTGCCCTGTCATCATGGCCTCCTTCTTCCCGCTGTGGCACATGTGCACACATGGCAATTCCCCAGTTCTGTGTTTTTTTGATTATCCACTCTGCAAGGCTGGTTTCATTCCAGGACATTGGCACCGTCCTTCAGTCTGCTCTTAAGCCACAAGCCTTCAGAGGATGCAAACTGATGCCAGTATCCTTTTGGTGGAACCCAAATTAGGACTAAAAATGCCCTTCCAGAAGAAATCGTGCAAAACATATGAATGAAGTGATTTTGTACTCTCAGCTTCCTTGGATTATCTGTGCCATTGCCTCCCTCTATGAGTGCAGAGAGTAGAGAGTGGGGGCAGGTGCTCACCTCCTTCCCCCAGGTGAGCCCATTTAAATTCAGGGCTTGGGCCACTAGGCTAGAGAAGAGGGTGTCTCTGCAGGCCGAGGGTGAGGAGGGATCAGGTGCCAACCCTCCCTGGCAGGAGAGCTCAGAGTGCTTTCTGAGAAAGGAACTGGAAGGCTGGCAGAGAGAGGGCTATGAGCTGTTCTCTGCAAGTCTCCTATGAATATGAGTAAAATGGACAGCAAAGATAACAGTTAACACTATCCTTACCTGTCCCCCATGTATCCAGCTGTACAGTGGCACTGTCCAGTCACGTGGTCACACTGCCCTCCATGGTGGCAAGGACAATCCTGGCTGCAGTTCTGGCCAAATGTCCCTGGTGGGCAGGGCTGGGCACACACTGCTCCCTAAAAGAAAGGTGGGAAGACATGCATGGCGGTGCTCCAGAAATGCCAAACTTTCCTGGGAATGGCACACCTGCTGTGGCTCCAGGGACCACCCAACTTCCCAGAAGAAGTTCAGACAGCTGGACACCAGGGCTCCAAAGCCCTCCTCTTAGAGATGGGAGATGGGAGACTGAGGCCAACTTGCTCATCCAGTTATTCAGCACAATTTAGGAACTGCCTATTGTATACGAGGTGCTGTGTGAGACACTAGGGGTGATTCGATTTGATTCCTGTCCTCCTAGTCTACCACAGAAAGAGCCAAAAAAACCGCTAAGTACAAGGCAGTAAGTACTCTCACATGGGTACACAGTAAAGTGCTGAGAAGACATAAGGAAGGAGGCTGAGTAAACATGCTGGTATGGAGACGTGCACTTTGCTCAGCTTCTTTCTCAAACCCAGCTGACATGAGAGTCAAAGGGGTACAGGTATAAACCCACAAAGAAAAGAGGAATAGGAGACAAAGGATGTCACACACTGGAAGATGGAAAAGCAGGTGGAGGAGTGATAACTGCTTTGGTTTCTGCTTCCTGGGCAATGTTAAGTGCCTGCAAAGGGAGCGTCACAATGCTGGATGATGAAATCCTTTGTAACCTCAAAAAGCTCAGGAATCAGAGACACTGGGACCCTCCGAAGGTGAAGGTGCAGGTATGATCAAAACAGGACTGTTTGAAAGTTTATAAAATAGGGAATTAGACCCCCAATCTCTGCCCCCACCTTGAATAGCAGCCAGGTGAATTGTCCAAGTCTTTCAGAGAGGTTGGTGTCACAGGCTGTGGACAAGGGACACAGGCACAGATGAAGGTGGGGGTGGAACTCTCCTGCTGCTCTCTTCCCTGCTGCGCTCCTAAAGGCTGACTGCCGGACTGAACTCCCTGTGGCAGGAGGTTGGAGGGTTCCTTTCTAGGGACACTGAGGAGCTCAAGAGAAATGACCTAAAGATATTGATAGTTGAGGGTCCCATCAGTCAACACGCCTGACATCTCCCTCCACCCCCAGGTGTCCAATTGGCTTTTCTGGGGCTCACTGTAAAACATGAACAGATGGCCAAGGATCACCAGATATTTGAAATAGGCCCTCACATGAAAGAGAAACACTGAAATAAACAAATAGGCAACAGGAACACAGAGGAAATAGGAACCATGCCTGGAGCAAGGAAAACCTAAAAAAAGAGAAGGAAAAAAGCCTCTGTCATAATTAAAATGAACATGCTCATGTAGCTATAAGAAAACATTGCACCTATGAAAGAACAGAGTGCTATAAAATAGGATATCCAGAGAATAGGAAAGAGGTCTTGAAAATTAAAAATAAAATGGTGGAAATTAAAATGTTGCAATAGAAGAGCCAAAACATAAAGTTGAGGAAATTTATAAAGTATACCAGAGAGAGAGAGACAAAGATAGAGAGATGAGATTAAAAATAATAGAGAAAATATAGAGGACCAATTCAGGTGGTCTGACATCTAATTAACAGGAGTTCCAGACAGTAGAACAGAGAAAATAGAGGTGAGTAAATTGATGGAAAATATAATAAAATTTCCCAGAATGGAAGGATGGAGAACCTGGGTTTCTGAACTGAAAAGGCCTACAAAGTCTTTAGCAAAAATATAAAACAAGACCCACATCAAGGCATGTTATCGTAAACTTTTATATCTCTGTGGATAAAGAAATGATGTTAACAGATTTTAGAAAGAGGAAAACAGGCTAGGTATGGTGGCTCATGCCTATAATTCTAGCACTTTGGGAGGCTGAGGCGGGAGGATCTCTTGAGCCCAGGAGTTGGAGACCAGCCTAGGCAACAAAGCAAGATCTCATCTCTACAAAAACAAATAAAAATGAAAATACAAAGAGGAAAACAAACATACAAAAATCAGGAATTAAGAGGGTTTAGACTTCTTAACTGGAAGCCAGAAGACAATGGAGCAATGCCTTAAAAATCCAGAGGAAAAAAATAATTTCCAACTTAGAATTCTACACCCAACTAAACTAACACTCAAGTAGGGGACTCAGTAAAGACATTTTCAGATTTGAACAGCCTCAAAAAGTTAACCTTCCATAAACACTTTCTCAGAAAGCTATTGTAGGATTTGTTTTCCATCAAAAAGAATTACTCAAGAAAGCTGGGCACGGTGGCTCACGCCTGTAATCCCAGCATTTTGGGAGGCTGAGGTGGGTGGATCACCTGAGGTTCCAGACCAGCCTGACCAACATAGAGAAACCCCGTCTCTAATAAAAATACAAAATTAACCGGGCGTGGTGGCACATGCCTGTAATCCCAGCTACTGGGGAGGCTGAGGCAGGAGAATCGCTTGAACCTGGGAGGTGGAGGTTGCAGTGAGCCAAGATCACACAACTGCACTCCAGCCTGGGCAACAAGAGCAAAACTCTGTCTCAAAAAAAAAAAAAAAAGAATTACCCAAGAAAAAGAAAGGCATGAATTCCAGGAACTAGGGACTGCAACAGAAGACAGAGGTAAAAGGAATCCCAGGATAGCAGTGAAAGGAAGCCCCAGATGACAGCTATGCTGCAGGCCTGGAGAGCAAAGAGTTAAAGAGTTCAGACTGGAACAGAAGAGACAGGCTTCTAAGAAACTTGCCTCAAAAACAAAACAAAAGCAAAAACTGGAGAGACTTCTAATGGGTCTGACCTTATTGAGAGGAGTTTGAGAGCTCTGTTAGAGAGTTTTAAGGATAAATTAGTAACAATACACATGTATATTAACATAAATATTAAAAAATAATTTAACCAAACTGGACATGGTGGCACCTGTCTGTAGTCCCTGCTACTCAGGAGGCTGAGGCAGGAGGATCACTTGAGCCCAGGAGTTCAAGGCTGCAGTGAGCTATGATTGTGCCTGTGAATAGCCACTGCCCTCCAGCCTGGGCGACACAGCCAAATCCCGTGTCTTAAAACTTTTTTAAATGATTTAACCACAAATTGTAATATAACTCCACTGGGAGGGTGGGAGAGGGGTTGCGTGTTTGTATGGGTGTGTATGACAGAGCTGAATCTTATTCTGTGGCAGAAAGTCAATGGATTCAATGACTGTCTAAGATGGAAAAGTCAAGAAACGGCTATAAAGCATGTTATGTAGAAAAATGGAGGGAAATGCCAGAAGAAATACCTAAAAGATTTGAAAGTGTTGCCTTTAGGGAGCAGGATTTGTAAATGGAGCAGGGGACTCCCCTGCCCCCCAGTATTAGCCTTGTGGTATTATATAACTTAAAATTACATGCATGAGTCTTAGGTTTTTAACAGATCTGAGCCTGCTCTTGTCTCCTGCTGCCCTTCCAGCCCTGCGCATACCCGACAGTCATTTCTCTTATGGAGATCAAGGATGTTCCTCCAATTAATTAATCAATTAGTTCAACACACAATTATTAAGCACCAATAATCACCAACCCTGCAGAAGCTAGTTTATTCAGGAAAATTGTGCCAGACCAGAGTCATCTTTCAAGATCATCCAGTTTACTTGTAATGAGTTAAACAGGAGGCCATTCAGCTTAGACTCTCCTCCACACACAAGTCAGAAGTAGGGGGGCTAAGAGGAGGGGCTGAGGCGGGGAGGGGAGGGAGGAGTGAAGGGCAGAAGCAGCCGAGGACAGTGAGAGAATGCGTGTGTGTGAGAAAAGGGGAGAGAAGAGTCACTCAGGCCAGGTGCGGTGGCTCATGCCTGCAATCTCAGCACTTTGGGACATCAAGGCAGGTGAATCATTTGAGGTCAGGAGTTCAAGACCAGCCTGGCCAGCGAGGTGAAACTCCATCTCTAGTAAAAAATACAAAAATCAGGCGTGATGGCAGGTGCCTGTAATCCCAGCTACTCGGGAGGCTGAGGCAGGACAATCACTTGAACCTGGGAGGCGGAGGTTGCAGTGAGCCAAGATTGTGCCACTGCACTCCAGCCTGGGCAACACAGTGAGACTCCATCTCAAAAGAAAAAAAGAAAAGTCAGAGTAGGGGTCCTTCTTCCTCCTGGAGGTGTGGGGGTACTCCAGGCATGGCGGGGGCCTCTCTCAGTGCACATTATAAGTTCTAGGTATTCAAAAGGGAGGAGAAGTCTTTCTGGCTTCTATCTGACTCAGTCTTCTACAGTCCTGGGCTGGATAAGGACACTCTTGGAAAAACTTTCTTTTTTTTTGAGATGGAGTTTCGCTCTTGTTGCCCGGGCTGGAGTGCAATGATGTGATCTCGGCTCATGGCAACCTCCACCTCCTGAGTTCAAGCGATTATCCCATCTCAGCCTCCTGAGTAGCTGGAATTACAGGTGCCCGCCACCACGCCCAGCTAATTTTTGGTATTTTTAGTAGAGATGGGGTTTCACCATGTTGGCCAGGCTGGTCTTGAACTCCTGACCTCAGGTGGTCTGCCTGCCTCAGCCTCCCAAAGTGCTGAGATTACAGGCATGAACCACTATGCCCAGCCAAAAGAGATGGGGTCTCACTCTGTCATCCAGGCTGAAGTGCAGTGGTGCCATCCCAGCTCACTGTAACCTTGAACCTCTGGGCTCAAGTGATCCTCCCGCCTCAGCCTTCTGAGGAGCTGGGACTGCAGGCTCATGCCACCACATCTGGCCAGGTTCCTGTCCTTTTTAGTACTTCTCAGACACAACCAGTGCTCTCTGAGGTCAATAGAGAAGTCTGGTACGTAGAATGCATCCTTCCGGCATTCCCTAGGGAAATCAAGCATCCTTGAGACTTTTTAGTGAAGTGGGTGAGCACCTCTTTCAGCCCCTGCTCAGGATTCCCAAACTGCAGGCATCCAAGCCCGCCGAATCTCTAGTCCTCTTCCCTGGTTTGAGCTCATGGGGCCTGAGAGAATTTGATATCTTGGAGGTCCTGTTGCCTGGTCTGGTGGGAAGAGCACTGGGTTCAAAGTCATGATTTGGGCTCAGATCCCAGCTCTGCCTCCTCCCAGATAGGTGAGCTAGGATAAGTCAGGTGATCATTCTGAGCCTTAATTTTCTCATCTATAAAATGGGAGTAGTAACTCCTAGTCTTCCAGGTGGTTATAAAGACGAAGTGAGATTAGAGATGTGAAGGAACCTAGTACAGTGCCTTAAACAGGGGGCACTTAATTAATAGTAATTGAACCAAGTTGACACCTGATGAGGTGGCACATGGTGGGAGCCCCATATATCCTGAGACTGAGAAGAGTAGAAGAGAACTGTAGGAGTCATCACCCACTGCTGGCTGGAAGAACAGCCTTTTGGGGAGAGGCAGGGGGAGAGAGCAGCCAGAGAAGTCAGCTTAGGAGAGGGCTATGGCCTGTGGTTTCTCTCCTGCTGCAATGAGCTGAAGTGTACCCCTTCAACATTCCTTTTTTTTTTTTTTTTTTTTGAGATGGAGTCTCGCTCTGTTGCCCAGGCTGGAGTGCAATGATGTGATCTCAGCTCACTGCAACCTCCACCTCCCAGGTTCAAGCAATTCTCCTGCCTCAGCCTCCTGAATAGCTGGGATTACAAGCATGTGCCACCACACCCAGCTAATTTTTGTTTTTAGTAGAGACTGGGTTTCATCATGTTGGCCAGGCTGGTCTTGAACTCCTGACCTCAGGTGATCCACCCGCCTCGGCCTCCCAAAGTACTGGGATTACAGGCATGAGCCACCACGCCCGGCCAACATTCCTATGCTGAAGTTTTAACCTCCAGTACCTCAGAATGTGACTGTATTTGGAAACAGGACCTTTACATAGGTAATCAAGTTAAGATGAGGTCATATGGGGGGGCTCTCATCCAACATGACTCATGTCCTTACAAGAAGAGGAGACTAAGACAGACCCAGAAAAAAGACGACATAGAGACACAGGGAGAAGATGGCCATCTACAAGCCAAGGAAAGAGGCTCAGAAGGAACCAACGCTGCCGACACCTTGATCTTGGACTTTCAGCCTTCAGAACTGTGAGAATCAGTTTCTGTTGTTCAAGCCGCCTAGTCTGTGGCACTTTGTTATGGCAGCCTCAACAGATTCATGTACTTGCCCTGTGGTCAGTTAAGTGTGTATCTCCAATTGTAGTGGGATCTTGGACTGCTGTGGCATCTAGAAGGTTGTACATGGGGTAAGGTGATATTTTCTGTTCCTCTCAGAACTGGTTAGACCAAATGGCTTTGTCAAAATCTGGACAACAGTCGCACTTTAAGAGGATCTTGGCGGCCAGGTCCAGTCGCTCATGCCTATACTCCCAGCAATTTGGGAGGCCCGTAATCCCAGTACTTTGGGAGGGCAGATCACAAGGTCAGGAGATCGAGACCGTCCTGTCTAACACGGTGAAACCCCGTCTCTACTGAAAATACAAAAAGTTAGCCGGGCGTGATGGCGGGTGCCTGTAGTCCCAGCTACTTGGGAGGCTGAGGCAGGAGAATGGCATGAACCTGGGAGGCGGAGCTTGCAGTGAGCCGAGATCGTGCCACTGCACTCCAGCCTGGGCAAGATTGAGACTCCGTCTCAAAAAAAAAAGAGGATCTTGGCTAAGTGGAACATAAAAAGAGAAGGGGCCAAGATGGTGAAAGGACTTAAGGCCATGCCAGCTCTCCTGGAGGGGAGGCAACTCAGCCTCATCAAGCATCTGAAGGCATTTCTAATGATCAGTGATGCTCCAGGGTGGCATGGACACCCTCAATGGACAGTGAGCTGTGGTTGGTATGGGTGCTGTGAAGGTGATCCAGGCCACAGGCCGGGAAGTGGGGCTCCATGAATCTTCCTTCTCAAACCTGAGCATCTGTGATGCTAGGCCTCGGCCCCAAAAACTCTCTCCCTCTTTTTTTTTTTTTTTTTTTTGAGATGGAGTCTTGCTCTGTCACCCAGGTTGGAGTGCAATGGCGCAATCTTGGCTCACTGCAACCTCTACCTCCTGGTTTCAAGCAATTCTCCTGCCTCAGCCTCCGAATAGCTGGGATTACAGGTGCCCACGACCATGTCTGGCTGATTTTTTGTATTTTTAGTGGAGATAGGGTTTCACCATGCAAAACCTCTCTTTGGCCCTCTAGGATAACTGGTCCTATTTCCCAGCTCCTCAGCCTCCTCTCTTCCAGTCTTTTCTTTGTGTGTGTGTGTGTATGCATGTAGGCACACACACACTGCATCCAGTCCCCAACGTAAGACTGTGAACTCCTAAGGGTGGGGGATGTCAATCCTATTTCCTCCTGCCTCTCTGTCTCTAGTGCCCACTCACATGAAACTACTCAGACTTGGTTTCTCTGCTTTGAAAGGTCTCAGAGCCCAGAAAAAGAGGAGAAACAATTCCCCAGGCTCTTTGCAAAGACCCCTCCTGAAACAGGCTTCATGTTGGGCTAGCGGAATATCCTGTGGGCATGCTTAGGGCCTGGTGGCCAGGAATCTCTGAGGAGGGGCCTGGAGGGCCAGAGTTCCTAGCAGCTCCTCTCTCCAGTTCCACACAATGGCCTGGGTCTTTGGGGAGGTGCATGGTGTGAATAAGCAATCTCTATATCTCTGAGTTGGAAAATGTGTGGTTGAAGTCACATAGGGCCATTGGGAAGTCAGGCAACAGAAGATGCTAAAGTGGGAAGCCTTCTCCCCAGTATCCATTCCTTGGTCCCAGCTCTCCCTGGGAGGAGCCTCAGGCATGAATGCAACTTCATTATACAGTGACTCTGCATGCACAAGGGGTATTAATGATTCATACAAATCTGCAAGTTAAATGCTATGTCAAAAATAGAAATTCAATTGTCTACAATAAAATTAAAAACATAAAGTCCTCAAATCCAAAGGCTTCTATCGACAGTTTCCTGTCATCTGGAAAAACAAACCTCTTGCTGTGCTGGGGAGAAATACAATCCCTCCATGTGTTTGCTTCTCACCTTCCCCCTGTTCAACCACCCGAGCCTCAGCAGTGTCTCCAGAGAGGCCTTTACAGGCAAAGGGATGCTGTGTGCTTGTTCTCCCCACCACATCCTGATCCAACCTTTCTGCTGCAGCTGGGCCTCTGAGGACCCAGCCTGCTGGGTGGATTTCTGAAAGCTGGTTGGAGATGAGAGGGTCTTTCCAGAGACTGGTTCAGGGTGGAAGAAAAGGTGGTGGCGGTCCCTTTTTCTTCCTCAGAGGAGACAGACAGATGGACAGACAGACACCAAGGGCTGGGAGTCAGAAGACTTGGATTCTAGCTCCACCTCACTCCTAACCACCAGTGTGGACTTGAACAGGTCCCTTACCCTCTCTGAGCCTCAGCTTCTTCATCTGAGAAAGGAAGGTATTGACAGACCAGTGGGATTCAAATCTCTTAAAGCTGGGAAACCCTGTTTTTATGTGAAATCTTACCTAGAGCACCTCAATATAGAAACTAGATTAAAATGGAGAGGTGGGGGTGGGGTGGGCACCAGAGTCCTAACGATTAGGCTCCTGCCCCCACTCTCCGTCAAGAAACCCTAGGGTTCTGTGAAACACAGAAGGAAGTCCTATGGTCTGGATCAGTTCTTTCCAAATGAAGACCTGCAGACAGGACTGGCTGCCTCAGAACCATCTGGGGAGCTTATTAAAAATAGAGATCCCCCAGTCCCAGGAGGTCACAGATGCAGCCTGGGAATCTGTATTTTAACCCCCCACCACCCCCTTGTCAGCTCTGGGGTGCAGTCAGGTTTGGATACTGTGGGACCAAGTGGTCCCCAAGGTCCTTTCCTGCCCTAAAAAAATTCTGTCAAGACTGTGCCTGCATCGATGGGCCCTGCAGGTGTCCTCCCATCTGTCCCTGTGACCTCTGCATTCGCAGCCTCCTAAAATATCCTGCTTCTGCTCAGCAGCCCTTTCCTCTCTGGCTTTGCAAAGCCTCAGGCCCCAGGGGAGGTGGTGGACTGTGTCGCTGAGCTTCCCCTGAAACGGAGCGTGTTACTGGAGAGTCAGAGGCAGGGACGCAGCCCAGGAAGGTCAGCTTCAGCTGACTCACTGCCTGTAAGGGCTTGGTCTGCGAGGCAGGCACTGACAGGCAGGGTATGTTGGCTAAAAGGAGGCTTGTGGAGGGTCTGTGGCACCCAGGGATAGAAATCAAGCTATCATAGAGGGCTTCAGAGTTTGCAAAAGACTTTGGACATGCACAGCCTCACATGAGCCAGCCTCCAACCATGGCAGCTGGGCAGGGCAGGGCTCACTGTTGTTATATCAGTTTTGTACTTGGGGGAAGGGGAGTAATTGAGGCTTTTTTCAGGGTCAACATTGGCTTTGAGACCTGAATTTAGGCCCATGAGGTTACAAATCTTACCCTCCTTTCCCACAGTGGTTTTTCCCAGACATGAGACCTGGGCTGCTTCAGGCTACATCAGAATCACCTATAGTACCTGTTAAAATACAGATTCTGGGGCCCACAGAATCAGAATGTGTGTGTGTGTGCAAGTGCAGGGGGCGAAGTTAGATAAATTCAGGTCATCCATACCTGCTGTTTCTCCTCCTTTCCCAGCCTTTTCTGCCACCTCTGGCCCAGGGCCTGTGGCAGCTCATGTGGGTGCTCACACCCAAAGACAAAGCTAATCTTACAAGAAGAATTCAATTTCTTTGCACACGAGAGACCACAGGCTCAGAGAGGTGAGTAACTTGCTTCAGACCACACAGCACTTAGAGATGGCAGACCTGGGATTCAAAGCTGTGTCCATGGCACCACTGGCAGCGTTTAGTGATGCCCTATGGCGATAAATAGGAGGGAGGGTATTCAGAGTGGGAGAAGAATTCAGCTTTTTTTTTTTTTTTTTTTTTTTTGTGAGACAGAGTCTCACTCTGTTGCCCAGGCTGGAGTGCAGCAAATTGATCTTGGCTGTGACCTCTGCCCCCTGGTTCAAGTTATTCTTGTGCCTCAGCCTCCCGAGTAGCTGAGATTACAGACGTATGACACAACGCCTGGCTAATTTTTGTATTTTTAGTAGAGATGGGGTTTCGCCATGTTGGCCAGGCTGGTCTCAAACTCCTGACCTCAAGTGATCTGCGGGCCTCGGCCTCCCAAAGTGCTGGGATTACAGTCACGAGTACCATGCCCGGCTAGTTTAGCCTTTTAAGGTATGTGTGAGTGATGAAGGCTCAGCCCTCCAGTGCCCCACCCAGATCCTTTGGGCCCACTTACCGTCCAGCCTGGGGGGCAGGCACACTCGCCAGTGATGTGGTGGCAGGTGCCCCCATTCTGACAGGGGCAGCGCAGCTCACAGTGAGCTCCATGGCTCCCAGGAGGGCACAGCTCCTCGCAGCTGCATGGAGAAGCAGAGGTGTTAGACACAGCAGCATTCAGATCAGGTGGCAGGGCCCCAGTGCTCCAGGGTTCCCTAGGAATTCCTCCGCAGTTAATGGATCTGTATTAGGCACAGCATCCGCTGAACTGCAGTCCTGCTCCCTGCCAGGAGGGGGAAGCAAGGCTCAGACTGAATACATTGGAATGTAGGGTGCTTGGGCCAATACTTGTGGGATGACTTAAGTGTTCTTAGTGTACAGAAGAGTATTCTGGGGAGGAGGCTGAGGAAGGCTTCCCAAGGAGGAAGGCATTTTACTTGGGCCTTAAAGGTGAAGTTAATTTAACCAGGAGAATGGAAGGAAGGGCATGCCAGGCCAAAGTCATTGCATTAATGAAGGCACTGAGAAGTGCTCATGGATCCCATCTTTAAGAATCCACCTAGATTCAGAGAGGGGAAGAATCTGGAGCACGTTCCTTCCAGGCTCAGGAAGGCTCCCAGCTCCCATGACAGGCTCATTTGCAGGGACTGGGTGCTGTTGAAGGGTGGGGCAGGATTTGCATGGGGTCTTGGTCTTGGGCCTTCATCCAATGGCCCTGGCCTCTAGCTCACTAGGACTTGGGAGCTGGCCAGACATCGGGGTAGGGAACACCCTCAATCAACAACGTCTCTGTGGTCAGAGTCCTTGGCCACCCCTCAGGATCTAGGCTGTTGGAGAGGCCACAGAGTCTGCTACAGGGTTGGGAGGAGAACTTCAATCTTGCCTCTGAGGGGGTCTCAGCTAAGCAGTCTTGTAGGTCTCCTGTCAATACTACTCTCTGGGGAACTGGAATGAGGGGCTGTTTGGTGTCTGGGGAGAGAAAGTAGGGGAGAGGAACAGGCAGAGTAATCCTCCCAAATCTGTACATGGTATCTGCCTAGGACCCTCACCTCTCTCTGTCCCAAATGCCCTAGAAGGGAAGGCCCCAGGTGAGCAGCATCATTTGGGTAAGGTCAGAAGAGACTTTCAAGATAAGGGCTGTCTCTGCCAGGAAGGGCCTCCTGGGAGGGTTTTAGGGAGTGCCCACTCGGGCAGTCTCAGGAAGGACCAGTCAACGCGGTCCTGGAAGGAAGGAATCTGAGACCTGCGTGGGTGAGGCCTGGGCATTTAGACTCACAGGAGATTTCACAGCCAAGACTATCCCTCCTGGTCCCACCACCCAGCCCACCCACAAGGAGCCCAGGGCTGGGCGTGCAGCTGCGGTGAGGGCAGCCACTCCAGGCCCCGCCCCAGCCCCTCCACCTCCTCTACCCTCCCCACCCAGGCACCCTCCAGGTCCCGCCCCTCCAGGTCCCGCCCCTCCAGGTCCTGCCGCATGACTCACTAGACGCCGGTGTAGCCAGGTGCGCAGAGGCACTCGCCGGCGCGGGGGTCGCAGCTGGCACCGTGTCGGCACTGGCACGGCAGCTGGCATCCCTTGCCGTGGGTGCCAGGTGCGCAGAGCTCCTCGCAGCGCCATCCACGGAAGCCGGCGGCGCACACGCAGGCGCCTGTGATGGGGTTACACAGGGCGCCGTTCTGGCACTGGCACCGGTTGCTGCAGTGGGGCCCCCAGTGGTCGCTGTCGCAGCCTGCAAGAGACGGGACAGTCAGGGATCAGGAGCCCCGAAGGCTCTCCTTGGGGCAGGGGCCAGGAACCGATGCCCATGCGGCCTTCCCATCTTTGCAGCGCTGCTCCCCGGACAGGTGGCAGCAAGGGGTGCCTGGAAGCTTTGGTGCCTCATAACCTGCATCAGTTCTTCCACCAAGCCATGCAAATAGTCGCACAGGCTAAGAAGGGCAGAGCGTTTGTTTCCTCAAGGCAGCTTCAGAACCTACCTCCTGGTCCGGCCATTCTCTTCCAACCAAATGGCTGCCCTAAGCCCCCCTCTCCTGTATTGAAATTCCGGAGCCACAAGCTGTTTACATCCCTCTTTGCTAAGCTCTTGGTTGGCTGCCTGTTTCTGTTCCTTTCTGCCGGGCCCTTTCTTTTCCCATCTGCCACCCCTCTCCTCTGTGACCCTACCCCTCTCTTCTTGGGACCTGCGGGACCCAGCCCATTCCAGCTCCCATTTCTCTATCTTTCCTGCCCGCTTCTCCCTCTTCCCCACACGCATTGGTTTTCTCACCATTTGCATTTCACTCACTCTCTGGGAATATTTCCTCTAACTCCCTGCCCCTCCCCTGGCTCCATCTCCCTGTCACCCTTTTCATCTCTTCCTCATGCTTCTTCCTTTCAGTAATGCCTACGCCCCCTGGTTGCTTCAGCTTCAGTTCAGTTTCATTACTTTCCAAGCAGCCAGCTTCAGAAGGAGCAGGAAAAAGAAAGGCTTCCCTGGGAAGTAACAGGCAGCCTTCAAGATCTTTACATGTAATTAAATGTTTCAAAGAGAGATAGCTGAGCCAGTGTTGCAGAAATTCACACTCTACGGCTATGGAAAGGGGCTGAGTAGCAGAGCCCCAGAGAGGTCACCAAGCCTGCTGCCACCTCCCACTCTGACCCTCCCCGATGCATATGGGACACACAATAACAAGATGTCCTCAGTTATAGCCTCATTCGCTCAAATTCTGGGGTGAAAGTAGGGTGTGGAGTTCAGGCATGGACAGGCACACATAATGTTCTGGGAGAAGTTGGATGGAAAGAATGATTGCTCCCAGCTAAGGAGACCAGGCAAGGCTTCTTAAAACAGAAGCCATCTCAAGTGGGCTGTAAAGGATGTCTCACTTGTCTGGCTAATAGGGTGAGCAACCATCTTGCTTTCAGCACTGAAAGTTCCACATTCTGGGAAATCCCTCAGTCCTGGGCAAACTGGAGTGGCCGGTCACCGAGATTATCTGTTGCTGTTTGTGCTCCAGGTTTCTAGGGTTTAGACACTCAGAGAGGAAAGGGGGCAGGTGAGTGGGACTGGGAAGGTGTCACTGGGGTAGACTCAATATAAGCAAAGATACAGTGGCGTTCAAGTGTTGGGCGTGTACAAGGGTACAAGGTTCCAGTGTGGCCAGTAAGTGCATGTGATCTTTGGGGGCTGAAGGTTGGTGGAAGGATCAGCCCCACCAGTCCCCGACATGTCCCTCCTACCTGCTGACCAAGGTCAAGCGGTCAATGTCATGGAGCCTGCCTATCATCCTGTAGCAGACAGAATCACCAAGGCCTGGAACTCCCATTACCCTATCTTGGTTCATCCCTTCTTCATCTGTGCCCCAAGTATTCACACACACACAAACTGAACTGCCAAGTTATGAGTGAGTCTCACCCTATATTTTCCACCTGCTATTACAGTGAGTAAAGCAAAAATTAAATCCATTTATGCTACAGCCTCCACTCACATTGAAAAAGGCTCACAGAAGGCTGGACACCGTGGCTCATACCTGTAATCCTAGCACTTTGGGAGGCCAAGGTGGGTGGATTGCTTGAGCTCAAGAGTTCAAGAACAGCCTGGGCAACACGGTGAAACCTCATCTCTACTAAAATACAAAAAATTAGACTGGCGTGGCAGCATGCGCCTGTAGTCCCAGCTACTTGGGAGGCTGAGTCAAGAGAATTGCTTGAACCCGGGAGGCAGAGGTTGCAGTGAGCTGAGATTGCACCACTGCACTCTAGCCTGGGCGATAGAGCAAGACTCCGTGTCAAAAAAAAAAAAAAAAAAAAAAAAAGGCTCACAGGACAGAGAGTGACTGAGTATCCAGCAGTCCAGCACCTCCTACCTCATCCTCTCTTTGGGACACACACTCAGTGAGCAGAAGGACTAGCAGAATTATCTATGGTACCATTTCTCTTTTAGTTGCCAAGCACACGTAGTTGAATTCACATAGCTTATTGTCCATATGTTGTGACTATTATGATAATGACAACCACATTTTACTTATTTATTTATTTATTTATTTATTTTGAGACAGAGTCTCGCTCTATTAGGCAGGATGGAGTACAGTGGTGTGATCTCGGCTCACTGCAACCTCTGTCTCCCGGGTTCAAGCAATTCTCCTGCCTCAGCCTCCCGAGTAGCTGGGATTACAGGCGCCTGCCACCACGCCTGGCTAATTTTTGTATTTTTAGTAGAGATGGGGTTTCACCATGTTGGCCGGGTTGGTCTCAAACTCTTGACCTCAGGTGATCCACCTGCCTCAGTCTCCCAAAGTGCTGGGATTACAAGTGTGAGCCACCACGCCCGGCCAGACAGCCACATTTTAAAAGCTGCCTGTGTGCCAGGCACCATCCTAGAAGTGCTACATACATGACTAAAATTTAATCCTCACAACAACCATGTAAGTTAGGTTTTCTTATTTTCCCATTTGACGGAGAATACACGGTCAGAGAAGTTAAGTGATTACCTGAGGTTACAGCAAGAGCAAGCCCAGCTCTCCTGGTTCTAGCTCTCCCCACTGCAGGTCTTTGGGACACTTTCTGGAGGATGAGTCCAAGGAGTGAAGTTTAGAGGTGGCCTTGGGGACAAGGTGGCAGCCACGAAGCACAGATCAGGGATACCACAGAGACTAGCCACTTCTTCTCTGTTCGTCACTGTGAACCACCACAGGATCCAGCACAAGGAATTTCCTTCGTTTGTTGGGGCTGCAGTTACTGCCCTGAGACCTTGGTTCTGTATGAAACTGTTGGAGCCAAAAGGCAGTTTGTTCTCGGTGCATCGCAGGGCATACAGTTATGCTTTGCTTATCAAACAACCTCTGTTCTTTCTGGCACAGCCAAAACCCAGTAGGAAGCAAAACTAGCCGCCTGATAAGGAAGCCAGAATATTGTCATAAAGTCCACATGGTAACACTTGGGTGTTTTCATTCTTCTGCTTGTCCATTCAAAAACATTTACCAAGGACCTGCTACTGCCAGAAAGCACCCTGCCCTATTGGGGTGCACAGTCTAGTAGGGGCAGAAATGCTGGAGCAGCATTCATGGTACCCTACGAAAGTGCTCTAATAAGGGCAGCTCAGGGGATTATAGAAGGACATGTAAACACAATTCTATTAAGCCTGGCACTCTGCTTTCTCACAACACAGACTGGCATGTGAGTGTGTGTGTATATGCACATGTGTATGTTTGTGTCTGCATTTTTTTTTTTTTTTGAGACAGAGTTTTGTTCTTGTTGCCCAGGCTGGAGTGCAGTGGCACGATCTCAGCTCACTGCAACCTCCACTTCCCGGGTTCAAGCGATTCTCCTGCCTCAGCCTCCCGAGTAGCTGGGATCACAGGCACCCACCACCATGCCCAGCTAATTTTTCGTACTTTTAGTAGAGACAGGGTTTCATCATGTTGGCCAGGCTGGTCTCGAACTCCTGATCTCAGGTAATCTACCTGCCTCAGCCTCCCAAAGTGCTGAGATTGTGGCTCAGGACAATGTCTGCATGTTTTATGGGGCTCCTAAAAAGTATGTGAGCAAGAGCTCTGTGTCATAGTAAGAAACTATGGAAATAGGAAACATTTATAGATGAAAAAAAGCAAAGCAACTTGCAGCCATTAATATAGGGGCAAATAGCCTCTCATATCCAAATTGACAGGAAGAAGTGACATTCAATTTAGAATATTCTGATTAAGGAAGCAGAGAAGTGTGTAATTCATTCCAGAGAAATTTCCCACCAGAGTGATTAAACAAAAAAAAACAATGTTAGGGTTCACAGGGATAAGCTTCAGTTATCTAGAAAATTCACTTAAAACACCTCATTCTCCAGCAATGACAGAGAAATGAGGCAGAGCTGCAGCGAGTCAATTATCAACTCTGCTGAAGGTGACTAAAAACTACCATCATTATAATTACAAGAAGACTTTGCATTCTTTCACAGAGAATCGCAAACTCTTACCAATTTGGCCTTGGAATGTCACCCCTCACACATTTCTTTTTTTCTGTCCCAGGCTTTCCTTCCTAATTATATTGGGCTTTGGCTGATTTTTCCTTTTTTTTTTTTTTTTTTTTTGAGACAGAGTCTCAACTCTGTTGCCTAGGCTGGAGTGCAGTGGTGCAAACTCGGCTCACTGCAACCTCTGTCTCCTGGGTTCAAACAATTCTTGTGCTTCAGCCTCCTGAGTAGCTGGGATTACTGGCTGATTTTTTAAGTGGCTAGATTGTCTCTGGGCAGCTACTGGGGGCTGAAGGGCACCTGGAAGTGTGTGGCCCGGCTTGTTCTGTTCCTCGAGGCTGGGCAACTCACCCCCTTCCCCTGCTGACTGCTTCAGACTTTGGGGTCCAGGCTTAGTGTGCCCCTGGGTCCCCAAGAGGGCAAATGGCTTCACCACCGTCTTCTTCACCGACAGGCTTTTAAATTTGTAACTACAGTTGATCAGGCAGTTACTAATGCCAAGTCATGAGATAAAGGTGCAAAGTGAATTTTCTCATTTAATTCTCACAACAACCTATAATAATAGCACTTGCTGCAGATGGACACGGTATGCTGGCAGCCAGCCTGGGCTTAAACAGCCACCCTTGAAAATCCATAAAGAGGTGAGAGCAGAGACTGATTTTCCACAAGTGCCTTATTCAGGGACTGGTTTATGTGTGAATGGTGGGCGTAGGTCCTAGGTTTTCCACGACTGGCCCTATTTCCCAAAATTTTATTCTCTTAAGATTATCTATTGTTTACTCAGATTTTTTTTCTATTGTGGTAAAAGATATATAGCATACAAATTTCCATTTTAATCATTTTTAAGTGTGTAATTCAGTGGCATTAATTACATTCACAGTGTTGCACCAACTATCAGCACTATTTCCAAACTTTTCCATCACCCCAAATATAAAAACTCTGTAGCCATTAAGCAGTAACTCCCTAGTTCCTCCCCTACCACACTGGTAACCTTTAAGCTTCTTTCTTTCTATTTTATTATTTTTATTTTTTTGACAGAGTCTTACTCTGTCACCCAGGCTGGAGTGCAGTGGTGCGATCTTGGCTCACTGCAACCTCCACCTCCTGGGTTCAAAGGATTCTCCTGCCTCAGCCTCCTGAGTAGCTGGGATTATAGGCATGCGCCACCATGCCTGGCTAATTTTTGTATTTTTAGTACAGATGGGGTTTCACTGTGTTAGCCAGGATGGTTTCGATCTCCTGACCTCGTGATCTGCCCACCTTGGCCTCCCAAAGTGTTGGGATTACAGGCATGAGCCACAGTACCCGGTCTTTTTTTTTTTTTTTTTTTGATGGAGTCTCGCTCTGTCCCCCAGGCTGGAGTGCAGTGGTGCGATATCTGCTCACTGCAACTTCTGTGTCCCAGGTTCAAGTGATTCTTCTGCCTCAGCCACCTGAGTAGCTGGGACTACAGGCGTGCATCATTACACTCAGCTAATTTTCCTATTTTTTTGTAGGGATGGGATTTCACCATGTTGGCCAGGCTGGTCTTGAACTCCTGGGCTCATCGATCTACCTGCCTCGGCCTCCCAAAGTGCTGGGATTACAGACATGAGCCACTGCACCTGCCCTCTGTCTTTATGAATTTGCCTGTTTAGATATTTCTAGATTCTAAATGGAATCATACAATATCAGTCTTTTGTATCTGGCTTATTTCACTTTGCATAACATTTTCAAGGTTCATCCATGTTGTAGCCTGTATCAGGACTTCATTCCTTTTTATGACAGAATACTATTCAATTGTATGGACAGACTACATTTTGTTTATCCATTCGTCTGTTGATGACACTGAGTTGTTCCACCTTTTGGTTATTGTCTAGAAGACAACAGTGAACACTGGGATATAAGTATCTTTTAGAGTCCCTGAAGACAATTCATTAAAGGGACACAACTAAATATGTTTTGATGCCGTTATGGACTGTACTAGGAATAATAAATAATGCGGCCGACCATTACTTTTCTGCCTTCACTACTGTATAGGAAGGTTTAGGTGCCTGTGCCCAGTCTGCTGCATTAGCCCTGGAGTCTCTCTGGGCTGGAGGAAGACAGGAGCTAAGGTGTGTCCTTAGTTTGTGATTGCCCTTTACTTTCCCCACATCCACCATCTGGTCCCACCCTGCAGCCAGCTCAGCGGGGCACAAGAAGAGCTGTCAGCAGTGCTGTTGAAGGTGACTGGCCAGCCCTTCTCCCAGCTACCAAAGAACCCCCTCCCAGCTGCTTGTAGGATTCACTTCTTCAGACAGTGGTTCTTGGCCTGGCTGCAGATCAGCATCACTGGGGCAGTTTTAAGAAACACTCTTGCTTGAGATCTACCCATGGCCATTCCAAATGAATTGGTCTAGGGTGGTAGGGCCCAAGCATAGGTCCCTTGAAAAGCTCCCCAGGTGAGAACTCTTTTTTCCCATGATCTCTGTTCTCACTGGTCCTCTCAGGGAGATGTGCAGGAGGATGCTGGGCTGGAGGTGGGGTGGGAGAGAAGGTTAGTCCTTCCCATTCCATAGACAGGAATCCTGAGACCCAGCAAGCAGGAGGAGTTGGCCTCTGAATTGAAGGTCAAGGGATGGAAATGAACCTGGAAGCCACTGCCCCTGAGCTACCCCAGCTTGTACTAAGGACTGGGCCAAGGCCCCCACCTCCCTTCTCCTCTCCAGCAATGGGAAGGCCTGATGCAGTCACAGCCCCTCCCAGAAAGGTCTGTGGCCCCCAATCTTCCACCCCACCCACAGAAGCAGCAGCGAGAGCTGACAGGTCACGGGATTGCTCCTGAGTTTACAAAGCAGTAGGCAGGGAGGCAGAGATGGAGCAGCAGCCGCCGGAAACCATTCCAGCTGATAAATAAAGTGACTTCCCAGTGAGTGAGGCCATTTGTCAACTGACTTGCCCCAGTAAAAGCAAAGTCAAGTTCTCCGAGGCTGAGCCCCTTGCTCTTTCCAGGCCTAAGCTGCAATTCTGAGGGAGCACTGAAGGATGGGTCAGAGCCAATGCTGGGTACTCCTGGGCAGCCTCCTTCCCTCTTTGGGCCTCTGTTTTTACATCTGTAAAACAGGTTTGGATCAGTGGTTCTTGCCTGGAGTAGGTCACCCTCCCCAAGACAGCATCTGGAAATGGGAGGGGGGAATTTAGGTTGTCACAAATAATCCCAGGGACAATTGTACACAATTTAGAACTGTATCCTGGCTGTGTGCAATGGCTCGTACCTGTAATCCCAAAACTTTGGGAGGCCGAGGAAGGAGGATCACTGAGATTAGACACTTGAGACCAGCCTGGACAACACAGTGAGACCCTGTCTCTACCAAAAGCTAAAATTATCTACCAAAAGCTAAAATTATCCAGCTGTGGTGGTGCACACCTGTAGTCCCAGCTACTTGGGAGGCTGAGGTAAGAGGATCACTTGAGCCCAGGAGGTCGAGGCTGCAGTGAGCTATGACTGTACCACTGCTCTCCAGCTGTGCAACAGAGACTCTGTCTCTAAAAATAAGATAAATAAAATACAAATAAAAAATGCCAAAGATGTCCCCATTCAGAAATACTGGGCCAGATGCGGTGGCTCACACCTGTAATCCCAACACTTTGAAAGGCTGAGGCAGAAGGGTAGCTTGAGTCCAGGAGTTCAAGACCAGCCTGGGCAACGTGGCAAAACCCCATCTCTACAAAAATTATAAAAATTAGCTTGGTGTGGCGGCATGTGCCTGTAGTCCCAACTACTCAGGAGGCTGAGGTGGGAGAATTGCTTGGGCCTGAGAGGTCGGGCTGCAGTGAGCTGTGATGGCGCCACTGTACTCCAACCTTGGTAACATGGTGAGACCCTGTCCAAAAGCAAGCAAACAAGCAAGCAAGGGAAGAAAGGAAAGAAAGAAAGAAAAGAAAAGAAAAGAAAAAAAAGAAAAGAAAAAAAGAGAAAGGAAAAGAAAAAAGAAGGAAGGGAAGGGAAGAAAGGGAAGAAAGGAAGAAAGGAAGAGAAAGAAAGAAAGGAAGGAAGAAAGAAAGAAAGAAAGAAAGAAAAAGAAAGAAACAAACAAACACTGGTAGGTAAATGCTGGAGACTCTTCAAGTCCCAATGCTGTGTGATTCTCTGCCCTGTTGCCAAATGTCCCCACTTGAGAAACAGGCCAGAGGACACAGGGATAGGAGGTGTGTTTGTATGAAAAAGAAAAATTGGAGGTGGTTACCCGAGCTCTGAGCTGAGCTATCACTCAGTTTCCTATCTTTCTGCCACTTAGATTGTTGGAATTAAATATTAATAGACCAAGGTAGATTAAAACCCAAATCTCTTGACACAGTCCCTAAGCCTAGAAGATGCTGACAGCACAGGATTATAATGATGTATCATTAGCTCTTAGTGATCTATTTATTACACTTGTTACTCGGTGTTACTTAACCACACCGTCTATACCTCCCTTAAACCTCCAAGGGGAGGCTGGGATTCACAGAGGCTGCGGCTGCATATCCCACCCATCTCCTAGGGTAGCAGGGATGGAGGAGTGAGCACACGCACGTGGGGAAAACCCTAACCCCGAGAGCTTACCAGGGACCAGCTGCATTCTCCCATGGGTTGTTTCCTCTAATTTTCTTACTAATCCTGTGCCAGTTATTCATACCCTGCCTCATTCCAAAGAGGATCTGAGGTAAACCATGTGAGATGTGATTATGATTCCATTTTCCAATGAGAAAACTGAGGTTCAGAGGCATTAAATAACTAAATCAGGGCTTCTCAACCTCAGCACATTTTGGGCCAGAAAATTCTTTGCTATGGGGAACCATCCTGTGCATTGCAGGGCATTTAGTGGCATCCCTGGCCTCTACCCACGAGATGCCAGTAGTACCTCCCCGACACACATACACACAATTGTGGCAATCAAAAGTGCCTCCAGATATTGACAAACATCCCCTGGCAGTGGGTAACATCACCTGATTGTGAAAGGTGAAGTTGAGAGTCATATATTGGCTTTCTTTACTGCTAGGCTTTAGAAGTCATCTTGTGTACACTCCACATTTTACAGGTCAGGAAACTGGGCCAGAGAAGCTGAATGACTTGCCCGTGACCACACAGCTAACAAACTGGAGAGCTGCATTTGAAACTAGCTGACTGTATCCATCTAGGGCTCTTTGCCTCCCATCACACCAGCTATTACGAGATGAGAGGCTCAATGTCAAACAATTATCAAGCACCTATCATGTTAGGGGCTCAGAAGCCTGCAGTCAGTTTGAGAAACAGACAAGCAAATGGGAAACTGTCAGAACACGGGGTGATGAGAGGAGCTCTGGGCAAGCTGTCTGCTAAAACTGGGGAGGGTGCTCCACTGTCAGGCTAGAGACAAGGAGGCCCGGGAGCGGGCAGTGTCTCGGGCAGCAGGGCAGGAGGGGGAACAAAGGCCATGGGTACATTCAATGCCCTGAGCAAAGGCAGTTGCTCCAGCTCATTACCTTCCTCATCTCTATTGCCGTAGCTTCCACCACAGCTCCAGGCAGCCAGGTCCATTTCAACCAGGAGTATCACCATCAACATTTCAGGAGTGAGTGGGGAGATTCAGGAGCAGTTTTATCAGAGCCGGGCATCTCTCTGCAGATGGCTGAATTGAAACCAACACTGAGCCCCTGCTTGAAATATCACTGCACCTGCTTGGCACTGCACCATTAGGACCCCGTTCCTCAAGGGCTGCAGGAATCCCTATTAAAATGCAAACAACCCCGTTTGTGCCTCTGTGTGTGTGTGTGGGGGGGGGGGTTAGTCACATCCTGAGGCACTATCAGCCATTAATATCTCAGTTATCTCTTAATATCCAAGTGGCAATTAGCAGATCTGGAAGCCAGATTCAGCAGGGTATGTGTATGTTTATTGACCTGCTTTAGGAGAGAGGAGGTGGGAAGATGGGAAAGTCAAATTTATCAACTTCGGGGACTTTATCAGGGACTTTATCGGGGACTTTTTTTTTTTTTTTAAATCAGCATCTGCTCTGGATGTAGAATGCCACAGTATTGTGTGGACAGATAATGGGAAGGAACAGTAAGTGTGAGAGACTTTGCAGGTATGATCTTGTTCAATTTAAGCCACAACTGCTCAGGATAGCTATAGTTATCCCCCTTCACAGAGGAAGGAACCAAGGGCAGGTGTGGCCAGGTGGCTTGCCCACAACTTCACAGCGAGGGTGATCTCTGGCCTGTTTCTGAGATGAGGACATTGAGGACCCAGGAGGCACCGCAGAGCTGGAACATTGGAGTTCTTTTATACTTTGTTCAGAAGAAGGTATTGACACCCAGAGAGCCAGATCACCCATGAGAGGCAGGAGAGGAGCAAGACTCCCGGAACTCCTGCCAGGTCTCCAGACGGTGCTGATCACGGAGGCTGATGCCACCTACCTGCGCTCCCGGCAGGAGCACCCCGCACTGTCCTCCCTGCTGTTCTAGAGTCCAAGTCAGCACTCATGCACCACCCCCAACCTCTGTCCTGTGGCATTTATCCCAGCAGATAAAGGTACCTCAGTGACCCCAGCACTTTCACCTTATACCATACAGCAATGAGGTCTATGAGGCTCGGGGTGAGAGGCAAACTGCAGTGGGCTGTCCCACAGGGACCCAGGGACCCAGAAAGCTATCTGTCCTTAGCTCTGCTCAAAGCCCTCCCCTCCACCCACAGGCTTTTAATGAAGGCCCAGCTCCCAGCGGCCCAGCAGCTTCTGATCTGTTTGCATCACTGCCTTTGAAGCTTCCCAGCCCCAAAGACCATTTATCTCCACAATTTGCCTGGAAAGCCTCATAAATCATGTCTGTGCACAAAGGAATTACCTCTTTGGAAGAGCCTTTCAAAGGCAGCTGGCAGAGACACCGGGCTAGCCTTGTTGGTCCTGCACCCTCCCCGACGTGGCCCCCTCACTTGCCTTTTGGGGTCCCTGAGCAAGTCTCAGGCTGTGTGGGGGCGGGTAGGGGAGGGAGAGGGTAGGGATCAAGGGGAATTTGGTGATGCTTTCCCAGCCATGTAGGCTCTGAGGGAAATGAATTCACAGTCGGAGTGGGCAACGGCACTGGAAGTTGTGGGGTCCAAGCCCATTTCCTCTGAGGAGTGAACTCCAGACATGACCATTTCCCCATCATTCCCCTTCCCACCATGAGGTCTGGTCTGGAGGAGGGAGCCTCTCTCTATCTCTCTCACGGGCTGTGGGCAAGGCACCACCCTTCCAGACGTCAGTGTCCCCCTTGGCAAAAAACAGGATCAGGCCAGATGACTGTGTGCCAAGCTGTGCCCATGGAGTTCAGAGGAGTTCTCTGCCTGGAGCGGGGTTGGGCTGTGACAGGGGCCCCGGACCTCCCATTTCCAGGGCTCCAGAGCTGCTGTGTTTTCGACCTGGATCCTCACACAGGGACAAAGCACTAAGCAGCTAAAAGCGGGGAGGGTGTGCAAAAACCTAATTTCTGCCTTTAAACGTCTGTGTTTAATTCCTCTCACACTCAGAAAGTTCTTCCCTAGGTCTCACTGAGGAAGTTCTCACTGGAAGTTCTTTCTTTTCCATCACCCACTCACTGAGCAGCCACTTCAGGGCCTGGCACTGAGAAGGATGCTTGTGGGGAGGCAGTCAGACTGGTACTGTTCCTAAGGGACTTTCTGCCTGGTACTGTGGGCCACACCCCCACTAAGAATAAGCAGGAAGCAGAGACAGGAGCAGTGGAAGTGGAGGCTGTGCAGAGGCCCGGCTCCCTGGTGGGCCCACGGAGCATTTTGGAATGAAGGCCTGCCTCACCTGTTGCCCTATTCATGCTGGAGCTGGGGGCCTTTTTCACCGGGTGGGAAAGAGGAGTGAGAGAGGAGTTGTGTTGAAGCGACTCCAGCAGCTTATCTGTGGGTTCACAGGCACCAGGGAGAGGTGAAGCAAGTTAGGGTGATTTGGACCTGGGCAGCCGAGAGTCAGCCAGAAGGGGGCCGTGGGCCAGGGGCAGGAGGGACCTGGGATCTGCCCTCTGGGCTGTTCATCCTGGGAGTTGATGCTGCACCCCAAAGGCCTGGCAGGAGGCTGTTCCCACCAGCAGGTTCACTGGCTCTGCTGATCGTCCAGCAGCATTCACACCACCACTGTTTCAGCCAAAGGAATTCACAGTTGTGCCACCTTTCATTTTGGCAAAGGCAACATCTGGAGCCAACTGGTGCTCCTGGTGCTTGGAGTTGCTTTGGCCTAGGTCTACTAAGAACTGATTGGATGTAGGGTCCAGACTGGGTGGGGCTTAAGTGCAGCAGCTAGAGGTCACATGAGATGCTGAAGGCTGGGCTTGCTAGAGGTCAAAGTGCATTGGGAGCTTGGGTGTGGTGGGGAAGGGGTTAATCTACCTAGGATGGCCTTGTGTAATGAGTGGGATTTGATCTGGGATCTTGAAGGAGGAACGGGATTCTGATGGGTGGGAACACAAGGGAAGACAGTCTGAGTGGAGGGGCCGGTAAGAGCACAGGGAGGGGGCGTGCAGGGCTGGCAGGGCAGCCTGGAAAGGCGGGTACACAGCCTGGGTAGGCTGCAGAGGGCCTGGAAAGGCTAGACCACTACTTCCCAAACTCTCCATGGGGAAAGACCAAGTGTCTTGTTTTGTTTGTTTTCTAATCCATCATATGGTCCTCACTGAGCATGACTCCTGTGATGTTCATACCACCTGGGACTCATCATGAACATCTGACAACACCCAAGTTTGTCTATACTCTGCTCAATGAGAGGAACCCTCCAACCATGTGCGTGGCTGTGACAGCAATGTCAAAATTACCATAAAGGTTGCTAAACGTTTACTCTCAATTTCTTACTTATTTCATCATTGGCCAGTAACAGCCCCTAGACTGCATGTCTAGAGAGCACACTCTGAAGAGCACTGGGCTAGGCGCAGGTCAGAGGAGAGCTGAAGAGCCCATCAAGACAGGTTTGCAGGTGGTTTTACTCCAGCTAGGCAAGATTCCTGTCCTTTCTGTGTCCTTCAGGAAGTCCTGCAGATTCCCAGAGGCTGCTGTGCTACTTAAGGGATGAGGCACTTGGGGATGATAAATATAACCAAGGATGATATTCAAATGACTTCCTTACTGGCAGAGCAGGGTGCCCACCAGCTGCCTGGTGGGTTGGCGCCTGCTGGCTGTATTCAGGACGTCCAGGGCAGTGGCAGCAAACACACAATGCGCCCTACTATATGTGAAGCACTGTCTGAGTGCTTTACAAGTAGTATCTTACTGTACCCTTCCATCATCTCCATTTATAGATGAGCAAACTGAGGCACAGAGAGGTAAGGGACCTGCCTAAGGAGAGCATCCAGATGTCACCAGAGTCCTGGGGAAGCCTCCACCCTCCCTGCCTCTCACCCCATCTGGGAGCTGTGGACACTGGGGTCCTAGTCCAGGTCCCTCTGCTGACTTTCGGGGTGGCCTCAGGGAAGACACATCCCCTCTTTGGCGTTTAGTTTTTCCATTGTAAAATAAAGACACTAGCACTGGATGCTCCTTGACATGCCTTCCATCTCTCAGAGTCACCTGGGGAAATCCGTAGGGCAGGGATGAGAAGAGCACGTCCAAAGGGGGAAAGCAAATTGTGGGGTGCAAATGAGTGTTGGGCACCTCTGCTCACAGCTGCCATTGAATGATAGGCAGAAATAGAATTTCCAAACCAATACAGCAAATGAGCATTTGCCTCACTTTATGTAGCCCTTCTTCCAAGTTCTTGTGCAATGAACTTGCCCTTTAAATACTGTGGGAAACTTGCTATTTGAAATAGCCCTGTTTATCTCTAGCACACTTTTTTTTTTTTTTTTAATCTCAGATGGAGTCTCACTCTGTCGCCCAGGCTGGAGTGCAGTGGTGCGATCTTGACTCATTGCAACCTCTGCCTCCCGGGTTCAAGTGATTCTCCTGCTTCAGCCTCCTAAGTAGCTGGGATTACAGGCGTGAGCCATCACACCCAGCTAATTTTTGTATTTTTCGTAGAGACAGGGTTTCATCATGCTGACCAGGCTGGTCTCAAACTCCTAACCTCCAGTGATCTGCCCACCTCAGCCTCCCAGAGTGCTGGGATTACAGGCGTGAGGCACCATCTAGCATACTTTTGAGCTTCCACAGCACCTCTATGCTGACCAGAGCAAACACTGGCATTCCCACTGGTCAGATGGATAGCCTGGGGCCCAGAGAAGTAAAGCAGCTTGCCCAAGGCCATTGGTCTGGTGAGTTGGAGAGTTGAGACCCCAGGTCCACCCAGCATTCTCCATGGCGCCACTTCCCCAGTGGAGTCACTTCACATGGGCCCCACCTATCGGTGGGAAGCACGTCGCTTTGGGATTGGGGACTTCCTCAACTCTGTCTTGCTATTTATGTTATTTGTGTCATGGTCCATTTGTCCCCAGGCAGGGGAGGGACTTTGAGAGGAGCTCCCAGCTGGGTCTGCCAGTCAGAGGACACTCTATCCATCACTGCTGGACAATGACCCCTGGTTTCCCTGGAGAGAGGAGGCCTGAGAGTGAGTGACAAATGGTATTCCTGTCTATTGAGAGTTATTATCAAAGGATGGGACTGGATGCTCCTGGGATCTGCCAGGATGAAGCCAAGGAACGACACTTCTGCTGCAGCAGTAGGAGGTCAGCTTGGTGGGTCATTTGTTCATTCACTCAACAAGACTTGATTGCTATGTGCCAGTCACTGGGGATTGAGTGGGGAATAAAAGCACCATGGTCCTGTCCTGGAACTCACAGCCTAGCAGCAAAGTGAGACAGTAAGCAAAGCAAGGCCTTTATTCCTCTGCTCAAACACTACATCCTTAGAGTCTTCTTGGATTACCCTTTCCAAGCTCTCTCCCCCATCCTCTGGCTTTATTTTTTTCTTTAAAGCGCTTATTCTATCTAATACGATGTAACCACTATATTGCCTACTTTCATCCTTTTGTTTACTGTCTGGGATTCTTACTAGAATGTCAGCTCCATGAGGGCAGGGGCTCTGTTTTATTCACTGTTATATCCCCAGCGCCTCGAACAGTGTCTGGCATATAGTAGATGCTCAATAAATATTTGCTGAATGAGTGAATAAATTAACAAGTAAGTATATAATTATAAGTTGCAGTAAGGGTATGGAGGTGTAAACAAGAGCTTGATAGAAAACAATGAGAGGGACTTCCTTTCAATTGGGAGGCCAGAGAGGTCGCTCTGAGAAGGTGACCCGGACACTGAGAACCGAAGAATGAGAAGGAGATGGCCATGGGAAGAGCGGGAGGTAAGAAGTGCTTTCTAGGAAGAAGAAAGGGCCCGGGCAGATGTCCCGGGGTGGGGAAAGGCTTGGTAGAGTCAAGGCACGGGCAGGGGTGGGGGGCACTGTGAGGGAAAGGTGGCTCTAGGTGAGGTAGAGAAGGCAGGTGATGTGTGGCCACAGCAGGGAGCTGGGATTTTAAGAGCAATGGGAAGCACTTTAAGTGCTCCATCATGAATTCATGAAAGCAGTAAAGCAGGACTTCCCTGTGGCAGGACTTGCAACCCTGGTCTAAGAGGGAGACAGTCCCTCTCTGCAGCTCATCATCATCCCTGGTAGGCCAGTGCCTGCTCGCTTAGAATGAGAGAGAGAAAGAGAGAATGAGTCTTTCCACTCCTCAGATTTGTTCATGACACTGCCCAGTGCCGGTGAGATGCACTCCCCTGCCAGGTAAGAAAGACACAGCCAGGGAGGAGCCAGGTGAGGGCAGGAGGAGCAGTTGGGGCAGCTCAGTGCATCCAGGAGATTCAGAAAATGTGCTGACAGCTGTACACAAACCGAGACTTCTTAAATTACAGCGCCCCTCTTTAGGAGCAGCGGAGGCCTCACTAAATATAGTTCCCCTCATTGTTATTTATGTCTCTGGGTGCCAAGCAATGATTCCTGAAATCTTTCTTACCCGTCACTAAAAGCGGGTGCTGCATTTGCCAGAAGTTGGAGACGTAAGAGGGCAGGTCACGGTGGTGGTGGGTCCCCACATGCAGCTGAGAGTTATGGCAGGAGGTTCGGGGGTGTGGGGAGGACCAAAGCCATTCTGGGAGCTGATGGCCTCGTCAGTCACCCAGCAAGGAACACAGCCAGCACTTGAGCAAATGGTGTGAGGTTAATGACCCTTAGGATTTCTCATGACCTCAGGCGTGGCCCACAGCAGCAGGAGGCTTCATTAAGCAGGACATCTACATTTTCTGCTGCTGGAACATCCTGGGAGCTCTTAGGGGTTTGGGACTTTGGAGGGAATCTAATGACCTTCACTTGGTAGAAGTGGCCCAGGCCTCAGCACCCCCTCATTCTGTCTAGCGGGGCCCAGCCTCTTCCAAAGGACAACGCTTGTCCTCCATGTGGGTGTCACTTCTTTTTTTTTTTTTTTAAGACAGGGTCTCGTTCTGTTGCCTAGGCTGGCACACAGTGGCACAGACACAGCTCACTGTAGCCTAGGCCTCCTGGGCTCATGTGATCCTCCTGAGTAGCTGGGACTACAGGCACATACCACCATGACCGGCTATTTTTTTTTAATTGTAGAGATGGGGTCTCCCTACGTTGCCCAGGCTGGTCTCAAACTCCTGAGCTCAAGCCATTATCTGGCCATGGCCTCCCAAAGTGCTGGGATTACAGGGGTAAGCCACTGCACCTGCCCGGTATCACTTCCTTAAAGACCCTGAAGACCCTACATGAGGGGGGCTTCTCCATCCTCTAAAAGCCCCCTTATCCTTAATTAGGCTCAGATTAATGCTTCCTCCTTAGAGAAGCTTCAAGAACCTTCCTGCTTCCTCCACCTCATGTGCCCACTGCTTTTTGCATTGGGTTAAGGTGGATACTGACCCATCAGGCCCCTGAGCTTTGGAATCACACAGACCTGGGTTCAAATCCCACCTCTGCCTCTTACCACCCATATGACCTGAGGAAGCATTCACTCCTCGGGTCTCAGTTTCTTCATCTCTCCTATAAAATGGGGCTCTTGTGTGCCTGATAGGGTTGCCATCAGGATATGATACAAAAGTACCTTATTCAATGCCTGGCAAGAAGGAGGTGCTCGGTACTACATTTCAACAAAACATTCAAGAAAATGTGGAGATAAATGAATGAATAAAGTCAATGATCAAGGCATCATGCTATGTGCAAGTAAATTAATTAGGTAGCAGAATTACTGTCAGGATTGACGGTAGGTCATTATCATCATCCACTGGCTGTAAACTCCTTCAGGGGAGGCACTTGGTTTGGGCTTCCCCAGAAGCAGACCCTGAGGTGGCTCCAGGAAGCCAGGTAAGGGAAAGGGGCAGTGCACAGGGAAGGGAAGGGAGATGAAGTACAAGTGCTGCTTAACCCACCGGACCTCTGGGAGACTATGAAGGCCACTGCCTCAGTTATCCCAGTCAAGGGCACGGAAGCCAGGGCATTTATCCATCAGCCTCTCTATCCTGTCCTTGGTGAAGGGCAGCTTAGGTGTTGGGTGCTCCCCACTAGCTCTGTGTGTCCTTCTGTGGTGGAGTGACAGGTGCTTGCTGGGGGCAGCCTCTGGTGTGTAAAGGTGAGCACTGAGGGGTCTAGGGAATCAAGAGCATCTGCAGCTGGACATGGTGGCCCACACCACTTTGGGAGGCTGAGACAGGAGGATGGCTTGAGGCCAAGAGTTCAAGGCCGGCTTGGGCAACATAGTGAGACCCTGTCTCTACAAAAAAATTTTTAAATATTAGCTGGACATGGTGGTACACACCTCTAGTGCCAGTTACTTGGGAGGCCGATGTGAAAGGATTGCTTCAGTCCAGGAATTCCAGGCTGCAGTGAGCTATAACTGCACCACTGCAGTCCAGCCTGGGTGACAGAGAGAGAACTGTCTCTTTGAAAAAAAAAAAGCAAAAGCACCAGCTTCAGGGCCCAAGTCTGTTTTGTTCCCCACTGTATACACAATCCCTGACATAACATGCTGTCTGATGTGTATCAGGGGTTGATATTAATATTTGTTGATTCAGTGAATAATTCATCAGCAAACTCCATACAGGAAATGGTTAGAGAAGCTAGGGATAACAAAATGACATGGTCCTCAGGTCTTCACAACCTAGAGTGGAGAGACGGAGACACTATTCCACAAGAAAAAAGACAATGGCTAAATCACACTAAAAGTGGAGAAGCGAAAGGCCCCAGGAAGAGGTGAAGGCACTTGAGGTAGGAAGAGGAGGATAGCCTCAGGGCTGGGAAAGCTTTAGGAGGAGATGAGACTTGGTGGGGCCTGGAGGGAGAGTGGGCTTAAAGGATGGGGTGGAGCTTGGGAGAACAGCATGGGCAAAAGGCTGGAGGCAGAAATGGCATCACAGGTGTGTTGGGAAACACTTGGGCAGGATACTCTGGTTGGAGAGTCTCTAGGTTCTCTAACCTGTCTGGTTCAGAGTTGACATGTGGGGACAGAAATTTGGCCTCAGAGGATGTCTAGAGTTAGGATTGGGAGCAGCCGCCAGCAGTGTGTGCCAGTAAGTGCATGTTGGAGAGGCTCCCTGCTGCTCTCAGATGCTGCTGGGAAGGCTGGAGTCCCCCCACACATCCACACGCCCCCACGAAAGTTTCTCTGTGTCTATTCTATGCAGTGCACAACCTGAACATCTGTACCTCGTGGCTCTGTCTGGCTGGTATGAGGAAGGGAGGAGAGAGGAATAAGAGGCACTTAGAAACTGAGGAAAAATAGACACTTCCCCAGGCTGGAAGGATTGGGAGCCCCTCAGGTCTCCAGCCTCTGTACTCCAGAGCCGGGTAGAGGATGCTGTCACAGCCAAGCATCGGGTTCCCTGGAAGCTGAAATACTAAAATGGTGGTCGTCACTCTGCTGCTCAGCCCCACCCTGAGAGGACAGGAGGCTGAGAAGCAGCTTCCCTGGTGTCTCTCCTCTCTCTCTGTCTCTATTTCCATCTCGGTGGCCTCACTCTCATTTTCACCTCCTTTACTCTGCCCCACCTTTCTTTCTCTC
This sequence comes from Homo sapiens, assembly GCF_000001405.40. NCBI lineage: Eukaryota > Metazoa > Chordata > Mammalia > Primates > Hominidae > Homo > Homo sapiens. The sequence goes on from NW_003315944.2 coordinate 93,467, forward strand.
TCATCTCCCCTCTCAATGGCTGGGTCCTGAAGAGGTGGAGGTGGGAGGACTAGGTGAGGCTGTCCCAGACTGACATGCTGGGAGATGTAGGGGGGTAGCTGGGAGGCCGTTTGAACTGGATGTTTGAACCAAAGGGGGTCCCAGTGGGCCTCCCCGAAGTGTGGGGTTTTCTTTTCTTTTCCTTTTAAAACATTTCACTTTCAAAGGAAGCCAGGCCCTGAGTGAAAGGAGCAGAATAAACTCAGGTGCACAATCAAAAGGCCTTTGAGCCTGGCTGAGAGCTCTGCGGTCCTCTCCTCTTCTGGGTCAGGGCTGGCAGGGGGATGGGGGACCTTTCAGTGCCTAATTGGCAGCTAATTGAATACTGGGGGTGGGAAATGGAATCCCCTCCCCTCACACCACAACCCCAAGGAAGTTGTTGGGGATTGGGTGAGCACAGATCTTTTCGACTCAGTGTAAAAGTGGATCTGTTACAGGTTTTCTTGCCTGCATCTTGGTGGTGGGGAGACAGGCTTCTGTTGCTTAATGAGCTCATGGCGCAAGCTGTCTCCAGCTGCAGAGCTCGCAGAGGATTTCAAGGCAAAGTTAACACTGTAGTTAGTTCTAGCTGGCTACCTGTCATCACTCAGGCTCGAGAGAGAGAACAATCTTATTAAAATGAGCAAACAGGAGGTAGGCTCCTCAGTAGAGCTCTCTAGGGGTGAGGACGGGGGTGGAGTCTGGTCACTCACAAAGCCCAGGAGAGCCCCAGACAAGTTTTTGCCTCATGGTTTAAAGTGGACCAAGGAGAACTTGGAAATCACTACTGTGGGGGCCTGGCCTGGGCCTGAGCTTGGGTCTGGGCATTAAGGTATAGGAATTCAGAGCATGAGCTGTGGACACCAATGGACCTGGGTCAAGTCCTGCTTCTGCAGGTGACCTTGGGCAAGTTACTAAAACTTTCTGTGCCTCAGTTTCTCCCATCTGTAGAATGCAAATGATAATAGCATTGACATGGTAGGGTAGTTGCAGTAATTGAATGTTTTTACACAGTGCAAGCACATGATAAATGCACAATAAATTGTAGCAATTATGATTATGAAGGACCAGGGCTGAGCAGGCTGTTCGCAGACCTCAGAGTCAAGAGTCCCATAGGTGACTCAGAGAGGTTGAGGAGGAGGATGTCAGTATAAAGTATTAGAACTGCAGAACCTGAGCAATCAGCTAGTCCAGTTCTCCCTTTTTGGGGTGAAGAAGCAGAGGTTTAGAAAGGGAAAATGATTTTTTCAAGGTCACAGGATGAACCAGGGCTGAGCCTAGAATAGTTCTCTTAAGTCTAGGGCTGTTTCTTTCTTTTCTTTCTTTTTTCTTTTTTTTTTTTGAGATAGAGTCTAGCTCTGTCACCCAGGCTGGAGTCATGCAGTGGTGCAGTCTCAATTCACTGCAATCTCTGCCTCCTGGGTTCAAGCGATTCTCCTGCCTCAGCCTTCTGAGTTGCTGGGATTACAGGTGCGCACCACCACGGCTGGCTAATTTTTGTATTTTTAGTGGAGACAGGGTTTCACCATATTGGCCAGGCTGGTCTCAAACTCCTGATGTCAAGTGATCTGCCTGCCTTGGCCTCCCAAAGTGCTGGGATTACAGTCGTGAGTCACCACGCCTGGCCCAGGGCTGTTTCTATCAGAGCATCTGAGCTGAACCACAGTCCTAGACATCCCCATGTGCTTGTCTTTTCCCTGCCATGTGCCAGTGAGTTATGGAGGTTTTCCTTATTTGTCATGTTTTTCTTAGGTCTCATGAAAGCAAATTTTCTATCCTTAGGGGTGGCTGAATGGAGGGTGGGGAGGAGATGGCCTAGGATAAGCCAGTGAAGCCTGAGAGTTGCCTTATCTGCCAAGCAACCCAACAGCACCAGGAGAAAGAGCAGCCGTGGTGGCCACAGACTGTTGTAACAGGCTCCCAAACCAGCACCCCACTTCGAGTCCCCTCCCTCACCCCACCTCTGCCCACCCCAGAATGGTCTTTCCAAATGACTAATCTGGTGAGGTCACTGCCCTGCCAAGAGCCTCTCCATGGCTTCTTTGTAAATCAAGGTTCAAGTCCAGGTGCATGACGGCCTGGCATTCAAAGCCCTCAGTGCTCAGGCCCAGCCTTCCCACTGCCCAGTCCCTCCATTCACCCCTTCATGCCCAGGTTCCTGGAAGCCCCTGCTTTCCTGTGCCTTAAACTTCACCAAAGCTACTCCTCCTGCTCCTGCACCCACAGTCCTGCTCCACTCTGTCCCATGCTAGACCTCCGACAAGGCAAGTCCATTTGATTTCCCTTATTATTCAGTTATCTTGGCCATGACTCAAATTTCTCATATGGAAAAGGGGGTAGGCTGAGGAACTTTTCCAGTGGTGATTTCTCTGATATTTCCACTTGCAAAAGGGTGACTCAATATCTTGGAGCTGAGGGAGAGAGCTAAAAAGTCAGAGAAACAACCCAAACACCTGTAAAACGGACATACCAATCCATGTCCTGCCCCACATTGAAAGCTGGAATGAAAGTAAAGATAATAGCCGTAAAAGTGCTTAGGATCACCCCTGAGCTCTTAAGTCCTCCCCCTAGACCTTGTTTTCCTCATTTGTTACATGAAGGGATTGAAAAAGGAGGTCTCTAGGAACTCTTCTGTCTCTGACATAACTTTCTGGATGAAGGGTCTTAACAACCATACACATGACCCCTGGGGAGAAAGAGAGGGAGGATAATTCAACCAGGGAGGGGCACAGAGGGGGGGCTTCAAGTATTTTTGTAATATTTTCTTTTCTTAAAAAGAATCTGGGGCAAATATAGTGAATATTAATATTTGTTCAGTCTGAGTGGTGGGTGTTTTTCATGTTATTTTCTCTATTTTCCTGTATGTCACAAATATTTAATAATTTTAAAAAGAATTTGGTGAACCTCTTCTCAACAGCCACCATTCCCTGACTTCCTGCACTTACGGAGATGCTGTCTCTAAGTGCAAACTATGGATCAACAGAAAGGACTGAATTTGGGGGTGGTAAGAGCCCCACTGCAAAAGGTATTCAAGCAGAGGCCAGATAGGCACTCAATATTGTGGGAGTGAATTCTACAGTGGGTGAAGGTTGGACTCTGTGACCTGAGAGGACCTTTCCAATTCTCAAGCCTCACAACACCCAGGGCTAGCGTATTTCTGCAGGCAATGGGACCCGGTGTGCTGTCCTTGGTGCTGAATTCCACCCCAATGAAATTTTGAACACAGACCTTGGAAACTAGAATAATAATCTTGTTACTATAAGACACAAATTAAGCCAGGCATGGTGGCACATGCCTGTAGCCCCAGCTACTTGGGAGGCTGAAGCAGGTGGATCGCTTGAGCCCAGGAGTTCGAGGTTGCAGTGTGCTATGATCATGCCTGTGAATGGCCTCTGCTCTCCATCTGGGGCAACATAGGGAGACTCCATCTCTTAAAAAAGAAAAACAGATACAAATTAATGGTTTAATTTCCAGGATATCCTGGTGATCGAAATGACAGGAGGGGATTCTGGCATTTGTTCTCCTGAAACTTCTTCTCCCACCTCCACTTTCTGCTAGTCGGTGCTTGTTCTTTCACAGCCTTAAACTGAAAAATACAGAACTGGGAGCCAGAAGCTCAGAATTGAGTTCAGGTTCAGTCACTGATAGCCTTTGTGACCCAGAGCAAATCCCTTACAACAGTGAGTCTCTGATTCTTCATCTGCCAAGTGGAGATCATTTTACCAGGTGATAGAATGCTTGAAAACATGCTTGTGAAAACACTTAAGTGCAATACTATAATTAGAAATTGGCAATACTCTTATGATTCGTGCTCCAGTAAGTATGCAGTGGAACGATCTCTCAAGGTGGGAAGCAAAAAAGGCAGGAGTGTGGAGGCTTGAGTTAAGCTGGAAGAATCCTTGAGAAAGTTTTAAGAAAAATGGTCCAGTTGGCTTCCCTGTGGGTAAACAAAAACCTTTTCAGATGGTGGCTGGTGACATTTGCAAGCATCACGGACTTTCAGAGTGGAGGTGGGCAGTGACATATCTTAGGTGGGAAGGATGATGTCACAGCGTTCATACTCATTGAGCTGAGGGACAGTGTCATCGTGTCCAGGAAATGGGGTCCACCAGGGATGGTATAAAGTGCTAGCAGGCTGAGTGTCAGAACCCACACTCTAGCCCTGGCTCAGCCACTAACATGTACACGCAGTGAAGAGTAGCCGGGCTCAAGTGCAACTTACCCACTGACTAGCTGTGGAAAGTCATTTCACTTCTCCAACCCTCAGTTTTCTCTAGGGGGAAGTGAGTTTACTAAAATCGATCCACCGAAATGGCTGTAAGAGTAAAACTGAATCAGATGACAAAGGGCTTGTTAACCAGAGGCGCTGTACGATGTTTGGTATTTAATCTTTCTAAGCCTCAGTATTCATCATCTGCAAAATGGAGACAATAAGACCTGACCTCATAGAGAGATAAATGGGATAAAGATAAGATGAGTCACACATACACCCTATTTGTTGTTGCTGTGAAGGAAGAGGAGAGGCAGGCTGGGACTGGGGAGAGATGGGAATCAGGAGCCCGGGGCTCTGGCTGCTGTTCTAACACAGGGTCTCTAGAATGAAGAATGGGACTCAGTCCCTGCCAGCTCTAATGTTTTATGCACCTAGGCACCAGGCTTCTCCCTGAGTTCCCTGAGCCTGCAGAGCTAAAGCAGTGCTGGCCTAGAGCCCTCTGAGGGGGATGAGGAGAAGCCAAACCATTCCATTTTCATTTAATCTCTGCTTGGCAGGGCCAAGCATCAAGGTCTGGAGAGTAAACAAACTTTCTCCTTCCCCCATTCTCCACATGTGGCTGAGCTCTAAGGGCATGACTTATACATGGTGGGCCCAGGGATTCCAGACAGAGACTCCTAGGGCTGTGAATTCCAAATCCTGCTGTTGTGTTGAGCTCCCTGCTCTGGCCTGGCTCTCTCTCTGCTGCTGGCATCCTCGACAGGAAAATTAATTGCTGCTGTCATTCTGCTTTTTGTTCCAGTCTATATCCCAGGAATAAGAGATCCGAATGACATTAAATAACCTGTATATAAAAGCCCTTTCTAAAGAGCAGAGCAGTGAACATGGAGAGGTGGGCTTTATGGCTGGGAGACAGCCAAGGGCAGCTCCCTGCTGGCAGCCCCTCCAGTCTCCAAGAAAGGGAAGCGTGCACATGTGGACACATAATGGGAGGGAGACCTTCATGCTTTCCCTTGGAAGCAGAGGAAATTGAGCCCACTGATCCAATATTGCAAACAAACACAAGCCCCCTCCCTCTCCCTCACCCAGGGGTTTACCTCACCACATTCTTTCTATTAGCCTGGTTTGAATTCTTCCCCTCTTGGCTCAGTGGCTAACAGCAAGGCTAATTCAGGTTCGGATTCAGCGGCTGCACGCTGTTGACCTGCCTGGGGCTGAGGGTCCACCGTGCCAGCACTGAGTGTGCTAACTTAGGAAGACTCATAGGTCAGCACACGTGAGTCACCAGGCACTTTGGCTAGCCCTGGCTACTACCTTATGTTGACGGCAGCGTTTACATGCATCACTAGCAGCATGAGGCTTATGCAATGTTTAGCCTTAAGCAACAGCCAAGCCCATACTTGGGACAAACTCAGGAAAATAAAGTCACACATTTATACCACATAGCATATTCCAGAGGCAAGTGAAATGGCTCCCCCTCAATTCAAATATTTTGATTCCCTGCTAGGTTCTCCTTGTCAGGGAAAAGTTGAATAATTTCCCTGTGTGCATGCTAGGGTAAACATCAAACAAAAGAAATGATGGCCCAGGCTGGGTGTGGTGGCTCACGCCTGTAATCCTAGTACCCTGGGAGGCTGAGGTGGGTGGATCACTTGAGACTAGGAGTTCAAGACCAGCCTAGGAAACATGGAAAAACCTTATCTTTACAAAAAATACAAAAATTAGCCAAGCATGGTGGTACGTGCTCGTGGTCCCAGCTACTACTCCAGAAGCTGAGGAGAAAGGATGGCTTGAGTCTGGAGGCAGAAGCTGCAGTGAGCTGAGATTGTGCCACTGCACTCCAGCCTGGGCAACAGAGGTGGACCCTGTCTCAAGAAAAGAAAAGAAAAGAAAAGAAGGCACAGAGGGCACATTCTCATTACCCCTTCACCCAGTCAGTGACTATTTACTGAGCATCTACTAAGTGCCTAGCACTTATTTAGGCACTGTGCTGCTAGGGGGCAGTGGTGGGCAAGGGTTGGGTATTGGAAAGAAGCATCAATATAAACACAGATCAAGCACAGTCCCTGGCTGCATGGAGCTGTGGCATGGTTGTCAGGGTTTCAGGCCCTCTCTGCAGCACCTCCTCCTGCCTCTTCCAAGGAGGATGTATGGGACAGTGAAGTGTCCACTATGCAGACCAAGAGCCCAGGGGAAACACAGGGTCATCAACTCAGAGGCTGTTGAGGTAACAGGAACCACACACTTCACTGTGGCCTGTGGTTTTCAACAATGTTTTTTAAAATCAGGGAACCCTGTCTTCTAGTGAAACCATAGAAAGAACCACAAATACAAGATATACAAAAGTAGAGATGTTGTAGTTGAAGCAGAGATAGGAGTCAGGAAGGGGTCCCTGAGTCCTACCCTCTTGGCCCTTCCTTCAACCCTTTTTCTAAGCACTAGGGGAAAACCATCAATTTTCCCAGCGTCACTTGAGCACTGTGCTAAGTACTAAGTCATTCACGATGAAACACACATGCACACGCGCGCGCGCACACACACACACACACACACACACACACACACACACACAAAATTACAGCCTAGTCTAACTCCCTTCTTTTAAAGATGAGGATGCTTCTGCCCCTCAGGAGGGACAGTGACTTGCCCACCGTAAAAGAGTTATAGGGCATGGTGGTTCATGCCTATAATCCCAGTACTTTGGGAGGCAAAAGTGGGAGGATTGCTTGAGCCCAAGAGTTCCAGACCAGCCTTGGCAATATAGTGAGGCCCTATCTCTACAAAAATTTTTAAAACTAGCCAGGCATGGTGGCATGTGCCTGTGGTCCTGGCTACTCAGGAGGCTGAGGTGGGAGGACTGTCTGAGCCCAGGAGTTCAAGATTGAAGTGAACCATGATTGTGCCCCTGCGCTCCAGCTTGGACAACAGAACAAGACTCTGTCTCTTAGAAAAAAAAAAAAAATAGTTAAAGGGGCTATAAACTAGTTGCCTGGAATACCAGGCCAGGGCTCCTTCTTCTATACCATTCTGCCTCTATCTTACAACAGCTCCTCTTCTAGGACCCACAAAATAGCAAAACCTAAATTTCTGTTCCAGCCTGCCTGCCAGGTGAGCTGGAGGCTGCTGAAAAGGACAGCAATGTAACCAGAACTTCATAAAGGCTTTTCACTCTTACATTCTAGGAGGAAATCCCTGGTTCGTTGGAGTCTGTCTACTTATGGTCTTAATTACTTGCATGTACAAGATCTTGCAATCTGTGCCTGGGGACTCTTTGAATTGCAGATTAATATTCAACTAGCTGGAACGATCTTCAGAAGGAGGCTTGTGGTAATTAAGTTGGTTAGAGAACACGTTAACCTAAGTTTTTTTTTTTTTTTTTTTTTTTAAATAGCACATGAGTGCTATAAATTACCAGTAGAGGAAAGACCAGTCCCTTAACAGTACTTCTTGGGAGTCATGGGGGTGGGGAGGGTGCAGGGGAATGCATGTCATTCTGGGAAGAGGAAGTGTCCTTGGGGATGCTTCCTAGTGGCTGGGAGGCTCTGTTAGGCTGACTCACATCTATGACTCAAGACTTTATTTTCCCCAAGACCCATTGACCCCTTCCTGGGAGGATAGGTGTCTTAGGGTGAGTTGTAGGGGTGGGTATTTCAAAAGCAGAGGCTGGGGCCACTGAGCAGAATCTAGAAAGTGAAAATTCTGGGTCACATATGGTTTTTTTTTTTTTTTTTGAGACAGAGTCTCGCTCTGTTGCCCAGGCTGGAGTGCAGTGGCGTGAGCTCGGTTCACTGCAAGCTCCACCTCCCGGGTTCACGCCATTCTCCTGCCTCAGCCTCCCGAGTAGCTGGGACTACAGACACATGCCAACGTGCCTGGCTAATTTTTTTTGAATTTTTAGTAGAGGCGGGGTTTCATCGTGTTAGCCAGGATGGTCTCGATCTCCTCACTTCGTGATCCACCCACATCGGCCTCCCAAAGTGCTGGGATTACAGGCGTGAGCCACCGTGCCCGGCCCACATATGGTTTCTAAAGAAAAGGTGGGTAGGGGGAAGAAGGCTTGAATGACTTTGTCCAAAGCTGTAGGTATTTCAGAAAATATTTTTTAGTACCAGTGCAGAATAATCTTCATATTTTGGATGAGGTGCTCTTAGTGTGGTGTTGTATATGACAAACCAGCATAATCCAATAGAGAATGGGTGTCCAGTGTTTTGGCTTCCCAGGGCCACATTGGAAGAATTGTCTTGGGCCACACATAAAACACACTAATAACAGCTGATTAGCTAAAAAAAAAAAAAAAAAGTGCAAAAAAACTCATAATTTCTTTTTTTTTTTTGAGACAGTCTCACTCTATTACCCAGGCTGGAATGCAGTAGCATGATCTCGGCTCACTGCAACCTCCGCCTCCTGGATTCAAGCAATTCTCATGCCTCAGCCTCCTGAGTAGCTGGGATTACAGATGTGCACCACCATGCCATGCTAATTTTTGTATTTTTAGTAAAGATGGGGTTTCACCATGTTGGCCAGGCTGGTCTCGAACTCCTGGCCTCAAGTGATCTACCTGCCTTGGCCTGCCAAAGTGCTGGGATTACAGGCATGACTCACCGCACCCAGCAAAATCTCATAATGTTTTAAGAAGGTATATGAATTTGTGTTGGGTCACATTCAAAGCCATCCTGGGCTGCATGCGGCCCATGGACTGCAGGTTGGACAGCTCTATTGAATAGAGTGCAGGGTTTGTCACAAGTGATTTGCTACTAACGTAGTTCCAAGCTGGCGAATAATTTATTTCTCATACTAAATAACAGAGTGTCAATGTTGGACGTGCATGATAACTTCCCTCTCTATCACTTGCATGTCTAGATGTTTTCTTAAATGGGAAAGAAAACATGGGGTTCCACCACTAGGAGCCACTGAAATGCCTATAACCCACAGCCAACTTAACTGGGCTCCAGTCCATGTGGGCAGCATGTGGAATGAGGATTGAGAAAACCACTTTCAAGCATGGTCAGAAAGTCCACTCTTGACAAGTGGGAAGCCATTGGGTGTGGCAGTGGGGAGAGGGGCACAGGTGCTGGGAGGGAATTGCCCAGCTAGAGCACTGGGGACAATGGAGACTCTCTATGTGGCAGCCACACTCATTGGTACAATACAGGGTGTGTGTAAAGGGGGTCTGGCAGGAGCAGTCACAGGTGGTGACCATCCCAGAGCTGGTATAGAAATGCCAGGTGGGGCAGGAGCTGCTCTGACCCTCCAAGGGCTTTAGTCTCGGCACTCAGTTGAGGACAGATGTTCTCAGGGATTGTTGTGCCCACTTGTGGCCACCGTAAGATTTCAGAGGATCCTGAGGGAGCAGTGAGGAGGGAGGGGACTGAGAAGGAAGGTGGTATGGGAGTGGGAGGCAGGTCAAAAGAGTTCTGGCCAGGGAACCAGGAGGCCTGGCTCCCTTCCTGGGTAAGCCATTGCCCAGCTATGGGACTTGGACTAAATCACTTCCTCCCTTCAGACCTCAGTGTCTTCATCTATAAAAACGACACTGGGACAAGAAAAAGCGAGATGCGGAAAGCTGTGTGTGGCCACCCACTTGTGAACATCGAGAAGTCAGAGGCAGAACAACCTCGGACTTGAGAGCCCTCATCTTCCCACACCCCAACTTCAGCAAGCCTCCAGTGACCCCAGACAAGTCACTCGGGCAAGTCGCGTAACTCCTCTGAGTGTTCCCTTCCCCATCTGAAGTGGATCCTAATAGCACCTGCTTCGGAGGGTTGTCATGAGGATCAGAAAAAACGATGCATGTAGCGCCCACAGTGCAAGCAGTGAGAATGGACCCCCAGGGAATTTAGCTATTATTATTATTATTATTATTATTATTAAACAACTTAAATGGCCAACAATGGGGAACTGGTTAGGCAGATTATGGTATATCCAGAGAATACTATGCAGCCATTCAAAAAGATAATTTTGTGCAAATAAAGGAACAGTTATGCCATGATGTTGAGAGAAAAAAGAACACAATAGCACATAAATTATGTATGTATTATGGTAAGATGATGTATGCATGTGCATAAAGAACGCAAAATAGGGCTGGATGAGGTGGCTGTAATCCCAATGCTGTGGGAGGCCAAGGTGGATCACTTGAGCCCAGAAGTTTGAAACCAGCCTGGGCAACATAGTGAGACCCCATCTCTTAAAAAAAAAAAAATTAGCCAGGCGTGGTGGCACATACCTGTAGTCCCAGCTACTTGGGAGGCTAAGGAGGATTGCTTGAACCCAGGAATTTGAGACCAACCTGGGCAACATTGTGAAACCTGATCTCTACCAAAAACATTATAAACACAAAAAGAAGAAAGCAAAATAATGAGCAGAAATATATTTTCTCCTAAAATCCTTACTGTTTTTCATTAAAAAATGTAAGTATTGGGTGAAATGCTTCTTGAGGGCCTCCAGCTTGGGCATTTGGAGGCCCAGGGCTCTCCGCTCCCTAGTTAGTGGCAGGTGCTGGAGCTAGGCTCTTGTGGTGTGGGGGAGTCTGGGACTCATGTGGGATGACAGACCCCAAAGCTAGAGCCAATGGGATGTCTTCAAGCGCCTGCCCATGCAATGTCAAAGCAGCCCAACTGACTCCTCCTTTGCTTAATTTGTGTCAATCGATTTCCTATTTTTAATTAATAATTCTAATTATGATGCAGCAAATTTACCCAACGGCCACGACTGAATTAATTAGGTTCCATTGATTGGGCCTGTAGAGTTATCCCACAGTTTCTGACATTATCGATTTCCTGTTGGGAACAAATAAGAAAACACAAGGAGGGCAGATGCAGCTGTCATCTCTGTGATGCCCACAAGCCCTAAACTGGGCCCTGAAGCACCTGCCCTCTGCTCCCTGCCTGCCAAAAGCCACAGCCATCAAGGCCACCAGGCAGCAGCGCTTCCCCTAGGAGCCCTGGGGAGGCCATCCCAGACTTTGCCAGCTTTCTCTAGGAAGCAGGGCCAGTGATGATGATGGGCCAGCCCCCGCACAGGGGTTCTGCAGTAAGGGCCAGCCAGCTGGACCGGGCTTAGTTTGGAACTCTGCTGCTGTATCAGTGGGTGGAGATTAACTTCCATCTCATTGTCCTTTTTGTAGTAAGAACCTTGGAGATTCTCCTCTTTCGCCTTGTCATTTTACAGATAAGGAAAGCAAGGCCCACAGAGGAGTGGGTCTTGACCAAGATAGCTCATGAGTCATTGCCCAGGTGGGGCTGGAACTCAAGTCTTTGTCCTCCATGCCCTTTCCCATCCACATGGAAGCTGAGCTGGAGGAGACTAGAGGGCAGCGGCAGAGTTCATCTTGTTCTCTGGCCTCCATCGTCAGTCAGGGAAGCATGTCAGTACCCAAGTGGCCTTGGTGAGCCAGCCCTGTCTGCTCTTAGCCTCACCCTCCCACTCAGGCTCTGTGCTTGCTTTGCCATTATCCTCTGTCTGGGCCTTGAGAATTCAGGCCTCCCACCCCCACCCCAGGTCTCCAGGCCCCACAACTGCTCTTGATATTAACATGGCAACTTATGTTGCACACCTGCAATCCTGAGTCCTTGGGGATACAGAAGGAGCCCCCATTTCCTGAGTGACTTCTCTGTGCTGGGCACCTGACATGCACATTCTAATCTAATCTCCACAACTCACTGAGGAACAGATGTAGGAGGAATCTGAGGCTCAGAGAGATCAATTAACTTGCCATATCCCCACAGTGAATTGAGGCCAAAGATCTGAAGCTGGGCTGTCTTACTCCAACACCCATCATGATTCTTTTGAAGGAGAAAGAAAAGAAGGACACCCAAGGGCCGTATAATAGTGGGGACTGTATAGGAAGCATATAGTCTCATGACAATGCAGAGGGGACACCACATCAGTAAAGAGAAGAGTGAGACTTTGCACCTGGCAAAGGTGGGAAAGTATAGGGAATGAATAAGAGTAGTTCCAGTTGGATACAGGCTGACTTAGGCAAGTGAAGGCAAAGAGAGACTGAGGCTGGAGGAGCAGTTAGGGGCCAGATCATAGAGGTCTTATCAATTTCAACAGGAGAATCTGAACTTCCTTTCTGGGGCCAGGAAAGTGACTGCAGGCTTTGAGCAGAGGAGGGCCATGGTTGGGGTGGTGGTTCTGGGACTGTGATCTGATTACAATGGGTTTGAGTGAGGAGAGGCCAGAGGAAACACAGAGGCCGTTAGAAGTTAGGCGATGGTCCAGGCACAAGCCAAGGAGACCTGGAACAAAGGCAGTAGTGATGGGGATCGTGAAGAGAGAAACATAAAAAGTTGAGTAGCACTGATAGCACCTGCAAGAGAGTAACTGTGGGGACTCCTAGACTTTGCCATGTCTGTCACTGGATTAGGGCCCACACTAATCCAGTATGATCTAATTTTAACTTGATTACATCTGCAAATACCGTATTTCCAAATAAGGTCACATTCACAGGCTCCAGATGGACATTCATTTTCAGAGACACTATTCGATCCAGTATACAGGAGAATAATATATCTGCCCCTTAGGGTGGCTCCTTCCTAGGGCTAAACAAGATTTGGTTATGTCAAACAATGACCTGGCTTCCATTGTTCCTCTTCCAGGCACTGGGTTTGCTCCAGAATTTCCAGCCAGAAAGCCTCAGAAAGACCACTTGTAAAAACAAATCTGGGAGGCAGAGTGATAGGCACGAAAAACCGCTTTGAGATTCCCAGGGTACCCCAGGAGGAGAGTGCTCATCATTCAACAAAGGTCCTGGGGAGGCAACTCCAGGGACAAAGAGCACCCTACTCCCACCCCACCCCACCATTCCCCAACATGGAGATGCCACTTTCTGTGAGAGGCAAGAAAATTAAACTGCTGAGAACTCTCCGCTTTCATCATCATGGGCTTCCTGTTACCAGCACTGCACCTGTAGCAACTTGTAGCCAGTGACAAGGGATGAATTATGAGGTCAGACAGCCCTCCCCAGAGAAAATAACCACATAGAGATGTACGCTTCACAGTTGCACTTCCCTTGGAAGCTTCCTGTTGCCAGCTGTAACCTAGTCAGGGATGTGCTTGTACGCGCTCAACAACCAGCTCTAGAGGAAAAAAAAAAAGTCCTGATTTGTAGCATTTGCCAATTTCCATGGTGTAAATCGTCCCACCATGATTGCTTTCAAGCTTATCAACATGACGTAACAAAACATGAAGTTGCAAAGAGATGTGCACACTTGACTCTCATGAGCTAGTGCAAGACAGCACCACAACAGCACGGCACACAGTTATCTGTGGACCAGGGAGCCACACGGAGGGGTCTACATACCCAAGTCCCCTCTCCCCTCACCAGCAATTGCTCTTTTGGATTAGTCACCTCTGCAGTGGTCATCAGCCAACTGGAATGAGCTTAGAGGTTTCAGAGCCCACTGTAGGAGGGTGAGGGTCATCTGGGCAGCTCTGATGATGCAAAAGTTGCTCTCGGCTAGATCTGAATCCAGATTCTGCCACTTACTAACTGCATAACCCAGATACACCATCTAACCTCTTGTTGAATGTTAATCATTCATTTAATCGTTCATTCAACAGTTTTTGACCATTCACTGTGATAGGGTTATGGGGAAATAAAGATGAAAGATAAAACAGTCCCTGGGTCAAGAAACTCATAATCTGGTGAAGAAAGTCATAAAAGTTATAGTATCATGGGGGTAGGTGTAGTTTCCTCATCATGAAAAAGGGGGTAAGGAGTCTACTCCCAGAAAACTGAATGAGAACACACATAGCAAGCTCCCAACACAGTATCTAGAACAGAGTAGGGGCTCAGCAAATGTTCCTGGGAATCTAGAAAAGCAGACCTGTGGTGAGTAATTAGATTAATTTATTCATCCAATAGACAGCGTACACCTGCCCTGGGAAGGAGTGCTGGGAACTGCAAGGTGGCCACCGGGCCACAGCCTGAGAGGACGATGAGAAGATTCCACCTTTCCCAGCCCTGAATCTCTGCTCATCCACTGATGATCTTCTTTTCCCTGTGCTACTGTGTGGGTGGGGTTGGGTGGGGTTCAGTGGGGTAGTGGGAGTTGGTGGGGGGGCTCTGGTAGATTCATCAGAGCCCACCTACTTGGGGTGGGTGGGTAGGCATTGGGATGGATGTCTTGGTGAGAGGAGAGAGACCCTTCCACATTCCTAGGTATCAAATCATAGAATGGGAGAGGGCAAAGAATTAGCTATTTATAGAATTATCTTTTCCTTCTATTTAACTAATTTAAAAAAAACCCACTCGGCTTCAGTAATCATCACTATATGGCCAATCTTGTTTCAACTATATCATGCTCCCGCTTCCCTCCTCCATCCTGTGGTTTATTTTCTTTCAATGATCAATTAGGATCATTTATAGAAGAGGATCAGTTATTTGCTGCCAGGTTTGCAAAATAACCCTCCTCTTGAGTACTTTTCCTGCAATATTTGTACACTGCCATCAGAGAGCAGCAGCCTGCCTCATTTACATGGTTCAATGAATTTTATGTGAGATCAGAATCACAACCCCGAGTTTTCTAACGACCGCAAAACAATTTGTCATTCTATTCTAAAAGAAAAACAAAGACTCTGCTTTCCATCCATTCAGTTTTTTTTTTTTTTTTTTTTGGAAGCAAGGAGTTAAAATTTAAACACAGTGTCTCCTCTTAGCAACGCCCTTGACAACCTGCAACACCGACAAAGTGTCTTCAATCCAAACTGCCTTCTTTTACAAAGCTTCCAGCTACAAATCCAAGCTGACAGCTGAATATCACCTTCAAAACGACAAGTTTAAGTGAGTTATTATTTGTAAAGGCCTTATAAGAGTGTCTAGCACATAGTAAGTGCTATACAAGTATTTGAGGTTTACTTTTATTCACTTAATTTATTATAAATATAAATTCATTCAAATGCCGTGGGAATTAGCAATGAATGAATCTTCTTTATGCTGGTGTACTTGTCTGCTCCCTGTGAATGGGGAAAGGGATGCCTATAGAGACAGGAAGTTTTCCCAAAGGTGGCCTAACTTGGGCAGGGACTGATTTCCCTTCTCCTCTGATACCTCCATGAGGGGAGATTCCGAAGCTCTCTCTGGTTCACCCATGGTCGTCTGACTCAGAGCAGAGCCAAAGCTCCTAATTTCAGGGATGTTGGACAGGGGTTATTTTTTGTTCCTGTCCTTCCCAAGTTAAGTCATGAAGAGCTGCTGGAGAAGCACAGCCCGGGTGAGTGCGATCGATTAAATTATCATAAGCAGTAGGGGACGGAGGAGGGGGAAGCCACACAGACCAGGCCCATGATTACTGTAATGGAGCTGTCATCTGCAGACAGACGGCAGCCTATCAGGCCTGGCAGAGATGGTCAGGATGACAGGCAGCCTGGGAGCCACCTCAGGGAACTGCTGGTGCCCCTGGGTCCTCAGGATACTGCTAATGATGGTGACAATAGGGACTGCAGTTAACTGAGCACCTTCTGTGGGCCAAGCACATTTCATCCTTTAGCATCTAAACAGATACGACGGTGCCCACTTTTCAGAAGGAAAAACTGACTGAGCGCCAGATGACTTACTCAAGCTTATACAGGTTGTGAAGTGAAGAACCTGGATGGGGCCAGGTCTGTCTAGCCACCATGTTCCCTCCCACAGCTGGTTTTTCTTACCATCAGCACCCGGAATCCTCCGGCCCTGCTGGTCTGACCCGTCCTTCCTCCCCTCCCAGGATGCCTCCCCCAGGAGGTCCTTGCTTGCTCCCTGGTGTCTGAGGGTCACACCCTTCTCCTCAGTACCCACAGGCTCGGCTCCACTTGCTAGAGGGGTCTGAGAAGCCGAAGCCCAGAGGCTATTTGCTGATGTCTTTGCTCCAGGCGCAGAATGACCATTGGTCTTGGGTCCAGAGAGAGGTTTCCCAAAGGGAGCACTGTGGCCTAAGAGTGAGTGAGCAGGAGTGCTGGGAGAACCTGATTTGTCAGGCAGCCTGTAGAGCACAGAAGGACTGGGGTGCTGATCTAGCGGCTGCCAGGAAGACAGAGAGATGAGAGGCAGGCCCTCAAGGACAAGAGAGGGTTTCAGGGAAGGAGCCGCTCGCAGGGCAGGCAAAGAGCCTGATTGTCACACTTCAGGGAAGGAGCCGGGTGGGCTTGAAGCCAGAAACAGTCAAGTGGTGAATGTGAGAGGGAGCGGGGAGGAAGGGCACTGGGGCACCAACATGTGTGTGATGGGGCAGTGCCCACCCCAGCAGGGTCCCTCCAGCCTCAGGAAAAGGAAGGGCAGTCCACAGGATGAGGCTGGCTGGGCCACAGAGCCGGGGAGTCTCCCTTGGGTGCCTGACTGTCTCGGGGTCCATGGAGCCCCCAGCACAGTTCAGAGTCTGCCCCTCCCATCTCATTCCAGTCACTAAGCAGGGCACAGACCAGCCAGCCAGTGGCCCTGCCCATTTGGGAGAGTCCTTCCGCCTTGCCCAGCTGTGCTCTTCAGGAGAAGTGACACCTGTGGCTGGGCTCCTTCCTCTAGGCTCTCCCCTCCGACTCCTCCCTGTGAAATAAGAGAGTGGGGCTACAGGCAGCACAGGGTGGCCTGGACTCAGCCCCGCTGTGGTTTCTGTGCAGTGCATGAAGAGTAAGGTGAACCCCAGATGCCCACTCTAGGGCAGGGAGTGGGGACAGAAGACCCTGGCTGTATCTGCTGAGTCAGCCAGCAGCCCACGACCGTGAATGACTGTGTGGGAGAGGGTGTGCGTGTGCAAGCTGGTGAGCGCATGTGTGAGTGTGTGCGAGCGGGTGCCTGCCTATGCGTGGGTGAGGGTGTCTGCGTGTGCAAGTGTGCACCTGTGCATGAGACTCTGTGTGAGTGTGTGTGGGGTTGTGGAATGGTGCTGAGTGTGAGGTTAGGAAGAAAAAGAGACCTTCACAGACACAGCCAAAGAGATACTGAGACCAAAAGAAACATTTGGAGAGAGACTGACCCTGGAGAGAGGCCAGAGGCCGGGAAGCCAGAATGAGATGTGTAGAGCAGGAGAGAAGAGAAAGAAACCAAGAACGCTAAGGTGAGGAGGAGAAACGCAGAAAGAAGAGAGATTTGGCAGAGAGGGCAGAGTCATCTGCTCTGCCCCCCAGATGGGGACCTCTTAGATGGCTTCGGAAGGTCCATCTGACAGTGAGGCCCATCACCACGACTCCAGGCCTGTGGGACTCTCCCTGTCTCCACACGTCAGGCTTGGTCCCTCATAAGTGGCAAGGGGCAGGGAGGCCAAGAAAGAGGGGAGGGTGCAGCGAGTGTGGATGATTTTGGTGACAGGGCCTGTGCGTGGGAACCAGGAGCTTGACCTCCTGACCCTTCCCTTCTGGGCCCTCAGTCCTCCCAGAGGCCGCAGACAGCACTCCCCTTGCCAAGCACCAATCCTGACATGGCATCCTTCTGCTGCTGAACGAAGTCTAATTTACTTGGGGAAAAAAACCTTCTGTGGCCCCCAAATCAAATCACTCAGGGAGGGAATGGGGTTGAAAGGAACCAGGGGAAATAAATGTATTCAGCAAGTGTATTTTTATTCCAATAAAACTTGATTCAATAACCCCCATGAATATTTCATTTGCAAGAGGCTGGCCCCTCCTGCGGCTGCCTTGGTCTTAGGCCAATTTTGCCCTCCCTCCCCTGGGGGCAGCACAAGCCTCTCCTCCAGGAACCCAGCAGCTCTGAGGGAGGCTAGGGAACCGCAAGCCCCTTCCAGCCCCGCAGCCAGCAGCAGACCGGCTCCTCCAGGGGGCCTGGCGCTGTTTCCGGAATGCTGCTGAGAGCTTCGGATGGAGAATTGGGTTGGAATACTGCTTGCTGGGTGACCTCGGGTATGCGACCTCACTCGCTGAGCCTCTGTTTCTTCTCCTCATCTTACGACATTCTTATGAGGATCAATAAAGACAATATGAAAAACCTCACATGCATCACTTATGCCATCCTTCCCACGGACTTAGAGCCAGGGTGTGGGTTACCTAGGAGCTTTTATCCCTCCAGCAAGCCTACCAGCTTCTGGCTCTGGGCTTGTAAGCTATTTCCACCGCTACCCATTTCCTTCAATCCTTCACCTGCCCATTCCAAGACAGCCCATGGCCACTCCGGTAAGCACACGGAGGTGGGGTTGTGATGGAGCTAAACCGGGGAGGGGATAACGGGCAGCTGTTGTTTTGTCAGCATAAAGCCACCGCCCCTCCCCAGCTCGGGTCCTGTAGGTGGTCCTGTAGGAGGTTGATTCTACCCTTGTACAGCACAGGGCCCAGGCCCCTAGGATTAGATCATTCAATTTCCTGGTCGCAGCGATTGGTTCTGGAATGTGCATGTGACCCAATCTGGCCAATGGGATTCAATCCTGGGACTCCAACAGGAACATTGGGTAAGTAGGTGTTCTCTTCCATTTGGGCTGTTAGGCTGGGAGACTGTGGTCCTGGAGCTGTTGGTGTGTATCTCTGCTATTACTTGGGAAGAGAAGACTTCAGAACAAAGCCAACACAAAGGAAAACCGAGGCAAGGTGCAGACAGATTGCTGACAACATCATCTGAGCCCCTGGTGTGGCTGGGCCTGAAGCAACATCCACCTCTGTTCTTTCCAGTTACAAGAGGCAACAAATCCCCATTTCTGCCTAAACCTTAGGTTGGGTTTCTGTCTTTTGCAATAAAAAGTATTGTTTAATGGTATCTGAAGCCTGTCTTTCCAATTCACTAATGAAAGCTTTCTTCCTTCCCAGGGAAATGTCTGGGGGAAAGACTGGCATTAGGTTGAAAGAAATGGTGAGACTTCCTGCTGGCTGGTCCCAATTCCCTCACTCCTGGAGATATCTTTAAGAATTACAGTGCCGGCCGGGCGCAGTGGCTCACGCCTGTAATCCCAGCACTTTGGGAGGCCGAGGTAGGCGGATCACGAGGTCAGGAGAGCGAGACCATCTTGGCTAACACAGTGAAACCCCGTCTCTGCTAAAAATACAAAAAGTTAGCCAGGTGAGGTGGTAGGCGCCTGTAGTCCCAGCTACTCAGGAGGCTGAGGCAGGAGAATGGCGTGAACCCAGGAGGCGGAGCTTGCAGTGAGCCGAGATCGCGCCATTGCACTCCAGCCTGGGCGACAGAGCGAAACTCCATCTCAAAAAAAAAAAAAAAAAAAAAAAAAAAAAAAAAAAAAAAAAAAAAAAAAAAAGAATTCCAGTGGCATCAGAAGTAGTGATGTTGGGTCTCCACACCGTCCAGGAGGACACTGGTCCTGAGAAATTCCCAACCTCTCTTGGGGAGGTGATGCAGGGGCCTGCAGGGACAACGCTTGGGGAGCCCACCCCTACCTTGTCTGGTGCTCCTGCTCCTTGATATTGTCATAAGTCAGTCAATCAATCAACAAAAAGTAGAGGAAGGTTGGGCTCAGGGTCAGGAAGCCATGGGCAGGCCAAATGTTCCTCTCAGCCTCCGTTTCCCTGTCAGCAAGATGAGAGGGTTGGACAATGTGAATTCAAACCCAGCCCTAGTATCTTTTATATGTATGAGTCTTTATTCTGTTGTAGACACTTGGAATAAAAAGAAATCTCTTAACCCTACAATCTCTTTGGGAATAGAAGCCATACATATATAAACAAAATAAAACAAACCAAAAAAGTCAATAATGCTGTCCTGAAGGTGAAGTCTGAAATAGAGGAGAATTGGCCAGGGTGGTCTGCAAGCTCCTTTCTGGCTCTGAAAATCTGTGAGAAGGAAAAAGGCTGTGTCCCAGGGAGACGGAAATTCAGCAGCCAGTGCCCGGGGCTCAAGCCCAAATGCTTTTCTACAGGAGGCTCTGGGACTGGCAGAGTTTCCCAGATACCCCTGCCCTTCCATGCTGGTTTGGCAAAGTGTGGAACTAAGACCCAGTTAGGCTGGTGTGAGTTGGACATCTCAGGATGGGGAGGGGAGCCGAGAGAGCAGGGGGAACACTGGCACTTGTGGGGATTTCCTCCTGCTCTCTGTTCACTATTCCATTTGCAAGAGTTTGCAAATTTCAAAGTGGTTTCTGGCAAGACAGCAAAATGTCTCTCCAGAGTCTGAGGATGACTTGCGGCTAGAGCTGGGGGACAGGGCAGTCCAGGGAAGGGCGGGCACAGGGAGGAACAAGCCATGTGATGCCTCTTGGGTCAGGCGGGATTAAGGGCATGGGGGTGATGAGGAGGCTCTGTCTAGCCAGGCAGGTGGTGGGTCTGGAGGCTCCACAAGGTCCAGGAATAAGGATATAAAGACCCATGCAGCGAGAACAGAGGGCCACCCTGGCCCTGGGTCATGGATGGCTGAGCTCAGGGCTCCTTCCTGCAGACAGAGCCTGCATGTGGTGGTAGCCAGGACAGGTGTGGGCCCTCAGGTCTGCTGGCGATTCCATCAGATGTACTCTCTCAGCTCCATGTAAGGTAATGCAATACATTTCCTGCAAAAAAGTGCCCAGTGTGGCCTCTGGGCCTACCTGCAGTGCTGATGGTCATGCCCAATGGCCTCAGGCAGCTGTGCTTTGACCACACTGTTAGGTGACAGACGTTTTTAAGAATCTGATGAAAATGTGGACTGTTTCTACCAAAATGTGCATGCATGCAGGCACACACACGTATGACTTTGTACATAATTTCAAGGAGTTCATGGTCATACTGTGGCCCAGTGCATGCACTCCAGGTTAAGCATTTCTGTTTGGGCCCAGCACAGTGGCTTACACCTATAATCCCAGTAGTTTGGGATGCTGAGGCAGATGAGTCACTTGAGGCCAGTAGTTTGGGACCAGCCTGGGAAGTATAGTGAGATCCTATCTCCACAAAAAATTTTTTAAAAAATTAGCTGAGGCGTGGTGGCGCATGCCTGTACTTCTAGCTACTCAGGAGGCTGAGGTGGGAGCATCACTTGAGCCTGGGGTTGGGGGTGGAGGGTGGGGGTCAAGCTTGTAGTGAATTGTGTTTGCACCACTGCACTCTAGCCTGGGCAACAGAGCAAGACCCTGTCTCAAAAAAAAAAAAAAAAAATTGGTTGGGGGTAGTGGCTCATGACTGTAATCCTAGCACTTTGGGAGGCTGACGGGTGGGGTGGATTGCTTGAGGTCAGGAGTTCGAGACCAGCCTGACCAACATGGTGAAACCCCATCTCTACTAAAAATACAAAAATTAGCCGGGTATGGTGGTGGATACCTGTAATCCCACAGGCTGAGGGAGAATTGCTTGAACCTGGAAGGCAGAGATTGCAGTGAGCTGAGATTATCCCACTGCATTCCAGCCTGGGCAACAAAGTGAGACTCCATCTCAAAAAAAAAAAAAAACAAACTTGTTTGAAGCTCTAGGTCCCTTGGGCTCAGAGAAAAGCCCAGATGGAGATTCCACTCTTTCACCGTCCTCTGGAGAGAGGCCAGTAGCAGCTGCTTCTTGCTCTGAATTCCAGGGTGCAGCAAACTGCCCATCAGCTCAGGGCCTGGGGCTGGAGCCTGCCTGGAAGAAGCACAGCTATATCCATGAGAGCCTCTAAACATGGCCCTGCAGGGTAACCCAGTCTGCAGGAGGCCCAGCTGGGGCTAGAGACTGTAACCATGTGCCCAGGCCACATGCAGACCCAGTGAAAAGGCAGATGAATGGGTGGTCAGGTGTGAGGACGTCAGCCAAGGCTCCCTGCCAGGGAACACAAGGCATCTGTGTGGCTTTATAAGGCACTTTATGAATCCCTCTTAGCTGGCCTTTTTGAATGGAGACTCTTCTCAAAGACTCACAGCCCCAGTTGCAAAAAGGCTCCTCTGTCTCTGCTCGTTGCAGAGTCTGCACAGACCCAAGTGGGGTCGGCGTGCCCATGAGTGTGTGCAGAAGAAAAGCCACTGAATCAATGGGCTGGATTACAGACCCTGCTGCCCTGGGCAGATAATTGCAGTGAAGCACCAGTTGCTCAGACCAAATGTCCTTACCCTGCACTGTCAGAGAGTGCCAATCACAGGGGATTAAAACCAGCTGGGGCACAGCCCTGCCGAGAAAGACTTGAGGCTAGACTGGCAGCCAAGGATGGGGTTGGGGATGGTGAGGGTCGGTCTGAAGGCTGCAGGGGGAGGGGAGCATACAGGGTTGCCAGTGGTGGGCTGAGGATGGGGACAGCTAGGGCTGGGACCAGGGCAGGAGAAGTTGGGACAGAGGGGATGGAGGTCACCAGCAGAAACCAGGTGGGTGGGCTGAGCAGTGGGAAAGAACTGCAGGCTCAGGGTGGGGCTGGTTCGTTCCTGGGGAACCCAGAGCAGAGTGAGGAACCAGACTCTGGATCTTGCTGACCCAGCAGTCTCTGTACTCCTGGTACCCAAACCAAAAGCTGGAAGAATTTTAAAAGCCACAAAGGCCTCCATTTAGAGTTCAGGTACTTTGGGGAACATGGCTGCCCAGAACAAGTCCCTCCATGGGGGCAGCGCCACCAGCTCCAGAATTCTGAACCTGCAGTCAGCCCTGGGGCGCCCGGGGCTGCGCCCACACATTCTCTCAGCTGACCTTCACACAAGTCTGGGAGGTGGGGATGTTACCTTTGGGATCTCACAGTGGAGGACACTGAGGCTTGGAAAGAAATGACTTTCCCAAAGTCACACAGCTGGCCAGAGGCACTTCCATGAGCCTCCTCATCTGGGAAACAGGTGTGCTAATATCTGCCTCAAAGAAGTAGTAATAACACATTGACTGTGTGTCAGGCACTGTGTTAGGCCCTTTACATGCATTATGTTGTGGCATCATTTCCAAAATGCTGTCAGGCTGGTGGTGTTGCCCCATCTTGCAGATGTGAAAACTGGCTCAGAGAGGTGAAGTAAATCACCCAAGGTCACTATATAAGTGACCAAGCCAGGACTGAATCCCTGGTAGCTCTGGCTTCAGAGCTTGTGAAAACCAAAGGAGAAGGGGCTCTATAAAGGGCTTTGTGGGTGGTAATTTTCAGGGATGGGGCCGGGACGGGGGCACTGTAGGGGCAGGGAGAGGAAGAAGCAGGATCTCAGCCCCTCCCAGCTCAGCTAAGAGAGGCCAGAGGCGAACTGGGTCCTGCTGAAAGTGGACTGGGCACCTATTTGGGTGGAGTGGGAGCTGTGGTGTGTGTTGGTTGGGGGAGTGTGACCCGCCCCTCCCTGGCTTTGAGCCTCCCCCACCCCTGTTAATGGCCGTCAGGGGAAATCATCTGCAGGAGATCAAAGCTGGCCTGGAGTGAGCCCCTCACTGGATAATGAAGATGAATTCCGGCCAGGTCTGCCCAGAAAGAACGTTAACTAAATGAAGATGACAGTACAGTGACTGTGGAGTTTGTATCAGAGCCAAATTGAACTCTCTCTTCCAGCAAGTCTATGCAAAACCTGGGCCAGTGCCCAAGAGAAGGGGAAAACACACCCGCATTCTCCTCTCCTTGCCCCCTCCTTGAAGTCCCCTGCTGCTGGCAGCCACCCAAGGGAGGGGCTGGTCCCAGGCTGATTCCTGAGTGGGGGGGCTCCTCGTGGTCCACTCCTGCTTGGCTTATTGAAACTCATGCTGGGCCCCTCAGTCAGCCTGAGGCAGGGAGGAGGGAGGAGGGAGAGGGGCTGGGCTGGAGAAAGCTCCAAAGGGAGGGACTTGAGGCGAGGAGGTCCACTACCTCTTCTAGATCTTTACCCTGAGGACAAGGGTAGCACGGTGGAGTCGGACTTTTGCTCAAGTCCTAGGTCTTAAAAGCCTAAGTGACCTTGAGCTAAAACCTAAAATCTCCAAGCCTCAATTTCTTAACCTATAATATGGGAATGATGATGAAACCTGCCACCCAGATCCACTCCTGTTAATGCTTTGTGAGTCCTTAGGAACGGACCATACCTCCTTTTGCCTTCAGGCCTCTCGGGACATTCCCCTGTCTCTTAATTTGTTCAGCCCCCCGCCGAGGCTGAGTCTGGGCTTGCAGACTTACACTTCTGTGAACTTCTAATCCAGACCCCAGGACCTGCTTCCCAAGCTCTGGGGTCCAGCATCTCAACCCCACAATGATGGGGGAATTCCTGGCCCACCTATTTCCTGAAGATGATAATTAACAATGCCTCCCAACTGCACAGCACAGAAAACTTAAAAGGAGAAAAGGGCAGGGCAGTCAGGAGAGAAAGGCCTGACCAGCATCGGTTAGAACATCCCGGACTAGTGGCTCCTCACCTTAGCCCCACATTAGAATCACCTGGGGAACTTTAAAAATGTCAATGCCAAGGCCCCGCTCCAGATTGTGATTCAGATCTCCGGGGATGGAGCCCTGACAGGGGATTTCCCCCACTCCCCAAAGCTCCCCAGGTGATTCTAATGTGCAGCCAGCATGCAGAAGCTATCTAGAGACAAGGCTTTTTCAACTTTAATGTGCATGAGAATCACCTGGGAGGTCTTGTTAAAATGCAAATTCTGATTCAGGAGGTGTGGCGAGGAGCCTGAGATTCTGTGTTGCTAACAAGCTCAAGGTGGTGCTGATGCTGCAGGACCGGGGACCACACTTTGAGTAGCACTGCTTGATGAAGGGACCACGGCTTTATCATCTTTGTTCATTGCCAGCCCTCCGGCTTCTCAGGAAACGCTTGTGGAATGGATGCACCCCTAATTGAGGCAGTGCAGGATGTGGAGCCTGATGACCTGTATTTGAAGCCTAGCATTATTATTATTTTTTGAGACGGAGTCTTGCTTTGTCACCAGGCTGGAGTGCAGTGGCGCGATCTTGGCTCACTGCAACCTCGGCCTCCCTGCTTCAAGGGATTCTCCTGCCTCAGCCTCCCAAGTAGCTGGGATTACAGGCGCATGCCACCACACCCAGCTATTTTTTTTTTTTGTATTTTTAGTAGAGACGGGGTTTCACCATGTTGGCCAGGATGGTCTCGATCTCCTGACCTCATGATCCACCCACCTCGGCCTCTTAAAATGCTGGGATTACAGGCATAAGCCACCACACCTGGCCGAAGCCTAGCATTATTGCTCTGGCTATGTGGATTTAGGCAAGGTACTTATCAACTGTGGCCTCACATCTGCATCTGTAAAACAGGTATGCTCTTACTGCCCCAGGAGCCTTATAGGATCAGTGGGAGAATAAAATGGTGTCATTTATATGAAATGTAAATTGAAAATATCCCTTTTTTCTTCTTTTACCTGGAAGGACACATATCCCACCTGCAGTGATGTCTTGGTGCCTGTGATCCGCCTGATTATCTCTGGTAGCCCTCATGCACCAGCACTCCCAGTCCTGAAATCCAGTGGGCACTGGACACGCTAGCTGTGGAGACCCTTCTGGGCCTCCCAGCAAGCTCCAGGGCCCTGGCCAGGCCAGCAAGCTCACTCAGAAACAAGCACACTTCCAGACTGATCAGCACACTTCCAGATTGATCAGCACACAAAGACTCAGAAGACACAGGTTCAAATCCCGACTTTACCCCTTCCAGCCACAGGCTGAGTCCACACTAGGGTTCCCAGTAGCTCTTGTAAACAACTTATCACCCTCTTCTGAGGCAGCACTGGGCTGTTATGCCTGAGTACCAGTGACCACGTCAAGCTGAACCCACTGGCAGTCACCATCCCTCACAGACAGGGGCCTATGATAAGGCAGGGCCACCTGAAACTCATTCTGCTCCATCACTGTGCACCGTAACATTTGCTGAGATAATGGGTGCCCCATGCATTCTTCCCGTTCACAATGGCCAAGCCCCAGCTTTCCCCTCTGCCCCACTGCAGGTCCACTTCCTGTTCCATCACCCCCTATCTCTGGGCTACGAGCCAGGCAGTGCCTCAGAACTACCCCGAGAGTCTGGAGCTTCAGATCCTGGGCCCCTCCCTTGATGATTCAGATTGCACAAATCTTGGGTGGGGGTGGCAAGAATCTACCTTTTCTTTTTCAGCTCCCAGTGGTTCTGATGCATGATCAGGGCTGAGAGTCACTGCCCTCTATGCCCTCCTCTCCTGTTGGCCTGATGTCCCCTGGAGAGCATTGGGCTTAGGATCAGAAACCCCAGGCTAGCGTTCTTAAGCTCTGCACCTTAAGCTGTGACCAAATGTGAGTTATTTAACAGACTTGGGCCTCAGCTTCCTCATCTGCAAAATGGGGACAGTGAAGACAATTGTCTTGGAGGAATATTCAGGGTCAAAAAAGATCAAGAGGGAAACCCTCTGAAAAGAGGGACGTAGCACACAGATGCAAGGTGCTCTGACAACTGTGATGTCAGCACACCCACCAGCTTCCTCCCAGAGTCCCCTGTCTCAGCTCCCTTTTACTGGGTGCAGTAAGATGTCTCTGTACCCAGTCTTACTGTACCCAGTCTCCTCTTCCTGGTGATCAGTTGTATCCCTGTCTGTTCTGGACTGCAAGCTTGAGGACTGGGACCTTGTCTTATCTCTGCAGCCCCTGCAGCACCCAGCACAGACCCTGCCACATAGTAAGTATCCAATAAAGGTCTTTCATAACACAGAAAATGTCTGTCCTTGTTAGAAAGCCAGTAAATGCAAATTAACACAACAGGGAGGTCCTATTTTACACTTCCTAGATTAGCAATTTAGGGAAACAAATAACATGCACTGCTGACAATGTTATACAGAAACTGGTACACACATTACTGATAATGTTGAAAATAGGAATGATCAAATGATCATTTTGGAAAGCAATATGGCAATATATATCAAGGGTCATAAAATGCTCATTCACTTTGACCCAGTAATCCCACTTGTAATACTGTATCCAATGGAAATCATTCAAAAGAATAACAATTATTTATATGCATGAAGATATTCATTGCAACATTACAATGGCCCCAAATGGAAAACAACCTAAATGGTCAAACAATAGGGGAATTGTTAAGTAAATTATGGTATATAAACCCAACGCACTATTATGTAGCCATTTAAAATATTTATGAAAACTATGTTATGTGGAAAAAATGCTTATGGTAAAATGTGAAATAAAAAAGTTAGAATGTAAAATTATATGTGTGTATAACTACATAATCAAAATGCTGACAAGGATCAGAAGGGACTATGCAAAACGAAATTAATTACTGTGTTAAGGTGGAAGGACTAGAGGTGATTTATTTTTGTTTTTAAACATTTCCTGTAATTTTGTTGTAATGCCATTTTCACAATGCAAAAGTTAGATAGCCAAATAATAAATGTTTGTCAAATGACTACAAGGAGAGAGAGGAGGGGAGAAGGGTGATGTTTGGGGGTCTCCGAATCCATCCCTGTCTGTATCCCAGAGTATCTTGAGAGAGATGCTCAAATGAACAGTTGGATTCTGGATGGAGCTTAGCCTTAGAGAAGTGTGGCCAGGCAAACAGAATTGCCTTGTTTTTTTTTTTGGGTGCCCTCAAATGATTCTGGGTACTTTTGGGGAGAGGTTAGATTTTCTCAGAAGCCCATGCTACCCTGTGGTGTTCTGATGGGGGTTGAGCCAGGGAGGGGTGCAGAGAATGTTCAAGTTCAAGGGCCTGGTGGCATTCGAGGTCTTCTCTGCTGGAGCCTTGCCCACAGGAGGTAGGCTGAGCCTGGGTGAGGAATGAGAAGTCTTCCTCTTTACACTCACCTTTCCTGACCTCTAAGGCTTTGGAAACTATACATCCTGTGTGCCTGAGACAGTCCCAGTTTTCACCTGCTGGCCTGGCATAATTATTAATAGCACTCTTCAGTCTCAAAAGTGTCCCATTTGGGACATGGCCACATTACTGAAACCTCTTTACAGCAGGAAAAGAGGAGAGGAAAGCTGCTCTGTGACTGATGAACGGTGGTGTGATGGTGGGGTCTTTCCCCTGAGGGGCGCAGACCCAGAGATGTCAAGAATTGTTCTAGGTGGGCCCTGGGCCACCTGCCCCCTACTCAAGACTTCCATGAGTTACCTCTGTCCTGGGAGCTGAGTGGGGACCTCTGTGCCTTCCTCTCTCCCTCCCAGGCCTTCCTCTTTGCACATTTCTCCACCAACATCAACGCCCCTCCTGGGGCTTCCGGCTTCCACTGCCTATGACTCTTCCCTCCTGCGCTCCTCTAGGCTGAGCTGTCCCTTTCCCTCCTCTGGACCTCTCCCTCCTGGTAACAGATATTTTCAGTTTTAATCAAGTATTCCTCCCTGTCTCCCCAGCACCAGCTCATCCTCTGCTAAGCCAGTGTAACTCCTTTTTCTATTCCTGGGGACATTTTTCATCCATACTTTCTCCAACCAATGTTATCTCAGCGCTAAGCGGGATCATAATTCTGCCCAATGTCATGGGAATTCTCAGCAATCTTGCTTCTGACAGTGACAATGTCCTTCAGGCTCAAACACCTGAGCACACACAGAGATTCAGACATGACTTCTCGTGCACACAGGCCACACGTCTGCAACTCATATGCTATGTACCTGCCGCATGCAAAATGGCAGGTATTCACATGACATATCCAGCCCATACCACATTTCCACATCACACCCAGTGCATATATATCAGAAACCTCACATGTAATATCTACCCTTCATGGACCCATGCTATGTCAATACACATGACATATCCCATACATGTTGTATACAGGCCTCAGACCACACATCCATTACCTCACTCACACACACAGTCCTCAACCTTTTTATTCTTTTTTGATATGGAGTCTTGCTCTGTTGCCAGGTTGCAGTGCAGTGGCATGATCTTGGCTCACTGCAATCTCCACCTCTCGAGTTCAAGTGATTCTCCTGCCTCAGCCTCCGGAGTAGCTGGGACCACAGGCATTCACCACCACGCCCAGCTAATTTTTGTATTTTTAGTAGAGATGGGGTTTCACCATGTTGGCCAGGCTGGTCTCGAACTCCTGACCTCAGGTGATCTGCCTGCCTCGGCCTCCCAAAGTGCTGAGATTACAGGTGTGAGCCACTGTGCCCTGCCACCCCTCAACTTTACATACAGGCTTTGGAGCCCCTGCAGTGTCAAGATCCTCCTCAGGAAAAAATGCTCAATTCCTACCACAGAGGCCACGTCCCCCGTGCCAAGCTGCACAAGGACTTCAGCAAGGAACATCCATTACTGCTAACGAGCATTACATGCCTAATTAATTCCCAGGCTTGGTCTGAGGATTCAACCTGGGGCCTGATTTCCATTCAGGGAAAATAAAAGGGAAATGTAAGAGGGCTCATAAGCTGTTTAGTAGGATTTAGGTCCTGCCTGCACTTGCCCATTCTGTACCCAAACCCAAACCACTGGGATTATCAGCCTGATAGGATAAAGCAAATACCTTGTCCAAGCAGAGGGAAGTGGGGTTTCCTTTCTGACCACCTTTCTGAAGCATCAGGACCAAATTCTCAAAGTTAGGATGTCTTAGAAGCCTCTTTTGATGGGGTCTGTCTTCTACCCAAGTAAAGGTCCCTTCACTTTTTCCATGAAGCACAGCCCATCCTAGGTACCCGCTAATTAACATCTGATATGCCCCAGTGCGTGTTCCTCGATGTTGGGTAGATTTGCTCATTGGCACACAGTCAGGACCTTCTATACCCAGTCTGGTTTCCCTTTGTGAGATAGGGCATAGAATATGCAAGGATGTTGTCTTGGGAGGGGAGGGCCTGGGTGAAGGGTTAGCAAAGTTGAGGTCTTCCTGGCAAATGTCACTTTGAGATCACTACACTCTCTCCCATGGAGGCCGGGCTGGGGTTCTACCTCAATCCAGCACCAGATCAGAGGTGGAGCACAGGATAACCATTTCCCACTCCAAGTGAAGTACTGTCCTCACATTCAGGAATTTACGTGGGGGGATGGAGGGGTGAAGACATCCATAAGGCAGTGAGGAAGAGTGGTGGAGAGGCTGAGCTTGGGCAGAAAGCTGATCTGAACTTAAATCCACATTCTGCCACCAATTCAGTGTGTGATCTTGAGCAACTACTTATCTTCTCTGGGCCTCTGCTTCCAAATGTGTAAAATGAGATTATGACAGTACTCCCTGCTCTGGTCTGAATGTGTCTCCCAAAAGTTCGTGTGTTGGAAACTTAATCCCTCTGCCCTCGTGAATGGATTAATGTTGTTATTACAGGAATGGGTTCATTATCTTGGGAGTGGCTTCGTTATGAAAGTACTGGTCTGTAGCCTGTTAGGAACCAGGCCACATGGCAGGAGGTGAGCAGCAGGTGAGCGAGCATTACTGCCTGAGCTCTGCCTCCTGTCAGATCAGTGGTGGCATTAGATTCTCATGGGAGCACACACCCTATTGTGAACTGTGCCTGCGAGGGATCTAGGTTGCAAGCTCCTTATGACAATCTAATGCCTGATGATCTGGCATAGAACAGTTCCATCCTGAAACCATCCCCTTCATGGAAAAATTGTCCTCCATGAAACTGGTCCCTGGAGCAAAAAAGGCTGGGGATTGCTGCTTTACCACATGTCTGTGCCATGCTCTTGAACTTCCCAGCCTCCATAACCATGAGCTAAATAAACCTCTATTTTAAATAAATTACCCAGTCTGTGGTATTCAGTTATAGCAATAGAAAACAGACTGTGACAGAAAATTGATACTGAAAAATGGGATTGTTGTTACAGCAGATACCTGAAAATGTGGAAGGGTTTGAGGACTGGGTAATGGGTAGAAGCAGGAACAGTTCTGAAGTGAATGCTGGAAAAAGTCTGCATTGTGAACAGAGCATTAAGGGTGATCCTGGTGAAAGCTCACAAGAAGAGAAGACTGGAGAAAGTCTGGAACTTTTTAGAGATTAAATGGTTGTGACCAGAATGTTGATAGAAATATGCATAGCAAAGGCCACTCTGACAAAGTCATAGATGGAACTAAGAAACAAGGTATTGGAAACTGGAGCAAAGGCCATCCTTGTTATAAAGTAGCAAAGAACTTGGCTGAACTATGCTTGTGCTTGAGAAGATTACGGAAGGCAGAATTTAAGAGTGATGAGCCAGGATATCTGGTGGGAGAAATATCTAAGCTGCAAAGCACGCAGCCTGCTGCATGCCTGCTTTTAACTGATTACAGTAAAGTAAGATAGGAAAGACAGGATTTAAAGACAGAATTTATGATTAAAAAGGAAGCCGAGGTGGGCAGATCATGAGGTCAGGAGGTCGAGACCATCCTGGCTAACACGGTGAAACCCCATCTCTACTAAAAATACAAAAAATTAGCCAGGTGTGGTGGCAGGTGCCTATAGTGCCAGCTACTCGGGAGGCTGAGGCAGGAGAATGGCGTGAACCTGGGAGGCAGAGCTTGCAGTGAGCTGAGATGGCACCACTGCACTCCAGCCTGGGTGACAGAGTGAGACTCCATCAAAAAAAAAAAAAAAAAAAAAAAAAAAGAAGCAGAGAAGAAATATCTGGAAAATTTGCAGCCTAGTCATGCAAAGAGGGAAAAGGTAGGTTTTGGAAATGGCACCTAGGTGTGGCCAAGAGATTGTTTGCTGAAGAGATTACCATACACAGAAGACACCAAGACAATAGGGAGAAAGACCCTGAAGAACATTTCAGAGATCTCTGAGGCTGCCCCTCCCATAACAGGCCCCGAGCTCTAGGAGGGCAGAATGGTTTTGGGGGAAGGGCCCCAGGGTGCCCTCCACAGGCTCCATGCCCAGAGCCAACTAGGGTCTCTGCTCCCTGAATTCCAGCACAGCATAGTGCTCCTTGGCTGACCCAGTCACAGCTCAAGCAGGCCCAGGTGCAGCTTTGGCCATCACTCTGGAGGGAACAGGCAGTAAGCCTTGGTGGCGTCCATGTGGTACTGACTCTGCAGGTATGCAGAGTGTGTGCACTGTGGGGTCATGGTGGCCTCCATCTAGATTTCAAAGGATGTAGCAGATGGTCTGGGTACCCAGGCATAGGCTGATCCCAGCAAGGCTATGGGGATGGGGCTGTCTGAGGCCTTGGGGGCCCAACCCCCACACCAGTGTGTCCAGACTGCAAGACACGGAGTCAAAGGAAATTATTCTCCAGCTTTAAGACCAAATATAATTTTCCCTGTTGGTTTTGGATTTATTTATTTTTATTTTTTATTTTTATTTTTTGTGAGACGGAGTCTCGCCCTGTTGCCCAGACTAGAGTGCAGCGCCATGATCTTGGCTTACTGCAACTTCTGCCTCCTGGGTTCAAGCAATTCTTTGCCTCAGCCTCCCCAGTAGCTGGGATTACAGGCGCCCACCACCACACCCAGCTAATTTTTTGTATTTTTAGTAGAGACAGGGTTTTACCATTTTGGCCAGGCTGGTCTTGAACTCCTGACCTTGTGATCCACCTGCCTCGGCCTCCCAAAGTGCTGGGATTACAGGCATGGGCCACCATGCCCAGCCTGGATTTACTTGTTATTCCTTTCTTCTTGCTAATTCCTCCCTTTTGGAACGGAAGTGTCTGTCCTATACCTGTCCCACCATTGCATTTTGGAAGTAGATAACTTGAATTCACAATCTCACAGCTGGAGGGAATTTACCTCAAGATGAAATGTGCCTTGAGTCTCACCCATATCTGATTCAGATGAGACTCTGGACTTTGGACTTCTGAGTTGGTGTTGGAACAGTTAAGACTTTGTGGCTATTGGGATGGAATGAATATATTTTACATGTCAGAAGACATGAATTTTGGGGGTTGGGGTGGAATGCTGGTTTTTTTTTTTTTGTTTTTGTTTTTTGGTTTTTCTTTTTGAGACAGGATCTCACTCTGTCACCCAGGCTGGAGTACAGTGGTGTGATCTTGGCTCAGTGCAAACTCCATCTCCCAGGCTCAATTGATCCTCCCCGCTCAGCCTCCTGAGTAGCTGGGACTACAGGGACATGCCACCATGCCTGGCTAATTTTTGTATTTTTTGTAGAGATGGGGTCTTACCATGTTGCCCAGGATGGTCTCGAACTCCTGAACTCAAGCGATCCTTGCACCTCAGCCTCCCAAAGTGCTCGGAATACAGGCGTGAGCCACTGTGTCTAGGCAAATGCTATGGTTTGAATGTGTTCCCCAAAAGTTTATGTGTTGGAAACAATCCCTCTGCCCTCATGAATGGATTAATGAGTGTTCTGCCCTCATGATGAATTAATGGATTAATGAGGGCTCTGCCCTCATGCATGAATTCATGTCACTGTTACAGGAGTGGGTTCATTATCGCAGGAGTGGCTTTGTTGTAAAAGTGAGCTCTCTCTGGCTCTCTTGCCCTCTTGTCATGTGATGCCCTCTGCCATGTTATGACACAGCAAGAAGGCCCTCACCAGATGCCAGTGTCACGCTCTCGTACTTCCCAGCCTTCAGAACCATGAGCTAAAAAAAAATCCTTTTCTTTATTAATTACCCGGTCTGTGGCATTCTGTTATAGCAACAGAAAATGGACTAAGACAATACCTCAGGGGGTTGTTGTGTAGTTTAAATGAGCTGAGGTACCCAGAGTATGCAGCAAAGTACCGGACACAGAGTAAGAACTTCATAAGTAGTATTACAGTAGTTGTTTTATTAGTAGTATATTATTTCTTCTAATATTACTGCTACTACAATCACCATGACTACTACTACTGCTGCTGCTGCCGCTGGTGCTGCCACTCTAATGGTCCTGTTGTGCTTAAACTCCTCAGTGTTGCAATAACTGCACAATGTGGCCTCACCTTGTACATTCAACCTTTATTTCCCCAAAGTGATTTTGCTTGACATGGGCTGATACCCCACACACATTCCCATCTCCGTGCCTTTGCTCATGAGGTCCCTGGCCTGGGAGGCCCTTCTTCCCCCTTTACCTAGCCAAATTCTACTCCTCCTTCAAAGCCAAAGCTTTTATCCAGCTTCCACCATGAACCACACCCTCCAAAGGCAAGTATTGAGGTCCTTCCTTATGCATTTCTATGGTGTTTATGATGACGATGAAATGTTTTAAAGACACAAAAAGTAATGAAACAAACACCCATGTACCCACTACTTAGATTAAAAAGGAGAAGACAAATTGTCAGTACAACCGAAGTCTCCTGTGTTCACTTCCTGAATGTGCTTCTCTTTTTCTTCTTAGAGGTAACCAGCATCCTGGATGTGATGTTCATCACTGCCATGAGTATCTTTCTGTTTTTAACACACATATATATCCACTATCAATATATATTATAGTTTTGCATGTTTTTAAGCTTCACATCTACGGGTGAATCTGTGGCTGATGGCTTGTGTCCTCTGAGCCACAGCCCCTCAGCCCACCTGCTTTCAGCACAGCTGTGGTGACAGCTCAGAGCACCCCGCCAGTGGCCCCACTTCAGTCCAGTGTCCTTTCTGCTTTCCTGCCTTGGGCTTTCTCCCGAGTTCCAGGAGGCTGATCAGCCTGTGCAGGCACAGCCAGAGGGGCCAGGAGCTGGCATCCCTGGGGACAACCTTCAACCAACGGGAACAGGGATCAGTGATAACCACCCCAGGTCTGTCCTTCAGAGGCCATTTCTCAAGTCCACGCTGCATGATTCTTCGGAGGGACTCCAGCTGCCCACAGCAGTGACCTACTCAGTCATGCACCCTTTACTGGCTTTCCTCTTCTCTATCCTTTCTCCCTGCTCCCTCATTCTCCCTCCCAAAGAAGCTCCCTGCACACTGGTTCTGCCTTTGGGAACCCAAGCTAAGGCAGTATTGCTTTTGCTCTCTGCATTGCTTTGCAGAATTATCCACGTTGCTCCATATTACTCTATTCATTCATTTTCACGGCCACACAGCATTCCACAGAACTGAATATATATCCCCTTTCCAGGTGATGGACATTTGTGTTGCCTCCAATGTTTTGCTATCACACACAGTGCTGCACTGAGCATTCCCATCCAGGTTTTCTGACAGCCTCAGTGTTTCCTATTGGCTTTTTGACACCGAGTCACACCTGCCTTGACCGTCATTTCATCTTTGGAGTCCATGTCTTCCTAACTAAAGGCAAGCCCTGGAAAGTAGAGGAAGGAAAGGGGCGGGGAGGCAAATTAATTCACCAAATAAATTGAGCAGGGAGCTGGGAGCCTTAAACATAAGCTGAATTCAGATTGGTACCCAGCTTGGCATCACCATCCACTCCCAAAGGACCACTCATTCATTCATGTAGGAAGTATTTATGCGCCGGGCACATTAACTGGGATAACAAGCGTCTATCAACTTCCCCTTCCCCTCTCTAATTCCTCCTTGCATTTTTTCTTTCTTCCCTGCTTCCCTGGGGATCCTCCCAGGCCTCAGGGACTCTTGCAGAAAGGGAAGTGCAGAGGCAAAGGCCCTGTCCCTGGCTGGGCTGCTATCCTTGCCAGCAATAACCTACGCTGTCTCTTAGAACAACATGCTGATAATGACATTTCATGGCCTGTTACCCTGCATGCAGATGGCCTGCAAGTGGCAGCTCCGAGTGCTTGTTGCCGGTCAGGCCTCAGTGATGCTGGGAGGGTGATGGGGAAACAGTCCTCGCAGCATCCAGCCCTCCCATTACACCCCACCTGCTCTGGGAAGGCATCCCTGACTCTCCCAGGCACCAAATCCTGTAGGATTTAGCATTTCCGTCTCATACTTACCATGAGTCAATGAACCAATAAGCATTTACTAAACATCTACTACAGTTGGGATAACTAAACCCACTATCTGCCAAAATGAGCCTGTCAGTTTTCGTATCTGAGCTCTACTGCTTTCTTAGTGGATGGCTTCAGGCAGGTGACTTAATCTTTCTATGCCTCAGTTTCCTTAGCTGTAGATAAGAATGGTCCCTGCTTCATAGGGTTGCCATGAGGGCAAAAGCAGTAATCATGTGTAGGTCCATAGAGAAGCACCTGGCACGTAGTAAGTGCTCTTTGAGGGTGAGCTCTTATAACGTGGAAATTCTCCTGGTCCCATCATAGGGTGGGGTGAGGGCAAGTGGGTGGAGAAATGCAAGAAGCTCTGAAACTCAATTGGGGCAGCTCTCTTCCATCAGAACAGGTCTCTCCCACCATCCTGGCAGCCCTCGGCAGGCAGGAGTTTATTTCCCTTATTAGACTAGATTTTCCCTAGGAAAGTCATCTTCCTCCTCAGATTAGAGGCTCTCCAGCAGTAGGAACAATGTCCTCGCCAGTCTGGCTGCTGCCCACTGTGTCTAGCCCGGGGTTCCCCACTGCCACTTCTTCTCTGGAAGAGGAGGTGATCGGGACAAGCACAGGAGGCACCCTCAACCCTGACATCCCCATGGCCACATGATACCTGGAGGTTTGAATAATTAACAGGAAATGTAAAAACAACTGCTTGAAACACTCAAAAAATTCTTTTTATTATCAGCTAATGGTAGCACTTACCAAAGCGGTTTTATATGTAATAAAATTTCTTTATTGTTTCAGGCTTGGCTTAGAGAGGCAGAAAAGGAGACAAGCCCAGAACCAGGGAGAGCAAAGAGAAGAGTAATTAACAAGATGAATAATGGAAACTTCCTAGGAGCACCAGGAATGATAAATTGAGGTGCATACCTGGCTTCTCTTCAAAGACGGGGTGACGGAAAAAGCAGAATTTCTGAGCCCAGGTTTGGGGAGATGTTGATACTTTGGTATGGAGGAAAGAGCAGGGCTCAGGGGAGAGCTGGATTCTTCTCCTGGTTTTGCTATTTGACCATGGGCATGTCACTTCCCTGCCTGCCTCTGAGCCTCCATTTTCTCCTTTATAAAATCGAGGGATGGTTAAGGGAGCGATGCCCTAAAGTCCCCTCAGTGGCTAAGGCTTTGCATCTTTGTGATGTTAGAATCTGTTTTTCACTATTTCCTCTCCTTTCACACCAGGGATAATAAGATTATAGTCTTTTTGCGGCACTTTAATTTAACGAGGCTGTTCAAGCACATCCCATAAAAACATGGGCGGTGTGCCAGGAGAACAGTAATGTCCCCATTTTACAGATGAAAAAACTGAGGCCCAGGCAAGCTAAGTCCCCATTGCTTCAGTTACAACTACTAGCAGCCCAAGGTCACACCTATTATGAAACAGATACCAGGCTGAACCCCGGTTCTGCCTCTGAGTCCTGTGTTCTTCCCACCTTATAATGCAGTTTCCTAGGGCAGATGATGAGAAATTGAGCCAAGTTCACAAATCCAATCACCTGGGTCTCACTGGCATCTGTGCCGAGCAGCACCTGGATCCAAAGCAGGAGGGGAAAAAAGAAGTGGGCATTCCAGGGAAGGCTTAGTTTAACCCTTGGGCACCTGTAGGGCTTAACAGTTCACTCAGGGCACATACTCCTGCCAGTGCAGTCTAGGGAATGGTTCTCAAATTACAGTCCCCAGGCCAGCAGCACCAGCAGGACTGTCTCCTGTGAACTTGCTGGAAATGCAGTCTCGGGCTCCACCTCAGCCCTACCAAAGGAGAAATGAATGATAAATGGGTCCATTTTCTACAGGGTAATGAGGTGACTACCTATGCGATAGAATTTGAGGGATGGCAGCGATGGGATGCATCACTCCACCGAAAAACATCGCCCTTGAGCAGACATGAAAAGACAGAGGAACTTCCATTCCACAGCGAAGAGGTCAGCAAGGATAAATGCTCCCAGGAATGGAACTGCGGTGACCCCACCCACTCCCAGAGGTGGCGGGAGAGGCTTTGCTCAGAGCAGGTCCTGACAGCTGAGGAGGAGGGGAGTTCAGTGATTCTTGATCTCAGCCTAACTTCAGCCTGGGGACCACGTCTCCTGCCTACGGGAAGAGGGAAGAGAGTGGATATGTGCATTTGCTCTCTAATGTGCTGAGCACTGAGTTAGACCTTTTACTGTTATCATTTCATTTGGTTCTCACAGATAGGCATTCTCCCTACTTTACAGACAGAGAAACAGACACAGTGAGTTGAGTAGACTGCCCAACGTAACTCAGGTTACGTTAAGTGGCTGCACCAGGGTTTAAGTTTCAACCTAGGTCTCGATTTCACCCCTCCCACCCCTGCTTTCTCCACCGGACTACATCCTCTAGGAAGCCTGGACTGTCTCAAAGCCCGGCACCTCCAGACAGAGCAGAGGTGAGCCATTTGGCTGAGGGTTCTGAGCCGGGTCAGGCGGCGGTGGGGTGACGGTCCTGAGCCGGGTCAGGCGGCGGTGGGGTGACGGTCCTGAGCCGGGTCAGGCGGCGGTGGGGTGACGGTCCTGAGCCGGGTCAGGCGGCGGTGGGGTGACGGTCCTGAGCCGGGTCAGGCGGCGGTGGGGTGACGGTCCTGAGCCGGGTCAGGCGGCGGTGGGGTGACGGTCCTGAGCCGGGTCAGGCGGCGGTGGGGTGACGGTCCTGAGCCGGGTCAGGCGGCGGTGGGGTGACGGTCAGCCTTCTCTCATCCCTACCTCGTAGCAAGTGTCAGTTACAGTGTCCGAACTGCTGGTCTTTCAATGATGTTCGCTGGGGTTTAAGAGATGAAAATGCCTCACGTGGTATCAGAGGGCTTACTGTCCAACAAGGAAGACAAATGTAACCCAGTCGAAACAGTTGCCAATGGCAGACAGTAAGTGGCTAGACACCAAAGTGAGTGGTTTAACAATTCAGAGAGGGGAAAGAGAGCTGAGTGTGACCTGGAGCAGCTCAGGAGGGCTTCCTGGGTGAGGTGGCAGGTTACAGGTTCGATCTTTGGCCCTCAGATTCAGCACCTGTGGTGGTGGTGGCTGCAGAAAGTGAGGCACTTCGGACTGGCTCTTCGTCAGCACA
Source organism: Homo sapiens (assembly GCF_000001405.40). NCBI lineage: Eukaryota > Metazoa > Chordata > Mammalia > Primates > Hominidae > Homo > Homo sapiens. The sequence goes on from NW_003315944.2 coordinate 132,214, forward strand.
CTAAAACAATTCCAGATGTTTCACTAATGCAATCCCGGCCTCTTTCTCACATAACAATCATCTTTTAATGACACACACTAATGCAGATTGGGTACACCGGGAAGTATATTTCACAGCGATACGTTCTCTGTCCTTCAGGTAGGGCCCCCTCCAAGTCCTACAAGGTGAGGAAGCTGTCTACAGTGGTGGTGGGAGGAAGGTTCATGCCAAGGGCTGATTATGTGGGCACAGAGGTGGCAGTGCTAAATGGGGAGGGTGAAGCCAGTGGATGAGGAGAGGAGTGGAGGGCATTCCAGGGCCTGTCCCTCATCTGGCTGTCGGAGCACTCACATCACGACTGTCATCACTCACTTCCATGGTTGAAACCTCTAGTAGACTGAAGCTCCAGGGAACAGGAACACCATGCATGGTTATGTATGTTGTGCACTGCTCAAGGTACCTGGCCAAGGGGAAAATGGGGCTGAAATCTAGTCCTCAACTGCCCTACTATAGATTCGTATCCACTCAGAGGAAGGGACTTTTTTTTTTTTTCCCCCCCGGTTTTCACAAAGAGGCCACTTAGGCTGACAATAGCCCTGCCCGAGACCATGCCTGTTTGGTCCTGGCTATATCTCTCTCAGTACATGTTTGGTGCATAAATACCTGAATGAAAATAAATAAATGAATGAACATAAGCAAGAATCCATGAATGACTGCATGGCAAAAAGAACTCTTTGAGATGGGCAGGTTTGTTTTTCCCAATTGGTAAATAAGAAGCTGACTTTTGAAAATTGGGGCAGGAACAGTTCTTCCTGTCTAAGCTGGATACAGCTCTGGGCACGGAACAGGTCTTTGGTAAGTTGATCGACTGGGCAAGAGATAAACTGTGTTTATTAAGGCTCACAGACTGCTGGGCAGAAAATGCAAGCTCTCTGCCTTAGGCTCACTACAGAACAAGATGAAGAACTTCTCTGGACCTCAGATTTCCTGTCTGCAGAGTGGGGGTACCCACAACCCCTTCCTCAGAGGGTTTCCATGACAGTGAATGGAACTGTGCATGAGAAAGGGCTCTGTGCTCCACAACAACTGCCCCCATGCACGGAGGGTCGCCTTGCGCTGCACATTGCACTAGGTGCCTCCGATGTACTGTTCAAAGGTTGGCAAACTGTGGCCTCTGGGTCAAACCCTGCCTGCCATTTGTTTTTGTAAATAAGGCTTTATGAATCACAGCAGGCCATTTCTTTGTATGCTACCTGTGTCTGCTTTTGCTCTCCAATAGCAGAGTGGAATCGTTGCGACAGAAACCTTGTATGTGGTTTGCAAAACCTAAAATATTTACTATCTGGTCCTTTACAGAAAAAGTTTGCCAATCCCTGTATTAACTCATTTAAGCCTTCTAACTACCCTCTGAGTTTAGGGCTCATAATATCATCACTCCCATTTTACAGATGAGAAAACAGATGAGACACAGAGTAGCTAAGTTACGTGCTCAAGGTCATACAGCAAGGAAGTGGCAGAGCTGGGATCTAAACCAGGGTCAGCCTGAGTCCATGCTCTTAAAAACCAAATCATCCTGCCTCTCTTGACCCTTAAGCAGCTTTTCTGATCATAAGGGTTCATGTACAAGATCCTCGACCCCCAGGACAAGGAGGGCTCTAGCTCAACAACTTAGAGCCAATTAGAGGGAGGTATTTGGTCATGTAGCAGAGACAGAATGCACAGATTTCTTTCCCTTTTTTTTTTTTTTTTTTCCTGAGACAGAGCCTCACTCCATCACCCAGGCTGGAGTGCAGTGGTGTGATCTCAGCTCACTGCAAACTTTGCCTCCCAGGTTCAGCGATTTTCATGTCTCAGCCTCCCAAGTAGCTGGGATTATTGACGCGCACCACCACACCTGGCTAATTTTTGTATTTTTAGTAGAGACGGGGTTTCACCACGTTGGCCAGGCTAGTCTCGAACTCCTGGCCTCAAGTGATCTGCCCACTTCGGCCTCCCAAAGTGCTGGGATTACAGGCATGAGCCACCACACCCGGCCAAGAATGCACAGATTTCATTACCCAGGGGACGTCAGAGCTGTGAATGGAGGCCAAGAAAGGTTCAGATAAACTTCTGGGGAACAGATATTTTTCCAGGGAGCTCAGAGCACTGGGGGGGAACATATCAGTTTCCCAGCACTGCTGTAAAAATCCACCACAAACTGGGTGGCTTAAAACACAGACATTTATCAACTCACAGTTCCAGAGGTAGAAGTTCTGAAATCCCAAGTCCTGGCAGGGACACACTCCCCCTGAAACCTGTTAGGGCAGTCCCTCCTCGCCCCTCCCAGCTTCTGGTTTGCTGGCATCCTTGGCCTTCCTTGCTGGCCGCTGCATAACTGCAGGCTCCGCTTTGGCCACCTCATGGGATCCCCCATTTGCATGTCTTTACACGGCCTAGGACTGCAGGGCATACTGGATCAGGTGCCCAGCCTCCTCCAGTATGACCTCATCTTAATTTAACTGATGACATCTGCAATGACCCTACTTCCAAATAAGGTCGGTCACATTCAGGCACTGGGGGTTAGGACTTCAATATGCTTTTTTAGAGGGGACATAATTCAGCCTGTAACAGGGAATGTCTCAAAACTCTGAGGGGCTGTCTCAATCCTTCCGAATCAGGGACCCAGCCAGAGATAGAAGAGAGTCCTTCAGGCAAACAAGGCGGGCTGGGGCCATGGCTGTTTCTTATGGTAAATATTATCTTCTAGAGCTTTCCTTGTCTTCACATATTGAGAGCTCTTCGAGGCTGGGTCTGAGTCTTATTCCCTCTGACTCCAGCAGGTGCAAGCACATAGTAGGTATTCAACAGTGGTTGGCAACCCAATGGTCATGTCTAAGTGTCTCTCAGTGCCACTGTCAGAAATGTAGCAGGGCCACAGGGCTGACCAGCTCTGTGGGTCCTCTTGGGCTGAAATCAGATCAAAGAACAGGGCCTTGCCAGGCCAGCTGGGATGCTGGGGGCGTCCTGGGGGACTGAACTGGCCCCATCTGCTCTCCTGGCAGGACTTCTGAGGGATGTCTGGGCAGAAGCCACGATAATACCACACTGCGTGGCCCAGAGGCCCTTCGCCTGTGTGTTTGCACAGCGAATGTAATTATGCCCGCGTGATGTTGACACAAAAGAAGCCATATTTGAGAAGGCTTTATCAGCATCCAGAGTCCCAGATGACCACAACAGAAAGGTTTTCACACACTGCAATCTAAGGAACGTCCTACCCAGAAGAACTGGCCCTGCTGAGAAGCCAGACTCTTTAGAAGCTGTAATGGGGCAGTGACAGGCACCAGGAACCTACTCATGTCCCCACATGGGACTCTGTCATTTATTCACTCAACAGACACACCCAGTTTCTAGTGAACTGAGCACTGGGGAATTGAAGATGAAAAAGACCCAATACCAGCCCCAGAGCGGGAAGGATGAACAGAAGTAAGCGACCACATAAATGCTGAAGTATTTACAGATCAACCAGCACGATGCCTGGGCAAGGGGGAAAGGGAGTGGGGTAATCATGACATGGGAGTCATTATATTATTCTTTTGCTTTTATATATATTTGAAATATTCCTCAATAAGGCTTTTAAGAAACAAAAACTGAAAAGATGCAAGGGGTGCTTGGTGTAGTGGGTGGTGTATGGAGGAAAGTTTTGAGAATGCTTCCCACAGGAGGCAGTGATCTGGGTCTAATCTGAGAAAGGAGAGGAAACCTCGACCCTTGGGGAGCTTGTACAAAGCAATGAACATCTCCACTATGGCAAGGTGATGTGGAAGGAATATAGTTGCTAGCATCACCCAGACCTGGGTTCGAATCCCATCCATAAATTAGGGAAAATAATACATACCTTATAGAGTAGTTGTTGGTACTAAGGAAGGTAATAGGAGAGAAGGGGCAATGGAGTAGACACTGAATTGTGATCATTTCATCCAACCCTCCACTCATTAATCCATCCATCACCTGCTCATTACCACACTGTGTTCTCTCTGTGCTCCAGTCCACATTGTGAACTTCTTCAAGGCAGAAAGGGAGAATGTACATCTTTCTATCTCTGATGCCACACACAGGGCCAGCACCCCAGGAGGTGCCCATAATTCTCAAGAGTAAACAGGTGATGAGATGTCCTCTTACTTCTGCATTAGGGGGTCACTTTTCTTAAAAATTGAACTGGTGTGCTGGCTCATGCTTGTAATCTCAGTATTTTGGGAGACTGAGAATTGCTTGAGTCCAGAAGTTTGAGACCAGCCTGGGCAAGGTAGCAAGACCTCGTATCACTAAAAATAATAATAATAATAATAATAAATAGCCAGGTGTGGTGGCAGGTGCCTGTAGTCCCAGTTACCTGAGAGGCTGAGGCGGGAGAATTGCTTGAGCCCAGGAGTTGGAGGCTGCAGTGAGCTATGATCACATCACTGCACTGCAGCCTGGATGACAGTGAGACCTTATCTCAAAAAAAAAAAAAAAAAAAAAAAAAAAAAAGAAATTGAACTGGAATGTGAGGAGAATGGAGAGGTGATGTCTTAACCATAAGGCTTGTGTCCACAGAACGAGGAGCTGGGAGAAAGTCTTAGCAGTGCCCTGCAGCAGGACAGACTGGATTATGAAGCTCAAACAGTGCAAGATGAAAAAGTATATTAAGTCAGGATAGTCTGGGTCCTGCTGCTATAATAAACATCCCCCAAATCTAAAAGCCTTAAAATAACAAAAATGTATATATCGCTCATACAAAATCTATTGTGGGTCCAGGCAGCTTCCCAGGGCGGTTGGCCTTCATGAGAGATTCAGCAATCCAGGCATTTCTGTTTTGTAGCTCTACTATCTCTACCTGAGGCTTCCAGTTTGCCATGGCAGGACAGAGCCTCTCATACCTCACTGCTCTCCTGTGGATGCCTAGAGCCCTGTGGCTGTAGAACCCAGGAGGGCTTTTGTCCAAGGGTCCTGAGCCATAGGCTTGGCAGGAGAGAGGGGAGGGATGGGGAGTCTGCTGCTGCCTGCCTGCCTGTCCACTTAAGGCACTTTCTGAGGGCTCGCCTGCCCATCCCAAGCCCTGAATTGCCCTGGGCAGTGGTTGCTCTGATTCAGGACCCCTTGGCTCAGCATCTCAGCTTGATATCAATGCCCACCCAACAGCCCATGGGCTCTACTCCATTTCCCCTTGTAGCCAGGCAGGTCTGGAAGACTAGTCCGGGCCAGCAGGCTGTGAATGGAGTGACATGTGTCACCTCCAAATGAAACACAGAAGAGTGGGTGTGATTCTGACATATACCCTAACTCCCTCAGTCTCTAACAACTGCAGTGCTTTATGTGGGCAGGGCGCTTTACAGTTTGCAGAGTGGTTTACAGTTGGCAGGGCACTTTCTTCACCCTTATCTCATTTGAGCCTCCCTACAACCCTGTGCAATAAAGATGACTGTATCCTGGCTAGGCACGGTGGCTCACGACTGTAATCCCAGCACTTTGGGAGGTCGAGGTGGGTGGATCACTTGAGGTCAGGAGTTCAAGACCAGCCTGGCCAACATGGTGAAATCCTGTCTCTACTAAAAATACAAAAATTAGCATGGTGTGGTGGTATGCACCTGTAATCCCAGCTACTCGGGAGGCTGAGGCAGGCGAATTGCTTGAACCTGGGAGGCGGAGGTTGCAGTGAGCCGAGATCCCACCACTGCATTCCAGCCTGGGCAACAGAGTGAGACTCTGTCTCAAAAAAAGATTACTGTATCTTCATTTTGCAGCTGTGGCAACTGAGGCTCAGAAAGGTGAAGGGACCTGCTCCAGTTCACATGGCAACTAAGTAGCAGGAAGCTGACTCCTCACGCTTCCTTGCCTTATTTTCTTCTTTCTCTTCCCCTAGCTTACTACCTCCCCCTGCAGCCCTTAACGTACACCCAGGATCCCAAATCGCCATCTGGACTATCCAAACTTCCCAAATATCCCACATAGCCTTTGAGAGTTCTTAACCTAATGGAGGAAGCACACCCCAGACTCCAGAAGTGTAGGTACCCAGGCTGCATGCAGTGTAGGCACCTCACGGGACGTGGTGGTCAGGCTTTCTTTAGAGCTCAGCTGAAGCCGAAGGGACGGCAGAGCTGGGTGGATGGTCAGACTTTGGGGACAGGCACTGCCGAGCATCCTGCAGGTTCTCTGCAGCTGCTGCAGGCTGAGGGCCTCAGCTCTTGGCTAAGACTTCTCACGCAGGCTTAGGCTGAGTGCCGGGGCCAAGGGGGCTTCCTTGTTTGCTTTGTTCTTAAAGGATTTGCCCATTTGTAGCAGACACCGTGCCCACTTCTAAAGAGAGAGCCCAGAGCAGTGATGAGGAGAGATGCAGCCCCTGAGCCTCAATACCCAGCCAAGCCTGACTTTGCTAACACACACAGTAGGCTTTGCTGGCCTCTGTATCTTTGCCTAGGCTGTCCCTTATCATATTTTTCCCTCCCCTCTGCCCAAGGCTCACCTGTGTACAATCTGCCAGTTCCCCTCCTCACTCCAATCCCCAGCATCACTGTGAGGAATGGGGACAACAAGGACAGGGAGGTCCCCAGGTTCCCCCTGCAGGTGACACACTGCTCTTTCAGGAAGTGATATTGTCAGTGAATGTACAAAATCAATACACACAGATTTCAGCACATCCCATGAAGTTCACCTCTCAGCAGATTCTGAAAAGCTGGGTCGAAAGGGAGCCACATCAGGTGTTGTGCTGACCTCTGCCTTTTAAAGGAGGACTTAGGAGGCAAACACCCTCCCCACAGATGAGGGATTCAGTGAGGTCCTCTCCAAATGCCTGCTGTGTAGAACAGGCATTTAAAAAGCTGCTGGGCAGTTGTCAATAGCATGGCATAGTGAAAAGAGCTTTTTTTGTTGTTGTATGTTGTTCAACAAACAGAAGTGGGATTCAATCCCAGCTTTGGCGTTTCCTAGCTGTGTGACCTGGGGCCAGTTACTGAACATCTCTAAGCCTCGATTTCTTCTACCACTTCCTAGCTAGGCGAGTTACATGTCTTCTCTGAGCCATGGTTTCCTCATCTACAAGATGGGACTGACTCTACCCTCCTCATGAGCTTGTATTAAGGATCAAATGAAATATGAGCACACACCTACAGCACTGGGAATAATAAACACGAACTCCCCAGTCTTTATGATGGCCATGAATAACCTGTTCCATCCCATAAAGAATAACACCTGGTGTCTAGAATAGACACCTTCTTCAGGTCCTTTTATGTCCTTACTGTTTTTAATCCCTTTTTCCCTGGCCCACAAACTCCATCCAAACCACCAGTGAAGCTGCTTGAAAAGGTGAGAACAAAAGGGGTTGACAGCAGGCAGGAGGCCCAGTGGGCCTGGGGGAGTCTGGGCCGAGCGGCTCTTGCAACATGCCAGCCAGGCTGCCTGCTCTACAGGGACGTCCCCCAGGACTGGGGCTGAGAGATGGCTTCTTGGCCTACATGCCCTCCCGTGGGGCAGAAGCGTGGTCTGAAGTAGAAGGTGTCACACTGGGCCTCGGGTGGAGGGGAGGCCTGAGGGGACATTGTTATCTCCATGGGCCCTGGGAGGAGTGTTTTTTTTTTTTCTTTTTTGACAGAGCCTCTACCCAGGCTGGAGGGCAATGGTGTGATCTCAGCTCACTGCAACCTCTGCCTCCTGGGTTCAAGTGATTCTCCTGCCTCAGCCTCCCTAGAAGCTGGGACTACAGGCATGTACCACCACGCCCAGCTAATTTTTGTATTTTTAGTAGAGGCAGGGTTTCACCATGTTGGCCAGGCTGCTCTTGAATTCCTGACCCCAAGTGATCTGCCCGCCTTGGCCTCCCAAAGTGCTGGGATTACAGGCATGAGGCACCGCGCCCAGCCAGGAGGAGGGTTTGTTTTACTAACTGCTCATGGAGAAGGCTCACAGGAGCAGGGGTTAGAGGACCCAAGGAAGAGCTCTGTGTCTCTCTAAGCCACCCAATCCTGCACTATGTCACCAAGGGGGTGACCCCGCAGGCACCCTTCTCTGGGAGGTTCAAAGGAAAGCAGAAACAGCCATTGGCATGGATTTCAACAAGGGACAGACGGCTTCTCTCTGCAGCCCAGGGGCTCTGTGGGCTTAGCAGCCATGTGAGCAAGTCTGCTTCTGAACCCAGCCACCCTGACTCCCTGCCCACAAAACACCTCCCCGACAGCTCACTGATGACCAAGGGAAGCAACACACACAGAGACATCTTGTGGGCTGGTCTGCAGACGCCAAGTGCCTGGCCTATGCTGGCTGGTAGACTGAACCTCCTGCCCACCTTGCCACGCTGGTGGGTGGCAAAAAGGGAGGGAAAGGCCTGGCCCTCTAAGGGTCCCAGATGGGCAAGTGAGTCCACAGGGGCCTAACTTGCCCCACAAGTGACATTGTTAAGTTCTAGGCAGCAGAATTGACAGATAAAATCCTAACGCTATCCCCTTGTAGAAATTTCTGGGGCCCTCTGCTCAGCACTCCACAGGCATTACCCCCTCCAGACCTCAAGGCAGCCTTGGGAAGGGCACGCTTTCTACATTCTCATTTTACAGTTGGGGAAACTGAGGTTAAATGACCTTCAGCCCAGCTCTCTCTCCTCTCAGAAGAGACCACCAGGGGTTTGTCCTATAATGAGAGGAAGGGCTGCAGAAGAGAGCTGGGGCCAGAGTGGGCATTCTGGGGGAGGCAGCCACAGTGCCCAAATTGCATCCCTCAGCCCCGCAAAGTCACAGCATAAGCTGGAGTCACCCCTGCCTTTGGAACTGGTTAAGTATTGGCTCCCAGATGGGCTATTATTTCCTGGACTGACTGCAAACCAGGCGAGGATCCACTTATTCTCAGGAGGGTAGGATCTAGTCCCTATTATCTTCCTCATCACAGAAAGCCTGTATTCTAGGTTCCAACTCTGGGTTTTAAATTGCATCGTACCTGGGGCTCCTGGGTCAGGAAAAGGGTTGGGGTAGGGGGAGAGGTGACAAAGGAGAAAGGCTGGTGTGTTCATAGTTCTAATTTACTGATAGCAATTAGCTTCCTAAAACGGCTGACCTTTCAACCTTCTGCCTGCCTTCACTGGGGGAACTATTGACATTTAGAATCTATCTGCAGGCCAAGTGCCGCAGTGAGGGAAGCAATGTTTTTTTAATGGGGACTTGCGCCTGTGGAAGCGTTTTCCCCACCCCATGCCATTTGCATACTTTACAGGGTATAGGTCGAGCTGCATGTTAACGGGTTTGCTGGCTTTCTGGAAAAGTGAGTGCCAGTGATTATGGGAATTATTACATATGTGGTTTCCAGATGCATCTGTTGTTGCATCCTTACACCCTCTCTCTGCTCTGGAAGAAGAGGCAGAAAGAGTGGCAACTGGGATGGGGCCCAGAGCTTCACTCCCTCAGGATCTAAGCAGGTAAAAGGGTCCTTTTCCCCACCTGCCTTCTGGCCAAGAACCCACCCTTCTCCCAGAGCTGATGGCGACTTCCAATAGTCACGGCGTCTAGCCCAGCCAGGGCCTCTCTGTCTCTGTAATCTATTCATCCACTCATTTATTCATTTATTCATTCAAGCAACTAATATTTATCAAGGGCTTCTTATGGGCTGGGCACTATTCTAGGTACTGAGGATACAGTCAAGAATTAGACAAATCTAGTCTCTGCTCTCATGGAACCTACATTCCGTGTTAAAAATTTTTAAAAATATAATTGAGACAGGGTCTCACTGTGTTGCCCAGGCTAAACTACAGTGGTGTGATCATAGCTCACTGCAGCCTTCAACTCCAGGGCTCAAGCAATCCTCCTGTCTCAGCCTCCCGAGTAGCTGGAACTACAGGTGCACATCAGCACACCTGACTAGAGCCCCTACATTCTGGTGGAAAAGACAGAGGATAAACAAAAGAACTAAATGCAATACGTGGAATAGACTGTCCAATGTGGGAGAGCAATATGTAGGGAAAGGGGAAGAGGGGGCTGGGGTAGAGACCTACACTTTTAACACAGTGTCAGGAAAAGCCTCAGCAAGGACACATTTGAGCAAAGACCTGAAGCGAGCAGTGAGCCATGTGGAGGCAGAGGAAACAGCCAGTGCAAAGGCCCTGAGGTTCCTGAGAGACCTGCCATGTGCAAGGGGCAGGAGGGAGGTCAGGGAGGCTAGCAATGAGTGAGAGAGGTGGGTAAGGATCACACGGGGCCTTAGACACCCACATGGGGCTTCGGCTCTTACCCTGAGTGTGATGGGAGCCATCGGAGGCCTGGCATGACCTGACCAATGTTTTAAAAGGCCCACTCTGACAGCTGCATGGAGAGTAGCTATTGGGATTAGAGAATAGATGGAGAGCAGTTAGGAGACTCTGGCTGTAATCCAGGAAGAAGGTCATTGCAGCTCCAGGGGAGTCCACACATCTTCCCAGCCAGGGCCCACCCTGACCATCAGAAGGGTCACACATAATCCCATATGTGCCAGGGATCAGCCAAGCACTCACCCTGGGATTGCCGGGCCATTTCAGAGGCTGGCACTGCCCTCTGGGGGTTTAAAGCCTATCTTGGGGCAAGAAGATGCCTGAGTTAAAAGATAATTAGCCTTACCTGGCAGCATTTACAGAGAGCTCTTCCCAAGGGAATGACTGAGGGCATCCAGTTCAGAGGAGCATGGCTTAGGCATTTTTCTGTGACAGATATGAGCCCCAAAGGACAATCATTACAACGAACACTATGCCTCATAGCACTTGACCATACAAAGTGCTTTCACCTCCATTATTTCATGGGAGTCTCACAACAACCCCACAAGTTAGGTATTATTATTTTATTATTGTTAGTATTATTCCCTTTTTGCAGATGAAGAAACTGAGGCCTCAGCTGGGGGAGCAGAGAGGAAGTACAGGGAGTCAAGACTGGGAGATGAGTGTTGGCGGGAAGAAGGGTGGACCCTGGAGAGTCCTGGGTCTCATTGCTTCCATTTTCCATGCCAGACAAGCCCATTCAGACTAAAGAGGCTGGGATGGGAAGCAGGAAAAAAGCCAAGACTTTCAGGAAGTAGACTCTGAGACCTGGTCCACCCCAGACCTACCAGGTCAAACACCCCCTTTTCCAACAGAGAAGTCTGTCTCAACTCCATCCAGGGAAGAAAAAGCACAGAGGGAAGACAAGAGTTGGCTTATCCCAAGTCAGCTCTCTCTCAAAGGCTTCCCCCTGCCCATTCCACCAGATGAGAGCATTCCGCCCAGCCACTTCAGATTTGCCATGCCCCAGAGTTGTTAAATGAAGGTGCTGGTGGCAGCCATCCCATCTGCAGGGGCTGGAGCCTTGGGGCATGCTCGGTGGCTCCTTGGCTCTGTGTAGCTTCTGCTCTCACAGCTGACCAGGGCTTAGAACTCAGAGGGGAGGGAGGGAGGAAATGACTGGGAAGGGCTCACTGGTCGATTTCGGCATCTCTGGCACCTGTTCGTTCAGGTGCTCATTTAGACTCCAGAGAAAGCGAGTGCTGTGCAGTTTCGTGGAACTTCCTTGGGAACTTGAGCCCACATTTATAATAGATTTATAAGAACAGTGTAGACATGTTTGCTGTTTTTTCAGCCCCTCCTAAGTGATGCCATTATGGCGGCCATAACTCTTATTTACTCCATCAGCAGGCTGCTGGCAACGGCACAAAAATAGATTTGGAGAATTTATCTCATACATGCATCATGAGGAGGCAACAGAGGCGCACAGGTGAGATTTATGTGGGTAGGGGTGAGCATCCATCATCCCCACTTTCCCATTAACGCTGCTCCTCAAAGAGAGGCATTAGCCTTCTTAATCAGAGCAAAGTAATTGTTTAAACTTCCTCCCTGCAACGGGCTCATCACTCCTCATTGCTCTCCAGGTGGGGCTGTGCTGGGGGTGGGGGGCAAGGTGTTTGCTTTCAGAGAACAGCAGGATGGATGGTAAATGATGATGGTGAGATGATGGCCCAGCCGTCCTTGTTACTTCCCCTGTTACTCTGGTATGGGCCACAGTCAAGGAGCTCCACAGAAGGGATGCCTGGGTGTTTGGGAAGAGGTCTGTTTGTTTTATGACTTGAAAGAGCTCTCAAAAGCACATAGAGGTTCTTGTCTCCAAATTCACCAGCCTCAATCCTGATCCACATCCTGGGCTGCGCTGTGACTCCATTTCAACTTGAAACGACTTTTCCCCTGTCTATTCCAGGCCTGCCTGTTCTTCAAAGCCCAGATCAAATCATGCCTCCTTCTCGATGCTTTCCCCAACTGCTAGCAGAGAGGGCTAGGAGAAGCTACTCTAAGCCGAGAGAAAGATGATAATGGGCCAACTCCCGAAACTACCATCATCCAGGCCTCCCCTCAGTGGCTGTGAGGCTGCACTAGGGGGCTTCTAGGAACCTTCTGAGGCCCTCCCATCTTTGAACAACTAAACCATGTTAGAAGGTTCTCAACTCTGGCTACGTATTGAAATTCCCAGGGAGCTTTTAAAAAATACCAAAGCTTAGCCCCACCCTTGACCAAAGAAATTAGAATCTCTGGCGAATTGGGCATCAGTATTTTTAATGCCCAGGTGCTTCTAATATGCAGCCAGAGTGGGAAGAATCAACTTAGGATCTTGATGACCCAGTTTATAATGACTATGGTAAATGCCAAATGGATGGATGCATGGGTTGATGGGCAGATGAATGGACAAGTGGACAGGTACATGGATGGATAGATGGATGGATGCATGAGTGGCAGGGTGGATGGGTAGGTTGGTGGGTGAATGGGTGGGTGGGCCAGTGAATGTATGGATAATAAATGGATACTTCCTTGTAATTGTTCACTACTTTCACTGGATTAACTTTGCCTTCTCATTGAGCTTCCTTAAGGCAATGATTTTTCATATCCTTTGTGTTTTCCACAATGCTTAGCATAGAGCCAGATATAAGTATGCGAAGGAGTACTAACATCCTTGCCTGTTAAAAACACTAGACGAGGAGATGGGGACTTAAATATTACATCTTCATTGATTGTGACTTTAGTTCAATTAACCTGCTTTAGATTTCTCATGCTGTTAGTAACAACATGGCAGGGTCAAGTGGCTCAGATAATTTTGAAATGTAGTATACATAGGGGAATGGGGTTATCATTATTATCATTATCATTATTTAGTTCCCCAACCCAACAGCAGTTTTCCCAATCTCCCTTACATTGCTGGTAATCAGCAGCCATCCTGCCTTCTGTGATGTTTTAGTTGCCACCCTCAGGGCCCAGACCCCTGCTCATGGAGACATGGCCCAGACACTCTGGGAACCCTTGAAACCTAACACTAATCCTCTCCATTCCCAGCCAGGGCCAGGACTCAGCTCCCCCTCCCCTGGCACCAATTTTTTTTTTTTTTTTTTTTTTTTTTTTTTGAGACAAGGTCTCACTCTGTTGCTCAGGCTGGAGTGCAGTGGTGTGATCATGGTTCACTGCAGCCTCAACCTCCCTGGGCTCAGGTGATCCTCCTACCTTAGCCTCCCAAATAGCTGGGACTACAGGCATGCACCACCATGCCTGGCTAATTTTTGTAGAGTCAGGGTTTTGCCATGTTGCCCAGGCTGTTGGTCTTGAACTCCTGAGCTCAAGCAATCTGCCCAGCTCAGCCTCCCAAAGTGCTGGGATTATAGATTTGAGCCACCATGCCCGGCCTCCCTGACCCCTTTGATCTCCACTGGAGGCCTTAGCCTTTCTTTTGCCAGTTCTCCCCTCCTGGCTGGCATCCTTGCCCTCTTGGGTCCCCAGTTCCCAGCTCTGCTCAGTTCCCTGAAGCCTTCCTGGCAGGGCTGCCTGGCCCAGCCCCTGTCTCCTAAGTGCCTGCCTGGTTGCGTTGATGCAGCAGCTCCTAGCCAGCTGCTCTCCACTGGCTGGCAGTCCACCCTGTACTCTAGCCAACCATGTGAAACACAAAAGCGATCAGGTCCCCTCTTGGTTTAAAATTCTCTGCAGGCTCCTCCATGAGGGCCTCTCACAGCCTGATCCTAACAGGTCCCTCCAGAGTCAACTCCAGCCCCTCATCTCCACCTGCCCCCACAGACTCTCCAACATTCCCAGACTACCTGGGCCCTTTCCCAACTCCTGGCCTTTGAATGTGCTGCTCCCACTGCCTAGAATGTCCCTTCCCCACTCTGGCTTCTTCACTTGGCAAACTCTAACTCGGTCTTTAAAAATCACCTCCAGGGGTGTCTGGATGAAGATTTCCTCCATTGGCCTGGGCAGAGTGAGCGGCCTGGAAAATGGAGTGAGCACACATGTTGAACACTTGGGCTGCAGAGGTATTCTTTTAAAAGTATCACAAGAAAGGCCAGATAATGGAATTAGGGCCTTACTCTACTATATAAAGTCTTCATTTTAAACACACAGTCATTGAGAGGTGCTCTTAAATAGGGAACTACCTTGGGAAATTTGATGCAGTCCTCAAACTTGAGGAAAAGGCAGGGTTATGAGGGTGGTAAAGGGAAGATTAAAGGTGGAAACGAAGGAAAGAGAGGGAGGGATAGTAAAGAGAAGAGAAAAGGATGAAATACAAAAGGGAAGAAGGGAATAGTCCAGAAAGTATATGTCTACATCTCAAGATTATAAAAGAGGCTATTCTCTAGAAGCCGGCAGTAAATTAGATGCTATTATTGGTGTAGACATGGAATCTGGAAAAGTGAGTACAGACTTAGAATCTGGGTGACTGGGTAGCCATCCCTCCTGTATTGAACCACACAAGAAAGACTAACCAAGTTAGCTCTTGATAAAATACACCCACAATTCCACCGGCAAGTGCTCACTGCCCTTAGACAAGATTCGTGGTCAAACTGTACCGGTTTAGCTCTGATAAGGCTGCACACTACTGAACCTTTAGATTATTTTACGAGATGTAATGCATAAATACTCTGGGCCATTGGCACTAAGGATTCAGTAAAACTATCGAGATTCGTAGGCCCAGGATAAAGCTCATATAAAGTTCGTGTTCTTTAGCTAATGCAGCTTTCAATTATGCTCACCCATTTTACACTGTAAAAGATGTAATTTAATCAAACATTTAATTTGCAAGTGTTTTTCTTCGTAAATGTCATGTACAAGGAGATATTCAGACGTGATCCACAACATAATTGCACGAGGGTGCCTCGTTCGGTAGCGTGTGTTTGTGCTGGTGTGTCAGAATCGGGGGGACAGAAACAGCCTCTTTGGTTCTATGTATTTCTTTTCTCATTTCAGAGCATAGAGCATTTGGAAAACAAACCAGCTGCTATTTATAATGTTTGGTAACATTCGGGACTCAACACAGTTTTCACGTAAAGATCTTGCCTGTGACACAAGCTCTGTGATTCAAGAACCAAGTAAATGGAAGGGACCAACTTGTTGTTCAGTTACTAGTTATTAAATCACAATGGTGGGAAGCCTCACGCGGCCGCACTGCTTAGGTTTTACATACAGAACAACCTCAACATGATTCGGGAGGCTCTGCAGTTGAGGGGTGGTGGTGGTTTCCATCTCTCTCGTAGAGACTGGCCAGGATAAAAAAGAAGCCCCGAATTCCAGAGTCAGGAGAATGGGCTTTCTGACCATTAGTATGACACTGGATGGAAGGCTTCGGGAAAGCATGGAGGCAAATGGCTCTGGTAGGGTGATCCAGGCCCTTAGTAATTGAAATATGGTCCTAAACCAGCAGCAGCAGCACCATATGTGAGCGTGTTAGAAATGCAGAGTGTCAGGCTCCACATTTCACCCCCTTCCCCAGCTACTATTGGGAATCTGTACTTTAACGAGGCTCCCAGGTGACTGATGGGTGCATTCCAGTGGGAGAAGTGCTGGTCTAGTTAATGCCTTACCCAATCCTTCCAATCACTGGAAGCATCTGACCCATTTGATTTCTTGCTGTTCTGGGCCTGGAGAGAAGAGGGAGGGGCTGTAGAGGGGGCAGGGTGTGGGGTGGTAAAAAGGAGCAGGACTTAACCTTCTGAGCCTCATTTTACCCTTGTAAAACAGGAGATCAAAATAGGAGCCCCAGTCAGCATTGTTGTGAGGATTATAAACAAGATAATGTAGATATAGTGCTCAGCCCTGCACCTGATATAGTAGGTACTTAATAGCTATTGATTCCCTACCCACATGAGCCCGACATGTGGACAGTCATGCAAGCAAGAACCTTAGCCTGCCCCCGATCTTCAGCATTGGGCCTACAACTCGTAATTCAGGCAAGGACATCTTCGTCTTTTGAGAAGAAAGGAAACAAAAGCCAGAGAAGAATGCAGGGCCCTCTCAGTGGTATGAGGCTATAAGCACCAATAACATAGAAAGGTAAGCTCAACAATGAGACCTCACCTACCCAGAAGGGGATAGAGTGAAGAACTGGTCTAGCCCTTAGGAGGCTGGAGCTCAAGACTTGACTCAGCCAGGAACTTGCTGTGTGACCTTGGGCCTCAGTTTCCCCCACTGGGAAACTGACAGCGTCGGATTCATCACCTCCAAGGTCCCCCTTCACCCTGTCATTCTCTGATTTTGCTTAGGGATGCCAGGAGCAGCTTTCGCCAAGCTGCATGTGGACTTTTCTCACTGGGAAAATTAATTCAGTCCTCAATGTTGCAGTCTATAAATTACTGGCCAATCTGTTTCAGAAATATTAAAGGAGCATTTATAAATTGCCCCTTCCATTCAATGCTGCAAAATAAAGATTTTGGGCCCTTCAGATGTTTATCTTACTTAAAACCACAGCAGGAATCAATCTCCCCCAGCCTTCATGGGAGAGAACATCATTTCAGGGGGTGGTGGGGAGGATGTGTCAGGCTGACTCTCCCTTCCCATTCCCCCAACTCCCTGCTCCTGAGAATTCACATTCCAAAATTCAAACTGGAGGCTTTCGGTGAAGCAAAACGAGGGTAGGGCGTCGGGGAGGTTGGCTGGTGGCAGGCAGCTTGGGCTGGGAAGATTCCCCTGAGCAGCGCTTGAAGGGCAGAGGGCAGTGGTGCTGGCTCAGAGACCCTAAGATCAGGGCTGAAGAAGTTAAGCTGTCTTTTGTAGTAATTGATTTTGACAGTGTAACAAGTTAATTCGTCACTGTTTTGCAACTTCCTTGAGAATGCATTGGTAAGCAGCATCCCGTAGGATACCTTGTAATCACTTGTAAACTCAAATTAGGTCTCCCAGTTAAATATTGTTGATATCAGGTAGAGCTGGGCTGCTACAATGACTACAAATGTGCTGATTTCACCTTTTCTATTACGTCAAGGACATGTTCTGGCTAAAAGTGATGCAAGCAGATGAAGGCTGTTATAGGCACCTAATTAGGGTCATCATACTAACTGGAAATACCTTTATAGGAGGGGTGGAAAGGTGGACCAGGTCCCCTACCCTTTAAATACACACTTATTCTCCTATTATTATGATTATGTTTAGGCTCACTGACATTTCATCATAAAAAAGGAAACAAACTAGGATTCAAAAGATCTGTTCAGGGCCCAGCTCTTAAGTAGAATTAATACCTGAACGAAAACCCCCTTTCAGCAGGGTCTTCTCAATACTTTATTGTAATAGTTTATCAGGAACAGTTATTTTAATGCCAGGCCATAAAGATGAAATCAAGCAGTAGCTTTATTTCCCAGGAGTTAACTATTAATTGCCACACAAAAAGAATTTAGAAATGACATGGGGAACAAATATTCCAGCTTCCTGCAAAGTGAAAAGAATTCTTTAATATTAGCATCTCCACAATAGGGTGCACACTGAGGCTTAATTAAAATGCACAATTGTTCTCTGATGTTTTTTATTCTTGGTGGTTTCAATGAGATGGGCTCACAGATGGAAGCCGGGGCCATATCCCTGCAAGATGGGCTGACAGCTCTTGATAAAGCACCACCTCTCAGCCATATAACAGGGCAACGGCAGTAAATGGATAATATCAGAATACAGGCTGTGCGGAAGGCAAATGCAACTTTACCTAAGAGCCTTAAAATGTTTTAACTACCATTTCCATCAAGCCTGGAAGTTTGAAATGCGGCACTAACACACTTCTTCAAGAAGCTGTTTTCTTTCCACCCCCAGAACTAATAAATCCAAAAGGCCTACTTAGGCTAAGACAAGCCAGGAGCTGAGGAGGCAGTTTCAGGAGCTGTTAATAACATCTCTCCAAGGGGTTGAGAGACAGCTTTGGGCTGGGCCCCGGAGCACCCCAATACAGTCAGGCAGAGACAGATCTGGGGAACAGGTTTCAGGGCTGAGGCATCCCAGTTATGTACTTCCCCCAGATTCCCCCTCCACAGGTCTAGAGGCTCTGAGGAAGGGATAAAGTTGCCTCTGGGTGCCTCAGTCATTCTCTCTCTGTAGGGAGGCATCAGGGGTCACTTCATGCTATCCTCCCTCTTCGGGGTGGCCCTATTCCAGTGCATCCTGCTCCCTACCAGGAAGGAGGAGGAGGAGGTGGTGATGCCTCCTTTGATGACATGCAATGCTGTTATTTAGCTGATACACTTTGAGATGTCTGTCCCAGTCATGAAAATCCTGAAATATCTCCATATTAGCTGATAAAGAACCATTTCCCCAAGCCCTGTAGTGCCCTGAGTCTCCCCATTACCCCAGACCACCTCAGCCCCTTCACTGGGACCTCCCCATCCAGGACTCCCAACCACTCGGCAATTAAAGGGTTGATCCTTCCCCTGCTAGGAGTCTGGGGGTGAGTAGGTCAGGGCCCCGTCATCAAACCCCAGTGACTGTTGAATATTTGGAACATCCCCCCTAGTTACCCTGGAGGAGCCTGCTCCAGATTTGGCTCCATTTAGAAACCATTGCTCTAACCTTAACTCACATGGAGGACCAATGGGAGGGTGTGGCTTAGTGGCACAGCCGGGGAGAACCCAGCCCAGAGCTGTTCCCTCCCCCGCGCCATCCTCACCACGAGGAAGTTCTCCACTAGCTCTAACCTAAGTCTTTGTTGCACTTTCTCTGGCTCAGTCCTGCCAGGCTCATTAGAGCCCCGCTACCCCTTCTCCCAGCCCATAGCATTCCTGCAGAAGAGGAAAGGCGCCCTGCTCAGCAGGTCCTCATTCGGCTAATTGGGTTTTAATGGTCCTAGGCAGAGGAACAGGGGCTCATCGGCTGCCATATTTGCCCCACAGTCCAAGTGGGGATGTCAGGAAAAGTGGGGTGTGTGGCTTAATGAGCAACACCTGCAGCCCTCATTACCCATGTGCTTTTGACTCAGCAAAACTCCCAGCCCTCCCGCCCCTGCCCAGTCCCAGAGACCCCCCACAGCGCTAGCCAACCAGTTGCCCCAGGTTCTTAAATTCAGAGAAATATGAACTGTGCTGGCTGAGGAGTGGAGAGGGTGAGCAGAGGGAGAGATCCAGTGATCCCCATTTGTCAGGGCCAGAAGAGGACCAGAACGTCCCAGAACCCCAGGGACTCCCCTGCCCACTCTACCTACGGTAGAACTGCTCCTTCTAGAAGAAGCCCGGCTCCCAGGCAGGGAGCTAACATGCTGATTTATTTACCTAATTATAGTAAAACAAACAAGCTGGAAACTAAGGCAAATCTGCTATCTTGCTCGAAAAACAACCACACCTCCTTGGCCAGGGTTCCTGGGAAGGTTGGGCAGCACAGAAGGACAGGGAAGTGTCTGAGGGGGAACCTGGGAAGGGACAGGTCAGGCAGTGGGTGGGGGAGCATTAGGATTGTGGGATGGGGGCAGGCGGGGAACCAAGGGACAAGAGAGACAGAGGGATGGACAGCAGAGGGATGAAGGATGGGGCAACAAAGAGATGAGTGACTAGGAGATGGGGCCCGGGACCGGAGA
The DNA here is from genome assembly GCF_000001405.40 of Homo sapiens. Classification (NCBI taxonomy): domain Eukaryota; kingdom Metazoa; phylum Chordata; class Mammalia; order Primates; family Hominidae; genus Homo; species Homo sapiens. The sequence goes on from NW_003315944.2 coordinate 151,965, forward strand.
TACTGTGAAAGGGGAGTGGGGTTGACGGCTAAGGAGTCAGAGGGATGGGGATGGAGGGGGAAAGAGAAGGCAGGGAGGTGGAGGACAGAGAGACAGAGACACGGCAAAAGCTGCCCCAGAAGTGGTGGCAGAAGGAAGAGATGGAGCAAGCACCAAAGCCTCAGGTCAGAAAATCCAAATCCAATAAAATCCCAAACTCCTTTCCATGCCCTTGAGACCCCCAAGCCAAACACAGTCTCTCCCCTTGCAGAACTAGCTCAGTACCCAGCTACTGCTGCTCTAAGCTGCTGCCCACCATTGAATGACACTGCACGCTCCATCCAGCCTCCACGCCTTTGCGCAGAAGCCTCCGAGGGATGTAGCCTTCTCCTCTCTGCAGTACCTGTTGGAACTGTCTTCCTCCTTCATCCATGTCAAAGGCCACATCCTCTGTGAAGTGTACCCTCCAGGCAAATGACCCTCTGTCCTCTGGGACCCCCCAAGGCACTTGGCCCCCCCGCCATGGCTTCAGCCTTGGATGTTGGTTAACCTGGTGTGTCTGTCCCTCTCTCTAGACTGTGAGCTCCTGAGGAGAGACCACATCTGTTCATCCCGTGTCCTCGCAGCACCTACAGCACTAAGTGAGCAGGAAAGATCTGTGCAGTTGAACTGATTGTGGACAGAGATCTAGGAATATGAGAGGAAAACTGACAACAGATGTGAGGATATGACAGTCTAAAGGGACGGAAACAGAGACCCTCATGAGGCCTAGCCTCTGTGGCTTGAAGCAGTCTGGGCAAACCCACCTGCTGTGCCCAGGACCCATGGCGTTGGCTCCTAGCCCTCCTGAGGACGCCTAGGGCTGGAATGGGGACTGGAGGGGCAGGGATTCCCCAGCTAGGGCCAGGGTAGCAGTGAAGATGGGGAGCCCAGTTAGGAGGAGGAGCTGGTTACAGAGACCTGGGCCTCAGGAAGGATTAAAACAATGTGACTCCCAGGCGCCTCACTGAAACGTGGTGACTGAAGGCTGTCACCTCAAAACCTGGGGACCTTTTGGATCAGGGCCAAGGGGTAAGTCCCGACTCTGATCAGAGGACCAGGGAGAGTGGAGCTGCCCCACCCTGACTTCACAGAGCAGGGGCTGAGGCCCAGGGAGTGCAGGCAGTCCAGGGAGTTACTGCAGGCCGTCCCAGGCATTCTGGCCAGGGCAGTTTTCCCACCTCACTGTCCCCTTCTCCTAACATGGGGCTGGAAAGGCTTGACCCCCACACGTCAGACTTAGCCTCCTTTACTTGTTCACTTCCATTTCTCTTGAGTGTGGGGCATGGCTCCAGGCATGGGGAGATGCTGGAGGAGGCAAGAGGAGGCCCCACAGCTGGCTGACAGCTACAGCAGAGACAGAAGGCAAACTCATGACCTACTCAATAAGATGATCACAGATTGTCATCAACGTCTGGCTGGTGATTAGGGGCACAGTGCCTAGGGTAGGGGGTGCTAGAACCTCTTTTTTTGAGCCTTTTTTTTTTTTGAGGCAGGGTCTTGCTCTGTCACCCAGGCTGGGGTGCAGTGGTACAATCATAGCTCACTGTGGCCTCAAATTTCTGGGCTCAAAAAATCCTCCCGCTTTGGCCTCCCAAGTAACTGGGACTATGGGCATGCACCAGCACACCCAGCTAATTTTTTAATTGTTTTGTAGAAACAGGGTCTCCCTATGTGGCCCAGGTTGATAATCAAACTCCTGGGCTCAAGTGATCCTCCTGCTTCAGCTTAAGTAGCTGGTACTATAGGTGCACACCACCACACTTGGCTAATTTAAAATTTTTTTGTAGAGACAGTCTTGCCCAGGCTGGTCTTGAACTTCTAGGCTCAAGTGATGCTCCTGCCTTGGCCTCCCAAAAGTGCTGGGATTACAGGTGTGAGCCACTGAGCTGGCTTGCAGCCTCTTTTTGGTCAGGTGATCTGGGAAGGCCTCTCTGGGAAGGTGACATCTGATATATGAGCAATCAAATGTCACCTCTGCAAAGAGCAGGAGGAAGCTCTTTCCAGGCACAGAGAGCAGCAAGCAAAGGCCCACAGGCTAGGGTGGCCCCCATGTTTGTCCCCTCCCATCTTGAGTATGGGCTGAACTTATAACTTGTTTCTAACTAATAGAATATGGCAAAGATGATGGGCTGTCCCATGTTAGGATATGAGGAAAGCTTTATTTTGCTAGCATGCACTAGAAAGACTTTTGTCCCTTACTAGCTAGAAGTTGCCACGTTGTAAAAGGCCAGTGGAGATGGCCACATGGCAGAGAACTGTGGGCAGCCTCTAGGAGTTGAGTGTAGCTCCTGACTGACAGCCTGCAGGAGGATGGGGCCCCAGTCTTATGGCTACAGTGAGATAAATTCTGCCAACAACCAGAGGGACCTTGGAAACAGATCTTCCCCAGTCAATCCTCTGATGAGACTGCAGCCCACCGACACCTTGGTTGTAACCTTGTGAGACACTGAGCAGAGGAGCCAGTTAAGCTGTGCCCAAACTCCTGACCCACAGAAATTATGAGATAATAAATGTGGGTATTTTATGCTACTAAATATGTGGGAGTTCTTTCTACAGCAATAGAAAGCTAATAAGGTGACATAGTGAGCTTTGTAGATATTTGGGGGAAGACAATAATTGCAGGTAGAAGACACAGCCAGTGCCAAAGGCCCTAAGGCAGGAAAGGAACCCTATGGAGGTCAGCATAGCTGGAGCAGGTGTGCAAGGGAGCAATTATAGGAGATGAGGTTGAGTGGCATGATTGAGTGACATGGAAGATTGTTTTTATTTGTGAAAGTGATAGACATTTTTGTTAAACCATCCCTTTAAATTATGGAAAAGAGTGTTTTCAGATGTGAGTTTTAAAAATACGATCTACAAAAACATCTAGGTCAGGTATGTGTATTCTGAGGAGCTAAGATGTCACTGAACCATAGAGTGTTAAAAAGGCATATTTTCACTGCTGTGAAATTTCTCTTTTATTCAAATGCTAACAAGTTACATAATTTCAAACAAATGGCTTTGCACCTAGACAAATTGATACTTTTATTTGAAAACACTCCAGGACAGGCTTGAAGCTTTAAATATCATTTCTAAGTGGCCCCTGGAGGCTTTTGAGCAGAAGAGGGATGTGATCTGACTCATGTTTTAGAGTTCACACTGGTTGCTGGGTAGAGAATGAGATGGATGGGGCAAGGTCAGATGCAGGGAGCCCAGATGAGAGGCAGTTACACTAGTCTTGGTGAGCAATGAGAGAACTTGCCAGGGGTCCCTCCCAACTAATCAGCCCTAGCTCCATTTCTGATGGGCCCCTGGGGTGGCCTGGAAAGCCTGGGGAAGTGATACAGCCTGGCCTTCATTCTTGGGCAGCAGAAATTCCAGGCCATAGTTCCAGCCCCAAACCATGCTGCAGGAGCACCTACTGAGTGTGTGCACGGCCTCTCCCCACAAGTCTTCATTGTAAGTCTTTCTGCCTGGGTACAAGGGCCCCAAGTGGGGCTTAGGAGAGACAGACCCCAAACTATTTTCAGGGAGCCTTTCTTGATTAACCCCCGAAATTTGGAGTATTTCTTAGCCTGCAAGCTCTCTACACTTGGGAGTTCTCCATTAAATTTGCATCAGTCAGATTAAAATCTGTGGAGGAAAGGGATAAAGGGAAGAAAACAAATATTTGTTAAGAACCCACTCTTTGTCAGACATTGCTGGGAGCATGTACTTCTTAAGTGAAGCTTGTGATTGGGTATGACTATCCTTACTTTTTTCTAATGAGGAAACAATCTCAGAAAAGTCACATTATAGGTTCAAGGTTGCACAGAAACTGTCAACTCTGCAGGTGGGATGTGAACCCAGTCTGTCTAACTCCAAAGCCCATGTTCAGAACCTATCACCACACCTGCCACCTAGCACGTTGATGAAACGCCATAGCAACAAAACAAAATACTGGCTGGGCGCAGTGGCTCACACCTGTAATCCCAGCACTTGGAGGCTAAGGAAGGCAGATCACTTGAGGTCAGGAGTTCGAGATCAGATTGGCCAACATGGCAAAACCCCATCTCTACTAAAAACACAGAAAATGAGCTGGGTGTGGTGGCGCACGTGTGTAATCCCAGTTACTCTGTAGGCTGAGGCAGGAGAATCACTTGAACCCAGGAGGTGGAGGTTACAGTGAGCCGAGATTGCACCACTGCACTCCAGCCTGGGCAACAGAGCAAGACTCTGTTTGAAAAAAAGAAGGAAAGAAAACGCTGTATCAAACAACTTCAAATCCCATTAAATAACACATTTTCCCCAGGTAATACTCACTACAACAGAATTTCAGGACAATTAATGAATTAGGGCCATCTCTTGGAAGGGTAGGGGTTTGTGAGATGATTTTTTCTTCTCTTTTTGAGATGGAGTTTCACTCTTGTTGCCCAGGCTGGAGTGCAATGGTGTGATCTCAGCTCACTGCAGCCGCCAACTCCCGGATTCAAGCGATTTTCCTGCCTCAGCCTCCCAAGTAGCTAGGATTACAGGCATGTACCACCATCCCGGCTAATTTTGTATTTTTTTTCTTTTTTTTTAGTAGAGACTGGGTTTCTCCATGTTGGTCAGGCTGGTCTTGACCTCCCAACCTCAGGTGATCCACCAGCCTTGGCCTCTCAAAGTGCTGGGATTACAGGCATGAGCCACCACTCCCGGCCTTGTGAGATGATTTTTATATGGTTTTTTAAGTGCTATTGTTCCATCATCTTATAGACAGGGTCTAGATTCCTCCATCAGGCTGGGAGCACTGTGAGTCAGAGCCTGGAGCTCCCACCCCAACCTGGGAGTGTCTGGAAGGCACCAGGTCTCCTTCTAAGCCCTCTTCCTCCTGGTCCATGCAGTGCCATGCCAATAAGCCCTGATTCACTGGCCCTTGTGTCCATAGAGACCCAGCAGGTTTTAAAAGCACAGTCACAGCTCAGAGGCAAGAGGGGAAGCAAATGCTGCCACGGGTGGGGCAGGAGGGGGATGCACCCATTGTCAGAGCACACGTCCCTAACATCCCACCAGAGCACCTAATATTCTTTGGCAGTTATCAGAAATAGGATGGAAAAATGAAACTTTGCAGCATACACAATAAGCTAGGAAATGATGGAACATAAACCAGGAGTCTATTTATTCTATGATGGTGAAAAAAAAAAAAAAGATCCAGTTTATCTCCAGGAGCAAATAAAAAACAAAGGGGAAAATGGCAAGTGTCAACTCCTGGTAAACCTCCTGTGGCCAAGTTAGATGGGATGCCACCCCCTGCACTTTTGTGTCCTTTGCTCTGCATGTCTGGATCTGAGGGTCCACTGCACTGGGGTCCGCACTGGTTGGGGGATGGGCTAACTCACTTCCAAGTAGCGTTTCCCTTGTGGAGACTCAGACCAGCTCCCTTAAAAGACACAGCCCACAGCCGTGGTCCTTGGGCAGGTGGGGGTGGGTACTGAGGTGCCCTTGAAGTCCCATTGCTCAGCAAACATTTCCTGCGTCCAAGAGGACACTGCCGAGTGTGGCTTAATGGCCTCCTGCGGCTCTTTGCATTATTGATTGCAATACCTGCTTAGAGGCTTGAAAATGAGATTTTTTCCCCCTATTGATTTTCCTGTCTTTTCCACTTGGCAAACATCAAGATCTCCCCTGACTTTCCACTGTGGAGGGTATTTAAGGAGGGCCCGGCGAAGTGGGGGAGCAGTGGGGTTTCCCTCACCTTCCAGGGAACTTGGACAGTGTCCACCCAGGTCTCCTGGCACAGAGGGGCTGGGGCCTGGGGTGAGGGCTGTGCCTTGGTGGTGGGAGGACAGTTTGTCCTTGTGTTCTTGCAGAGGCACCCCAAGTTAACAGGATTTGAGACCTGAAAAAGCCATTTCATCCATCTCCCAGTTCATATGGCTCTGAACAGGGACCCAAATGGACAGCAAATTTGAAGGAAAGGCATTGGATAGCTCTGTGGGTTTGGCCTCCCTAAGAACTTCCCAAATGCCGGAAGAGGAAGCCTGACACGTGAAGCTTCTGCCAGCTCAGGAACAAGATCATGAGCAGGGTGCCAGGACATTTCCCTGAGGGCAGCAGCAGGGTAGGCAAGAGGAGGCCGAGAGACGCCAGGGGCTCAGGGTCAGGGGAGCATGGCTCTTAGGGTCCCAGCACAAACACCAGAGCCCCCCAGTTGGTTGCTGACCTCCCTCCCCACCACCTCCCCACTGTTGGCATGCTGGGATCCATCTAAGGCAGTGTTTCTCTAGAATTGCTGGAAGCCCAGGGGGAATCTATAGGAATTTAAAATTTTTATGTGGCTATTTCAATGATAATTTTAAAAACAACAAACATCAGCATGTTGTGCAAAACCTGGAAGACCACATTATAACCGAGCACCAAGCTGTCCTCCCTGGCTGCCCGCCCTGGGTCCAAGTGGCCTGCGTCCAAGTGGAGACCCTGCTCACTACAGGTCTGTCTGAAATGCACCTGCTGCACTGTGGTCACACCAAGCTCCACGGCTGCGAGTCCCTGCCATCTCCTTGCCACACCCCTAGGGGGGCTGGGAGGTCTCTGGATGCCAGCCAGAGGGCTGAGCCTGCCTCCTTAATGCACCTCCCTGATCAGCCCACCGGGCTGAGGCTTGGAGTCATCCCAAAAATCAAGCCCCACAAAAACAAACCATTGTGTTTCCATTTTGCTGCAGGGAGGGTGGGGTCAGATGATGCTCTGTGGCCCCAGCAATCAGGAGAGAGAGAGACCCCCAGAAAGGAGAGGCACCATCTGCCTGTCACCCACAATTGATTCCAGTTCTCCTCCGTGTGAGGGTGGAGCGTGGTCACAGGGGGAGCTAATCTGCCTGCGCCCAGCTGCACCACCTTGCTATCTCTCTGGGCTTCGGTTTTCTCATCTGTAAAATGGGGATCATATTCATCCCTAACTCATAGGTTTGATATGAGGATTCAATGAGTTAATACAGATAAAGTGCTTAGAACGGTGTCTGGTGCATCACAAGTGCAGGATGAATGAAAGCTATTACTTACACAATGAACTAGATGGATTTATGAAGCTTTGCCCAGGTCTAATGTTTGATGACACCTCAGATCCAGTCTCGGGCCTAATGTTTGACTAAATCCCTGTACGTTACTACTGCAGTTATTATTACCCACACGGTGGTCACCAACAGTAATGATGCCTAGTACCTCAGTAAAATGCATTCCTATCCACTGTCTACATCTGTCACCTTATTAGAGCCTCAGGACAGCCCTGAAAAATCAACATTACTGTTTCCACTTTACAGATGGAGAAAATGAGGCCCACAGCAATTACAGGACTTGCTGGAGGCCTTAAAGCTGTTTTTGGATCATAAAATGGACCAGAATCCAGCTCTCCTGCTGCAGCCCCACGTTCTTTCCCGGCAGCATCCTACCTGTGGCAGGTGGGACCCTTTGCCTTTGGCCAACCAGACCTACAACACCTGAGCCCTGGGAAGCTCCTTTTCTGCTCACTGAGGCTCCCACTGTAGGGAGGAATGACATCAAATAGCCTTTTATGGCTCCCATAAGCACGCTAACAAATGTCTTGCTAGCAGCAGTGGCTGGAAGCAGATTAATGTCTCTGTGGCCCTAACACTTCTCCAGCCCCCTTTGCCTGTCAGGTCATTACTGGCTGGTTTATAGTCATGAGGCCCTTTTCCAGTTCGCTAAATGGTTTGCATGATAAAGAGACAGCAGGGCTAAGCATTCCAAGCTCCTTTCCTCTGGTGTTGCTGGCAAGGACTTAACGCCTCGCTTCAGGGCAGTTAGGAGCATGGGTTCTGGAGTAAAAATGACGATGCCACCACTTACTAGCTGTGTGGCCTGAAGCCAAATGCTTCACTTTGCTGAGCCTCAGTTTTCTCATCAGTAAAATGGGAGTAATAATAGTTTTTAAGGGTTGTTGAGGATCAAGTAAGCTAGTTCATGGAAAAATAAAAACCCCTGGTATTAATATATAGTTAGCAGTCAGCCCATATTAACTCTTATTATCATTATTCCTTATAAGCTGTGAGCCCCAATAGGGCAGGGATCCTGTCCTGTGCACTGCCTGGTGCATAGTAGGTACCTGATATATAAATGTTTTATGAGCAAATGAAGAATGGGAATTTGGAGCTGGATATAGATACAGGGTTTCTCTGTAGTGGCACTACTGACATTTGAAGTGGGATAACCCTTGTGTGGGCTGTCCTGCACGCTGTAGGATGTCTAGCAGCAACCCTGGCTACGACCCACCACATACCAATCGTGCTCTTTCTCCACAACTGTGACAACCAAAAATATCTCCAGACATTGCCAAATGTCCCCTGGCATTAAAAACCATTGATCTAGTGAAATCTAGTACCTAATTTGAAAAATGAGAAAGTTGAGGCCCAGAGAAAGTAAGTGACTTGCCTGAAATCACAAAGCAAGTTAGTGGCAGAGCTGGGATTCAACCCCAGGGGTCCCAATTCTAAGCCAGTGCTCTTTCCACCTGGCCCTTGTCTTTCATGGCCCACTGTCCAAGCCTCTTCCATCAGGCCATTGTCATGGGTTCCAGAATGGAAGAGGCTGGTTGCTGCTGCTCTGTTCTTCAGGTGACTGAATCAGGGGAGGTCATACTGAAATGAGGGTGCTGGTCATGGGGGAGAGTGGGTAGCCAGCTGTGCAAAGTCCCCTACCCTAGTGACAATGCATGAGGCACAACAAACTCTGTGGTAATGAGGCACAATGTATGGGTGAAAAACAGTGTCTGCCTGCTCTTGGGTGCCCCTCACTCACAAATTCACTCATCAAACATGGGCCCCTACTACAAGCCAGGGACACAGCGGTGAGACACCAGGGAGTGGCAGTGTGCTTGGTCACTGGGTGCTCCTGGGTCAGACAGTCTGGACTGAGTCCTGCATCTCATGGCTCCTTACCCTCTCTCAGCCTCAGCTTCTGCATCTGCAAAATGGGAATGATAATGGTATCCAGTAGGATGGTGCAAAAGTAATTGCAGTTTTGCCATTAAAAGTAATTGCAAAAAAGTACTTAGAGACCACAAGGGCAAATATCCCTTACCGTCCAAGTCTGTTTGGTCCTGAGCTCAGAAAGAAGGAAGGAAGTCGTCACAGTGAATGATTAATCCGAAACTTTATATGTGATGCTTTTCTCTTTCTGAATTTGAATTACCAAGGGTTTGGATGGGCAGGTGCCCGTACCTGCCATGAAGCAAGGAATAGGAATTTGCCATGAGGATTAAATGAGTAAACCAGCATGGACTGAATACTTTGTCAAGGCACCGTCTAAGTGCTTTACATGTAACACCTTATCTAACCCAGACAGAACCCCTGTAAAGAAGGTACTGTTAGCTCCATTTTATAAAAGGAGAGATTGAGGTAAAGAAGGTCATATTACTTGGCCCAAGGTCCCACAGTCGGGACCATGGTGATGCTGGGATAGGACCATCCTGCCTCCAGAACCTGTGCTCTTAACTGCCACAGAGTCAGCATTTAGCCCAGACTGCTACTGCTTCTATTATTATAGTATCATCCTAGGTGATGGAAAGGTTTGGCCATCCTGTCTTTAAGGCATTGAATATTTTCCATAGAAAAACACTGGGATGAAAAATGCTACTGTTCTAAAGTAGAAATTGGCAAAGTTTTTCTATAAAGGGCCAGATAATAAATATTTTCTGTCTTTTGAGCAAGACAGTCCCTGTCACCACTACTCAACTCTGCTGTTACAGTGAGAAAGCAGTCACAGGCAATCCAGAAATGAATAGGGATGGCTGTGTTCCAATAAAACTTTATTTATAAAAGCAGGCAATGGAATAGATTTGGCCCATGGACCATAGCTTGCTGACCACCGCTCTAAGAAAACTGGTTTAATTAGGGCGTGGCCTAGGCTCCTCTTTCCCTTTTCTCCAGCCCAAAGGAAATGACCTCAGCAGTCTGGGGAGGACAATCAGGAAAAGACTGGAGTGAAAGTCACTCTGTCTGGGCTCTGGGGTGGTAGTCTGCTCACCCAGAGGGTTGGCCCTGAGGTTGCCCCACAGGCAATGAGGACTGGGGAAGCCCAGCTTTAATCTTCGGAGATGTCGGTTTTAGAAACAGTCTGGGAGCTGAGAAAACTGTGTCAGGCTCAGCTGCCCCTTCAATCAGAGCTTGAAGTGAGCAGCCAGAGAGGTGGGCTCTGGAAATTTCCAAGGCACACCTGACCTGGGCATTACCTGCCCCACTTTAACACATCTCCAACCAAAGGCCAACTGCCCAAGCCTGTCCTGGCTAGGTGGCAGGTGTCCATGTGACAACCAGGACCAGTTTGGCAGGAAAGGATTAAGCATTAAGCCTTACGGGATCACCAATGAGCAAGCAAAAATGATGTTCAACAATTGCTGGTTGAAGGGTCTGTAACCCTGTATTCTACAAGAGGCTGGCTCTGGTGGTGGTGGGGGGTATCTTTGTAAAACCCATTTACCAAATCTGCAGAGCTAGATAGGTAATGCTGGGCTAAGGTGAACGTCATCTTACGCAGGTATACTCTTTCAAATTAATCTCCCTCCCCACCCCGCAGCAGCGGGGAGGCCTTGACTATATCACCTCTCAGTCTCCTCATCTGTGGAATGGGAATAACTTGCAAGGCTGTCGAGGAAGTGGGGGGATTAAGTGAGGCCAATGTCTGTGAACACCCAGCCCAGAGTCCACCACATAGTAAGTGCTTCATAGTATTCATATCTTTCCCTAGACTTTAGTGTAGTCAAGCAGTTGTAGAAACCAAAGTTTATAGGAACATATTAAAGGGAAAAACATGGAATCGAGGAGAAAACTATGTATTAATCTCCCCACCCCTCAAGAACTAGAAGATGGCTCTGATTCATTTCAGCTGTGGTGTATCTTGGTGGCACTTAGAGACTGCGTTGTCCCATATTCTTCATTCTATTCCACGCCTGTTCTGTGCCAAGCATTGTATGGGCATAAAGAAGGAGATAAAAGCTCCACCCAAGGTCCACCTTATAGAACTGTCCTCTCCCTCCCCGCCCTCACCTCCTGCCCCGTACACAGGTATAGGATAACACCTACCTGTTCAGGCCCTGATGACTATGCCTGTCTCTCTCTCCTAGACTCTACGTTCCTTGAGGGGAAGAGCTGACATTGTCTCTGCATTGCCTAGCCTGGAGTCTGCCCTCCAAGAGTCTCCACCGTGGGGTGCCGTGCCAGCCTCTGAGGTCATCAGCCAATCAGCTTCCAAGGTGCATGGGAAGCCACTGTATTTCTTGGTTGTTCTCTGCAACCCTTGGCTGTGACCCATGTCAAGAGAAGTTTAGAGCTGAGAGCAAATGTGGAGAAGGTGGCCCTGCTAATCTTTATTTGCTAAGCAAATTGTATTGAATTATGAAAGAGAATCGCTCATTTCAACGGCAGACCGGCCTGTGTGGCGTGTGCTCTCCCCAGAAAGGCCCTGCAGCTGCATCGGGGATCTGTCATTTCTCATGATCTGTACCATCCAGGGCTCGGGTTCCCAGTTGGGGCTGTGACCTGGAGCCAGGAGACATGCAGTGCACAAAAGAGGGGAAACCTCAGTGATTTCCTTTGGCAGCAGCAACAATAAGGAAAAAAATCCATGCCACTCATCTGCTGCCAATTATTAAAAGAAAGCTGGTTCCAACTCCGCATTCCTCCCTGCCCATAGTTCTTTTGCTGATGGGGCAATATGTGTCATCTGCATTTCTCCAAGAAACAACTCCGTTCACTCCGGTAATTAATAGGACACACGTGCCCACCCAGCATCAGCATCTGACGGAATAAATGAGCACCACTGGGACCCAGGCACTGCTCACAGAGCCCACAGCTCCTGCCAGAGGACTCCCTTCCGGCGCTCTGCTCTCCAGGAGCTCTTCCCTGCTCATCCAGGCAGGAAGGGGCCTGTGCCTTCTCTGAGCTTTCAGCAAGATGCCTTCGCGTCCCCAGCCGCCCTGCCCTATAGTTCCTTGCATGGTGCATGATCACACCCACTAGATAGAAGGCATTGTGTGAGCAGGAACATGCTCATCCATTTGTAAATCCTCTGCAGAGCCTGGCAATTGTCCCCTGAGTGTAAAACAAATTTTCTTCTGCTGAGTCAAAAACAGACCAAGAATGAGGGCTGACGAACACAAAGCTCCCCTAGTTTTTGGCCTGGTGGCTCCTCCTTGCATTCAAGTCTTGGCTCAAATCTTCCCATGAGCTCCCATGAGGGCCTTCCCTGACCACCCCACCTCACACACTTTAACCCATCACGCCCTTTTATTTTCTTCTTAGCATTTATCACCAATTGAAATTACCGTGTTTATTTATATTCTTGTTAATTGTGTTTCTGTTACTGAAGGGTAATATCCATGAAAGCATGCACCTTCTCTGTCCTGTTTACTGCTGAATCCCCAGCATCTAAAACAGGTACGCAGTAGGCCTCTGATACAGATTTATTAAATAAGTGACATGTATTCCTGAGTGAGCGAATGAATGAATGTAATCAGTGCTACAAGTCCACTTTACCTGAGCCTTCTCCCTGCTGGCTTTTGGAAAACCTTGGGAAGCTGGTCTCCTCTGAGCTCCTCCCTAGGCAGCTTTTTCTAGCTTTACAGAGCTTGGACAACTATCATCCATAGGCCCTCATGCAAGCTGTAGGGTCAAGGCCCAGGAAGGTTGCCTGGCTCGCTCCAGCAGTGGCACTAGAACCTCATCTTCCTGACTTGCTGTTGCCCCACTGTCTGCAAGGCCCCGGTCTCTGCCTTGCCCTATGGGCCCTCTGATTTAAGGTGGCAACTTTTGCAAGGGAACAGCAGAACCTTAATAAGAAATCGGCCAGGGCTGATGGATGGCAGATAGTTGGCACCAGCCTCAAGGTCAGAAGAAGTTATTTTAAACTATTCAGATTTACTAGGAAGGGAATGAGTCAGAGGAGGATTTAGGGGCTGGCCTCCTAGCAAGACATGTGGCCATGTCCCCAAGCAATCTAAGACAGACACTTCCTGTGCAGTGCACCCCCACCTCCGCCTCGCCAGCCTGAGATGAATGGCGAGGCCTCTGGTGTGAGGTGGCGAGGCCTCTGGTGTGAGGAATTTACTGGGAGCTGGTCAAATAAATCGGAAGTCTGGGATCTGAGCAGAATCACGCCCCCCTTCTTCCCCGCTGAGCCCTTGCTGAGGATGGGCGGTGGAAGTGGCTGTCCCTGAGAGGCTGTGCCCTTCCTTGTGGGCAGGCTGTCTCCCATCTCCCACAGCTTCCGGGAACCCAGCACTCCTAAGCTCCTGTGATGAATTAGACCCACCTCTTCACTCCATTTATCTTATCTCCTCCTGGGCACTGCCATCCAGGGAGCATTTCACCATCTTAGCTGCAGTGCTTCAGCGTACAGTCCTGAGCTGCTTCATCGTCTCTTCTTTCCCATCTCCTTTCCAGGATCTAACAGATCACTCTCTCCGTTTTTCAATGCCCATCATGGTCCTCACCTCCTCCAAGGAGCCTTTCCTGGTTCCCCAGGGAGACACAGGGTGAACTTGGGCTCCTCTTTGTGGCATGAATGTTTACCTGCTTTTTATGGCAGAGTTGGGTGGGCAGCCTATTCCCTTGCTGAGCTCCAAATTTTCACTGGTAATATCTTCCCCTTCCTTGCTGCCCAACCCACACCTCACACCTGGTATTGTCAGACCCATAGTGGGTGCTCAATAAATATTTGTTGAACTACATTAAGTGAACACCTGAGTTTAGGACAAGCCAACATGTTTTCCCCCACATGAGCTTGGGTGCTGGACAGGTGGACAAAGAGGTGTCAAAGGCCTTTTTCTTTTGCATATGGACTGTTTCATGTATTCTGTAAAGTTTAAATAAAATTAAAACAACCATAGTGTATCCATCAAACAGATCTTAACATCCTCCAGTCTTGCTACAGATGTTTTCATTTTAGATGAAAAACATTACCCGGTTGAAATTCCTTGGGTATCCCTCCCTAGCCCATCTTCTCCTTCCCCAGGGGTAACCTGAGCCTGACTGGTTTGATGTGGATCCTTTCTATGCCTGTATTTGTATTTTTATTACATATGAATGGACCGATAAATAACATATTCATTATTTTGCATGCTTTTACACTTCTATAAATGATACCATATGGTTTGTATGAAGCCCTCTGCAACTTGCTTTTTTCACTCAATATGATATATTTGAGATTCATCCAAGTAGACAGGTATAGCGCTAGTTCATTCATTTTAACTGCTGTGGAGACTCCATTGTATGAGTATATTACAATGTATCCACTTCCCTCTTGAGGGACCTGTAGCTTTTCACCATTATGAACAATAATGCAGGCTTGCGCCTGTTGGAGAGGCTCTCTGGAGCCGAGTTTTTCAAACTGCAGTTGTAACCCAGAGGAGAGTCATGAAATCAATATAATGGGCCATGATCACCATTTTTAAAAGTTAAATAGAAGAGATTTTAAAATATCGGTGTGTGAAAATGTATGTGCTGGGACATGACATGAAATGAATTTATGAATCTAGGTTGTGGTAGAAAAAAGATTTGAGATGCATGGCATTCTGAGGTTGGTATTATCTCCAGCTTTATTTAAAGTTACCAAACTGCTCCCTAACGTGGTACTGGCAATTCACTCTCTCATCAGTATCATATGAGAGTATCCATCTCCCTGTGTCCTTATTAACACTTGCTATTATCAGGAATTGATTTTCCTCAATCTGTTGGGGGTCATAGGGTGGCATCTTAGTTTTAATTTGCATATCTTTGATTCCTAGTGAGGTCAGCATCTTTCCATACACTTATTACCCGTCAAAATATGCATGCTAAGTACATGTTTATGTTCTTCACTAGTGTTTGAATTGGGTTTCATCTTATTGATTTGTAGGATTAAAAATATATTCTGGATATTAATCCTTATAGATTGCAGGTATTGCAAATATCTTCTCCCAAACTACAGCTTGCCATTTTACTTTGTTTAGGGTGTCAAAAGGCCTTTGCTAGCTCTGACATCCTGATTCACAATGAAGCAAAAGGGAACCCATGTTAGAGAGGCCCTCTAGAGCAAGGTCTTTCTGCATCCCCTGAATATATCAGGCCCCTAATAAATGTTTGGTGACTGTAACATACTCACTAGAGAATTCTATCAGATTAGGCCAGCACAGATCTGGGCTTACAGCAAGGGCTCTATGGAGACTTAATGACATGGTTTTGCTATGCTATGAGAAAAGTTCCAATGTCCAGCAGAGAAATCAGAAGCAGGATATTTTCATTGCAAAAAGAGCACTGGCTTTATGGAAGGATTTCCTGAAGGATGCCTGTAAAGTATGAGTTGATGTAACTCAGAATTCAACTCATGTCCAGTGTTCCAGACAGCAGACTGGGATCTCCAACAGGTGGCCCCAAGCCTCTCGACTCTCACCATTCCTGTGAGCTTACAGCAGCACAGTGATCCTTCATATTTTAAAGATGGGCCAAGAAAAAGTAAATGTCTTGCCCCAGATCACATTGAAGACAGGGGACAGAGTGAAGCCAGATCTCACAGCCACTGATGGCTCGGAGAAAAGGTCGGGACCCAGAACAGTGGGTGTTTTGAAGCAAGCAGATCCCTGAGCTCTCAGATATAGGAGAATGAGCTAAGCCACCTTGGGAAGGAGCCCATTACCTAGCTCAAGACTATGTTTAAGTCCAAATAGCTGCGTATGTATCCATGAAATAAAGGGAATGAGATGAAGGGCAAAAATGATATTTGGCAGGACCTCTGAAGAGGAAGAGGAACAAGAGCTTCTGTGACTCAAAGGTCACTTGCCTGGGCTGAAAGGTCCTTAGGGCAGGGACAAGGGAAGGATCTTATTCATCTCCATATGCCCGGAACCTAGCACAGTGTCTGGCACATGGAAAGGGCTTAAGAAATGTCTGCTGAATGAGTGGATGAATGAATAAACAGATGGATGTATGCATAGATGGACAGATGGATGGAAGAATAAAGAGATAGATGGATGAATGGACAGAGTGATGGACAGATGGATGGACTGATACATAGTTGGACAAGGGGATGAATGGTTGGACTGACAGACAGGATGGATGGATGGATGGATGGATGGATGGATGGATGGATGGATGGATGCATGTTCCTCATCTGGAAGAGGGATTGGTCTCAAAAGAACTTCTCAAGCAGGCAGCCAAACTTGATAACTCTGTCATGTTACTAAAGATCTTTGTAAAAAAAAAAAAAAATACCAAGTGGCATAACTATGAGAAATAACTGCTTCTAATTGGGCTGAATTATTCTGGCCATATAGTAGACATATTTTTATAACTTTATTAATTATTCAATTTGAGGCCATTTACCCAGCCTGCCAGAATGGGTTTTCCTTATTAGAGGGTGACAGAGTCTCCAGTTCTGCCACTGCCTCTGTTGCTGTGGCACTATTGAACAGTGACTGCCTGCTTTGGGGCAGCACCAGGGTCTGAGGACTGGATGTGGAGGGCATGGCTGCTCCTGAGAGGCAGGCTGGGAGTCAGAGATGTCAGGAGACAGTAAGGCTGTACCAGGATATCTCCCTGGCTGCACCAGGAAAGGCAGAGGGAGGTCAGGCCAGGACATGTCCAACCTGGCCTCTGTGGGTCATCTTCTGCCCAGATCCATTCACCAACTCTTAATCACAGCAATCTCCCCCCATCCAATCTGTTTCCTTCCAACGCCAAGGTAGCCCGCCATATGTTCTTCAGTAGCCTCCAGTCAGGGATGGAGGAAGTAGAGCATTGCCCAGCTACCCAGAGGGACTGGCTGGGGCTCCAAGGGCAGATCAAAGCCTTCAGCATCCTCTCTCTTCCCATACCTAGGCCCAGAGCTGGTCACATGCTACTTAGGAGAAGAAAGAGTTAAAAGGTTGCCCACCAGGAAACGCTGCAGAGTGAGTAGATGAAAAATAAGCCTTCAGGGGCTCCCCATGCCCACAGAATAATGCCAGAGCCCCTTGGGCTGTTGGTGTGAGAACACCATGCCACCTGCCCTGGCCCACCAGTCCAGCCTGGCTCCCACTCCTCTGGGTGCCTCCGCTTCAACCACACTGACCTGCTCAGCACTGGCACCTTTGCTATGTGGGTGGGCCTGCCTGGAGCACCCTCTCTTTCCATATCTGATGACTGAAACCTCACATCTCATCCTTCTTTGAGCTCTGCTTCTACCATATTTTTAGCATCTTTCCGATCTCTCCACAGGATATGATCTCTGCTTCCTCTGAAGGACCAATTTGACTCCTGGCCTCATATTGCAATTCTTGGGGCACGTGTCTGGCCCCCTACTCCCCATAGGTGAGAAGCATTGGAAGATCACGTGATATGGCTTTGCATTCTCTCAAGCATCCAACCCAGAGCCCCATAATCTTCCCTAGTCCCACCTCCACCTCCAGAAGGAACGAAAGACGTGATAAGACAGGAGAGCAAGTCTACCAGATTCCATGTAACACTGCTTAGTACCTTCCATGTGCCAGGCAGCATGAGGTGCTCCAGGTCATAGAGACAAGAAAGACGTGGGTCCTGCATGAAGAGGCCTCAGGGGATACGGGTGAGAGGGAGACAAACACAATCAAACCAAAACTGCCCAGGGTGGCAAGGACCGCCTGGCCATGTACAGAGTCGAGGCCCCTGGGAATCAGGGAACCTTCACAGCAGGGGGGCATCTGTGCTGGGCTTTGACAGCAAAAGAGCAATGGGTCAGTGGATGAAAGAGGGCAAGGGTGGGAATGATGGGAGGGAGATGAGGTTGAAAGCCAGGCAGGTGCCACATCCAGAGGGGCCAGGAAGGCCGGGCCAAGGAGATGAGCACTTCCCGGCAGGCAATAGAGAGCAGGGACACAGGTGTGGCCCAATTGGCGTTTCAGTAGCCTCCCCACCTCCCAAGTGTGGGAGGGGTTGGGGAGGGAAGGCAGAGGGCATCAACCAGAGTTTCAAGGGTGGTCTCCAGGGACAGACTGCCTGAGTTCAAATCATGCTGCTGCTGCTTATGAGTACCCTTGGGCCAGGTACTGAACCTCTCAGAGCCCATTTCCTCCTCTGAGAGATGGGGATGAGAATAATAAACTACTTTCTCTAGGACGGTGTGTAGAGGAAGTACTGGATGAGTTAGGAGAGATGCTGAAGCAAGAGCAAAGCCCAGCCTCCTTCCCTGTCAGCCTCAAGTGCCACCTCCTCCACAGCCCTGCATCGTGGCGGAAACACGCCTGAGTGGAGAGCTCACACTTGCCGTAGCCGAGTGACCTTGGAGGATGACTGGACTTCCCGGGCCTCGGCTCTCTAACCCCACCTTATGGGGCTGCGTCAGGAGGAAAGGAGGTCTGCGGTGGCCCACAGGTGGGCAGGGGCTGGCTGGCGCTGACATTCTTGGGGGCAGGGCTCCCCCATCACCAGGCCCCTCTCTGCCCAGGATGAGATGCACCTTCTCCCTCTCCTTCCCCTCAGAGTTCTAGGGACATCCTGCAGGCTGGTGGGAGCAGGTGGGTGCAGTTCGTGAGTCCCCTCCTGGAGACCCTGCCTGCAGGCTGCCCCTGGAAGTGCAGGTCCTTTTCACACCTGTGTGGGGCTGGGGAGGGGTATCCGCCCGGTTGCCAGCACGTGCGACAACGCCAGCTGGGCTCCCGCCACTCTATTCTGCTTTTGTCACATTCAAGGTGGGATCTCCACTGCCCGCCTCTTGCCAGTTCTCGAGACTCCCTGTGTGTCATTTATTTATTCATTTTGTTCTCAGGGAGCAGATGGCAGGAACTGAGTTGGGCAGAATGTACCTCCCTCCCCACTTACAACACTCCCGAGTACACAGTTCACTCGCAGACCCCAGGCTATCCCGTTTCTGGCTTTCTCAGGTCCAAAAATTCAGGAGGAGCCACACGTGCCAGGGCCCTGCCTCACCCCCACCTCCTGCTCAGATGTGACTGGCCCCAAATCTTCCCTGGTCTGAGGGGCAGTGGGCAGTGGGGAAGGGGTGAGACTCTGGGAGACTGCCCTTTCTCAAGAATGGGGAGAGCAGTGGCCCCACACCGCCTCCTGCCCCATGGCCTGCCTGCCTTCCTGCCTGTGAATTTTCTTGGGGGGACAGATGAGGATTTGTCTGGGATTTTCTTGGGGGGACAGATGAGGACCCTCAGAAGGTCTCCCCTCCTTTCCTGGTGGGCATCTGTTGTGCTGAACCCCTAACAACTCTAGTGGGGATGGCACCAGGTTCAAGAGGCCAAAGAAGAGACCCAGAAACAGCAAAAGAGACATGGGGTTTTACTGGGGGCTTATATGCAGAGGAGAGCCCAGCAGTGGCGGGCTGGGCAGAAGAACCACAACTGCTTGTAAAAGGCATGCAGTTGCTATAGCATTTCCACTCAGCACCCTAACAACCTCCACCTGGGAACCTTCATTCACACCCCCCCCCCCAGCACCCCCGCCAAAACTCAGGGCTTAATCCCCTGTACAGCCAGTGTTCCACCAGACAGGCCGACGGCTCAGATATTCCTCATAGACAAGGAACGAATCTCCAGGTTGGCCACTCTCAGATTCCCTAGCTCAGAACACACATTCAGGTGCGTTTGCCATACAGGGTCATTCTTGGGGTGCACTTAGGTGATCGCTCTCAGGTGCGTTTACCTGGCAGCAGCATCACAGGAACATGAGTGGGTGGAGGGTAGAGATGGGGTGGGAAGGACCAGCTGCCTTTGAGCTGGTGTTCTGGGGTCTCCATGGGCTGCCCCTTCCCAGCCTGATCCTCATCCTGACAAAGGTCTGGGCTCCCACAAGGGCGGGGCTCCCCAGCACCTGCTTCCTCCCCTTTCCCGTTTCTCCTGGGAGGCACTGTGGAAGAAACGGAGCATGGGAGAGAGGAGACTCATATCTCCGCTGGCTTCCAGAGTGTCACCAAGGCTGGAACATCTCAAAGAGAAGGAGACAGAGGCTGGGGGATGTGACAGCCAAGGGCGGAGAGATGGACATCAAGGCCGGCAGACCCAGGTTCTTGCTGTTCCTCCCCTGCGGCCCACAGCCCCCCAGGACTCAGGGGCTGGGCAGTCTCTTACCTGTCTCATGGTCTCTTTCAGGCTTGAGCACAGGCTCCTCACAATTGAGTCTGTCCTCGCACTTCTGACCCCATGACCTCGTGGAAAGCCTCAGACAGACCCAGCCCTGACAGTCACCAGATGCGGGACCTCAGGCCATTATGTAACCTCTCTGTGCCTCAGATTCTCTTTCTAAAAGGGGGACCGCAGCACACACCTGGCTCCTGCCTTCCACTGCCCTCCCATGATGGCCTCGCCATCCAGGTCCCCCTCCCATAAAAGCAGAGCCTTTCCTCTCCTGCCTCCTCCTCCTCCCTCCTCTCTGTGCTGGTGGTTCTGGCTTCTGCTCAAAGTTCTTGGAAGATGGAGGCTATGCTCTCCTCATCTCTGAACCCCCCATTTGGTCCTGAACCCTGGGCACTGTTGGCCTTTGAGAAGCGCTCAGTAAATGTGCACTAAGAGGAAGTCAAGGATGGAGAATACTGAGTCGATGAGGCCAGTGGTCCTGGCTATTGAATTCCTTTTTGTTCAAAATTAGAATTCCAGGGTGAATAGCAGCTCCTCTTACTCATAAACCTTGAAAAAGCATTTGCTGCTACGTACACAGCTCCCTTCTGTCCCCGTCACGGTGACTGTGCCCCAGTGTGTGGGGCTGACACAGAGCCCACCGTCCCGGGGAGGCCCACAGGCACACCAGATGCCGGCAGAAGGCGGCCCAGGCGGGTCTGCGAAGGGCCGCGGGCTTGGCAGAGCTGCACGCGAGGAACAGTGAGTGTAATTGCTTTGCGGTGATTCATCTGAAGTTGCTTTAACCTTGACAGCCGGCTCGATGCAGTGAAAAAACAACTCGAGAGAGAGCTGAGGCCTCCCGGCTGGCACAGCACCCTCTGCACACCCACTGCACGCATGAGCTATACCTGGACAGCATAGGGCTCAGCAGGAGCTCCCACCTGGAGGGGGCGAGGATGTGATCACAAGGCCGCCCCATCCCCCTCATGCCCTGCCTCCCTACCTCCCCATCCTCTCCAGGTCTGGGAATGAAGAGAGAATCAGGGTGGCCATGAGCGGGGTGGCAGGAAGGGGAGACATCCTCCATCAGGGGGCAGCAGGGAGGTCACCAGGGCCTCGGATTAGGTGAGCCAGTCCTGGACTTTGACTCCTTAGAAATAAAACATCATGAGCTGTCACAGTGGAAATAGCCCTGTTTACCTTCCCACTTTCTTTTTTCTTTCTTGAGATAGAGTCTCACTCTGTCATCCAGGCTGGAGTGCAATGGCACGATCTCGGCTCACTGCAACCTCCGCCTCCCGGGTTCAAGCTATTCTCCTGCCTTAGCCTTCCAAGTAGCTGGGATTACAGGCGCCCTCCACCATGCCCAGCTAATTTCTGTATTTTTAGTAGAGACGGGGTTTCACCATGTTGGCCAGGCTGGTCTCGAACTCCTGACCTCAAGTGATCCACCTGCCTCAGCCTTCCAAAGTGCTGGGATTACAGGTATGAGCGACTGCGCCTGGCCCTTCCCACTTTAAAGATGAGAAAACTGAGGCCCACAGAAAGGAAAGGACCAGGGTCCCCCAGGGAAGACCTGGAACAAAG
Source organism: Homo sapiens (assembly GCF_000001405.40). Taxonomy (NCBI): domain Eukaryota; kingdom Metazoa; phylum Chordata; class Mammalia; order Primates; family Hominidae; genus Homo; species Homo sapiens. The sequence continues at coordinate 173,577 of NW_003315944.2, forward strand.
CCAGCTTTCCTGTATGTTAAGGCACAGGACTTCTGCTATGAACTGAATGTTCAAGTCCCCCCTAAATTCATATTGAAACCCTAATCCCCAATGTAGTGCTGTGTGGAGGTGGGACCTGTGTCGAGTCTGTGGGAGGTAATCAGTCCCCTTAGAGGGCACTGATCTAAAGAAGAGACATGAGGGACACGACCCCCTTCTCCACTCTGGAAGACACCGTGAGAAGGCAGGCCCTCGCCAGAAATAGAGTCAGCCAGAACCTTGGTCTTGGACCTCCGAGCCTCCAGAACTGTGAGAAACACTTTTCCGTGGAAGCCACCAAGTCTTGTTACAGCAGCCTGAACTAGCTAAGGCAACTTCCACCCCTTCAGGGGCAGCATGGAACTTAGGGAAGAACACAAGTTCTGGGTTCTGATCCCAGATCTGCTGCTTGATAGTTGGGTGAATATCAGAAGTGACTCCACCTCCCTGAGCTTTGATTTCTTCATTTGTGGAATAGAATAACACATATGTCCTCCCCAGGCTGCTGGGCAGATGAAATGGGACAGTTGGCCAGGCGTGGTGGCTCATGCCTGTAATTGCAACACTTGGGAGGCCTAGCAGGGGCAGATCACCCGAGGTGAGGAGTTTGAGACCAGCCTGGCCAACATGGTAAAACCCCATCTCTACTAAAAAAAAAAAAAAAAAAAAAAAAAAAAAAAATCTATCTATCTATCTATCTATCTATCTATCTATCTATCTATAAATAAATTAGCCAGGTGTGGTGGTGTGTACCTGTAGTCCCAGCTACTGGGGAAGCTGAAGAAGAATTGCTTGAACCCAGGAGGCAGAGGTTGCAGTGAGCCAAGATCGTGCCACTGTATTCTGTATTCCAGCAAGATGGAGCAAGACTCTGTCTCAAAAAAAAAAAAAAAAAAAAAAAAAAAGGGCGGTGCGGAGGGACTGTTTACGTGAAGCATTTGCACACAGCGGGAGCACAAATCACCATCACCTTCCTCCTCCAAATCGTGGCCCCTCATCATGCTTCTTTCTTCCCGCCTCCCTCCACCTCTCATTCATTCATTCTCCTTACTCCCTTGCTGGGAGGAGCCCTAAAGTTTTGGCAGTGGCCCTTCCTAGCTGACACATGTGGTGGGCCACACACACCCCCATCTGGCCCTGCCTATCTCCTTTTGGGACCCCTCACCTGTCCCAGGCCAGGGGCAGGGACCCAGGCCCCCATCCTATACCTCTGCTTTGCCCCCTATGTCCTGGGCTACCAGGCTGTGGTGTTGCCATTTTCATGAGAGTGTGTCCAGGGGCGCCTGAGACGGAGACACTCCCTGATGTACTTTCCAAATCAGGCAGTTGGTTGGGTTGACATCCCTGGAAATCCCCAATCCCAGTGCTGGCCTGACCTGTAGTCATAGGTTTTGGGGCTATACCACCAGGCCTCCCCAGGAGCACAATCATTTCTGGTATGAAGGTAGAGATCATCTTTTTGGTTTTTCAATAAATGCCAATTGTACATTTCATTCTATTATAAATCTGTATTTGTTTTAACTTAAGGAAATGTTTAAATTATCAGGTAACTAATGTGCCATTTACATGGTAAAAACTTTAAACTTTGTAGCTTCGAGAGTCTCTAGCAAAAGTCTTTTCAATAAATAGTATTGGGGAAACTGGATATGCACATGCAAAAAAATGAAATGGAATCTTTATAAAAAATTCACTCAAAATGGATCAAAGACCTAAATGTAGGAGCATACCTATAAAACTCAGAAGAAACCACAGGGGTAAAGCGTCATGACATTGAATTTGGCAATGATTTCTTGCATATTACACTAAAAGCACGGGCAATGAAAGAAAAAATAGTTAAATTGGACTTCATAAAAAAAAAAAACTTTTATATATCAAAAGACATGATCAATAGGCTGAGGTGGGGGCATTGCTTGAGGCCAGGAGTTTGAGAACAGCCTGGGCAACATAGTGAGATCCTGTATTTACGAAAAAAATTTAAAAAATTAGCCCAGCATGGCGACACATGCCTGTAGTCCCAGCTACTCAGGAGCCTGAAGCCACAGGATTGCTTGAGCCTGGGAGATCAAGGCTGAAGTGAGCTATGATTGTGCCACTGCCCTCCAGTCGGGTGACAAAGTGAGTTCTTATCTCTAAAAAATTAAAATAATTTTTAAAAATGACACTATCAACAGAGTAAAAAGGGAACTCAGAGAACAGGAGAAAATATCTGCAAATCACATATGGTCATGTGTTGCTTAACCATAGGGATATGCTCTGAGAAATGCATTGGTAGGTGACTTTGTTGTTGTGCAAACATCATAGAGTGTACTTGCACAAACCTAGATGGTATAGCCTACCACACACCTAGGCTACACCATCTAGGTTTGACTACCATCGTATATGCGGTCAGTCACCGACACAAACATCATTATGTGGTGCATGACGGTATCTAATAAGTGGTTAATATCCAGAATATATAAAGAATGCCTATAACTCAACACAAAACAATCTGATTAAAAAAATGGGCAAAGGGTTAGGGGATCATGGCAGATGGGAGGCAGGACTAGATTGCAGCCCCGGACAATGCGGCGGCTTGCAGTGTGAATTTTAGCTCCAGATCAACTGCAAGAACAAGCCAGCAATCCCGAGAGGAACCACAGACCCTCTGAAGGAAGCAGACTGCTCCTGCAGGACCCAGGAGACACCCCAAATACTGTGAGTGCCCCAAGTGTGGAAGTGGGAAAGGGAGACCCTCCTCTCCCGAACACACCCCCCCACTGGAGAGGCTGAAGTCTGTTTGTGGGAGAAGTTTCTGACTTTACCAGGAGCTGAATCAAGTTAGAGAGCCGAGTAAAATACAGGGGTAGAGGAAGCAGCAGAAAGGCTTAGTGGTCCCCAGGCAGCCCATTCCTGCCTGGCACCACAGGGATCCATCAGGAGGGTGGCCAGAGGAGCAGGAGGTAAAACTCCACAGAGAGAAGGAATTCTCTAGCAGAAATGTGTAACAACTTGAACGGGGCGAGAAGCCTCCTGGCCATAACTTGGGGGAGGGCACGAATCTGCTGTGGAGACCTCACAAGCAAGGGAAGAACTAAAGCCCGTTTCTTTTGCAGCTGGAAGGCAGATAGCCTTGGGCAAGTTTTCAAGCCCATTTTGCCCTACACCTGGAAACAGACTCCGGGCTGTTGCGCGAAGGTGGCGGGGGAAGGGGGGACGGGGTGCAGCACGGTGGGAGTGAGGCTGGCCCTTTGATTTGCATGGGAGCTGGGTGAGGCCTCTGACTGCTGGCTTTCCCCCACTTCCCTGACAACCTGCACGACTCAGCAGAGGCAGCCATAATCCTCCTAGGTACACAACTCCATTAACCTGGGAACCTCGCTCCCATCCCCCACAGTAGCCGCAGCGAGATCTGCCCAAGAAGAGTCTGAGCTCAGACATGCCTATGCCCACCCCCAGCTGATGGTCCTTCCCTATCCATCCTGGTAGCAGAAGACAAAGGGCATATAATTTTGGGAGTTCTACAGCCCCACCCACTACCGGTCCCTCTCCACATTACTATAGCTGATGCTTTCTGGAAAGCGCCACCTCCTGGCAAGAGGCCAACCAGCACAAAAAAAGAGCATTAAACCACCAAAGCTAAGGACCCTCATGGAGTCCATTGCACCCTCTGCCACCTCCACCAGAACAGGCACTGGTATCCACGGCTGAGAGACCATAGACAGTTTACATCACAGGACTCTGTGCAGACAACCCCCAGTACCAACCCGGAGCTGGGTAGACTTACCAGGTAGCTAGACCCAGATGAGAGACAACAGTCACTGCAATTTGGCTTACAGGAAGCCACATCCATAGGAAAAGGGGGAGAGTACTACATCAAGGGAATACCCCATGGGACAAAAGAATCTGAACAACAGCCTTCAGTCCTAGACCTTCCCTCTGACAGAGCCTACCCAAATGAGAAGGAACCAGAAAACCAACCCTGGTAATATGACAAAACAAGGCTCTTCAACACCCCTAAAAAATCACACTAGTTCACCAGCAATGGATCCAAACCAAGAAATCCCTGATTTACATGAAAAAGAATTCAGGAGGTTATTAAGCTAATCAGGGAGGGACCAGAGAAAGGTGAAGCCCAATGCAAGGAAATCCAAAAAATGATACAAGAAGTGAAGGGAGAAATAGTCAAGGAAATAAATAAAGAAAACACAATAAAAAATTCAGGAAACTTTGAGCACACTTTTAGAAATGCAAAATGCTCTGGAAAGTCTCAGCAGAATTGGAAAAGTAGAAGAAAGAAATTCAGAGCTCGAAGACAAGGTCTTTGAATTAACCCAATCCAACAAAGACAAAGAAAAAAAAAGAAAATATGAACAAAGCCTCCAAGAAGTCTGGGATTATATTAAAAGATCAAACCTAAGAATAATCAGTGTTCCTGAGGAAGAAGAGAATTCTAAAAGCCTGGAAAATATATTTGGGGGAATTATCAACAAAAACTTCCCTGGCCTTGTGAGAGACCTAGACATCCAAGTACAAGAAGCACAAAGAACACCTGGGAAATTCATCGCAAAAAGATCTTCACCTGGGCAAATTGTCATCAGGTTTTCCAAAGTTAAGACTAAGGAAAGAATCTTAAGGGCTGTGAGACAGAAGCACCAGGTAACCTATAAAGGAAAACCTATCAGATTAATGGCAGATTTCTCAGCAGAAACCCTATAAGCTAGAAGGGATTGGGGACCCATCTTCAGCCTCCTCAGACAAAACAATTATCAGTCAAGAATTTTGTATCCAGCAAAACTAAGCATCATATGTGAAGGAAAGATACGGTCGTTTTCAGACAAACAAATGCTGAGAGAATTCGCCATTACCAAGCCACCACTACAAGAACTGCTAAAAGGAGCTCTAAATCTTAAAACAAATCCTGGAAACACATCAAAACAGAATCTCTTTAAAGTATAAATCACACAGGACCTATAAAACAAAAATACAAGTTAAAAAGCAAAAACAAAAACAAAATCAAAGTACACAGGCAATAAAGAACAGGATGAATGCAACGGTACCTCACATTTCAATACTAACATTGAATGTAATTGGCCTAAATGCTCCACTTAAAAAATACAGAACTGCAGAATGGATAAGAACTCACCAACCATCTGTTGCCTTCAGGAGACTCATCTAACACCTAAGGACTCACATAAACTTAAAGGGGTGGGAAAAGGCATTTCATGCAACTGGACACCAAAAGCGAGCAGGGGTAGCCATTCTTATATTACACAAAACAAACTTTAAAACAACAGCAGTTAAGAGAGACAAAGAGGGATATTATACAATGGTAAAAGGCCTTGTCCAACAGGAAAATATCACAATCCTAAACATATATGCACCTAACACTGGAGCTCCCAAATTTATAAAACAATTACTAATAGACATAAGAAATGAGATAGACGGCAACACAATAATAGTGGGGGACTTCAATACTCCACTGACAGCACTAGACAGGTCATCAAGACAGAAAGTCAACAAAAAAACCATGGATTTAAACTACTTCCCAGAACAAATGGACTTAACAGGTATATACAGAACATTTCATCCAACGACCACAGAATACACATTCTATTCAACAGCACATGGAACTTTCTCCAAGAGAGACCATATGATAGGCCATAAAATGAGCCTCAATTAATTTAAGAAAATTGAAATTACATCAAGCACTCTCTCAGACCACAGTGGAATAAAACTGGAAATCAACTCCAAAAGGAACCTTCAAAACCATGTAAATACATGGACATTAAATAACCTGCTCCTGAATGAGCATTGGGTCAAAAATGAAATCAAGATGGAAATTAAAAAATTCTTCGAATGACAATAATGACACAACCTATCAAAACCTCTGGGATACAGCAAAGGCAGTGCTAAGAGGAAAGTTCATAGCCCTAAACGCCTTCATCAAAAAGTCTGAAAGAACACAAATAGATAACCTAAGGTCACACCTCAAGGAACTAGAGAAATAAGAACAAACCAAATCCAAAACCAGCAGAAGAAAGGAAATAGCCAAGATCAGAGCATAACTAAATGAAATTGAGACAACAACAACAACAATACCAACAATAAATGAAAGAAAAAGCTGGTTCTTTGAAAAGATAAATAAAACTGATAGACCATTAGCCAGATTAACCAAGAAAAGAAGAGAGAAAATCCAAATAACCTCACAAAGAAACGCAACAGGAGATATTACAACTGACGCCACAGAAATACAAAAGAACATTGAAGGCTACTATGAACCCACCTTTATGCACATAAACTACAAAACCTAGAAGCGACGGATAAATTCCTGGAAAATTACAACCCTTCCAGTTTAAATCAGGAAGAATTAGATACCCTGAACAGACAAATAACAAGCAGTGACATTGAAATGATAATTTAAAAATTACCAACAAAAAAAAGTCCAGGAGCAGACAGAGTCACAGCTGAATTCTACTAGACACTCAAAGAAGAATTGGTACCAATCCTTTTGACACTGTTCCACAAGATAAAGAAGGAACTCTTCCTAATTCATTCTAAAGCCAGCATCACCCTAATACCAAAACCAGGAAAGGACATAACCAAATGAGGGGGCTGGGCGCAATGGCTCACGCCTGTAATCCCAGCACTTTGGGAGGCTGAGTGGATCCCTTCAGGTCAGGAGTTCAAGGTCAGCTTGGCCAACATGGTGAAACCCCGTCTCTACTAAAAATAGAAAAAGTAGCTGGGCGTGGTGGCATGCACCTGCAATCCCAGCTACTACTCAGAAGGCTGAAGCAGGAGAATCACTTGAACCTGGGAGGCGGAGGGTGCAGTGAACCGAGATTGCACCACTGCACCCCAGCCTGGGCGACAGAGCAAGACTTCATTCTCAAAAAAAAAAAAGGAAATTCCGACACATGCTATGGCACAGATGAACCTTGAGGACATTATGCTAAGTGAAATCAGCCAGTCAGAAAGGGACAAATACTGTATGATTCCAATTATATGAAGCACAGAGTAGTCAAATTCATAGAGACAGAAAGCAGATTGTTGGTTGCCAAGGGCCAGGGAAGCGGGCAACGGGGAGTTAGTGTTCAGTGAGGACAGAGTTTCAGTTGGGGAAGATGAAAAAGTTCTGAAGATGGATGATGGTGATGTTTGCACAACAATGTGAATGTACCAATGTTACCAAATTGCACATTTAAAAATGTTAAAATGAGTAATTTTATGTTATGTATCTTTTACCAGGACTTTTTAAAGAAAGAATTTGTAGCCAACACTTAGTTTGAGAAGCACTGACCTTAAGGGTCCCGAGCTAGTTTAGGAGCGTAGGCATATTTCTGAGCTGGTTAACATTCTATTTTAATCTGCAGATAGCTTAAAGCCAAGTCGGCCTGGGGTCCCACACACCATTCAAGATAAGAACACGCTGGACTTGGCAGAAGCTACAGCTGGTGATGGGCCAGCTTGGTTCCAGCTGCCTTCATCACTCAGGCCTCTCTGTAGTCCTGCCTTGTGCCCAGTGTCTGGGGAGTAGGGGAGCAATTCTGCAAAAGAGCAGGACAGTGTGTACCGGGCTTTGACTTATCCTGCACTTTGTCCTAAGTGCGTGGATAACACCAGTTTGGTGGAATACATGATAACGTGGAAAATAATGGGAAACGGAAGAGCAGCCTTCTCCCTCATCTCTACCCCAGGCCTTCTGGAGGGCAGGCTCAGGCCCAAAACCAAAATGCCATTCTGTAGCCTGGAACCCAAAATGCAAAGCACCCTGGGATGGGAGGCAGAGAAATGGGACCCAGGAAATACAATAATTAAATCATACAATGAAAGCTTAAATTTCCAAGTTAATTCTTGGGCATCGTTTATAAAAGTTAACAGGGCATATTTAATTTAGGAATTGGCTCACGTCCTTCTCCGTACAGCTGAAATCTCATAAATGAAGTATACTGGATCATTTCCCAGTGCGGAAATAAAAGTTATGAATAATGTTTCTATCTCAATCATTGTCAGTGCTTTAATATTCCTAATTACTTTAAAAAGCTAGATATTCAATATAGGAAAACTTTCTTCCTTTTTATCTCCACTTGTGAGATTAGTGCAATTTAATAAGAGTCACTCTGTCGTCTTTATTCAGTATAAACTGACATTTCATTCTTTTACTCTTCATTATTATATGGGATGGAGGTTTATGACCAGGCATGCAGCCACTCCATTTCCCCATAGTGGTCCGTCTAACAGCCCAGAATTATCTGATAGTTGGTGTGTCAGCCCACCAGGCAAATCAGCATCATCTCTCTTCCTTTATGGAGCAGAAAGAAATTAGTCCAGGCCTTAAAAAATTTCAGCTAGGGGCTTATAAGTCAGTAAAAGAATGAGAAGTCCCCACCCAACCCCGGTACTACATTTATCCCCTTCACTGCTGTCAAAGTCATAAATCCATTGGCAGCCACAAAGGGCAGGGCAGGGCAGGGTAGGGGCAGGGAGTTGGATGATGGATCTTCAAAACCCTCCCTGCCACTTCCAGGAATTTATCCTAAGAAGAAATTGGGACAAGTGGGCAAAGACATATGCATAAGAAGAATCACTACAGCATTTTTACACAGGGCCACAATCCAAAAATCCCTAAAAAGTCCAAAACATGTTTTAAAAAATTCAGCACCAAAATCCATTTAGAGGCAAAATCTGCATGAAACCGATTTGAGGTTATATATTGCCTTTATGTCACTAGATGTGATCAGTCATATGTCACTTCAGAAATATCACTGTTTCACCCAGGGTGCTGCCCAGACCCCCATGGGGGCATATGTCACACACAACATACTCACCACATGCTTTCTAAACTCTGAAAAATTCTAAATTCTGAAGCCAGCAGGCCCCACGGATCTTGGAAAAAGGACGGTGGGCCTATGACAGTGAAGAATCAGAAACAACCTCAATGTCCATCAACAAGGGACTAGTTAAATGCATGTGGTAATCCATAGAATGAAATTCTGTAAGGCCATTACAAATCTAGAGGAGATTCACGTTTATTAACAAGAAAATGAGTGCATGACATAAAGTTAAATTTAAACAGCAAGTTATAGACTAGCTCATATATTTGATCTAAATAATAAAAGTTATATCCAGATCTAGCCCAATGTGCAAATGTATAGAGGAATGGCAGGAAGGATAAGCACCCAAATGCCAGCAGTGGTTATCTCTGGGGTGGAGAGTTAACCTTTTTTGTCTAACTTTTGCTACAGTTTGATTTTTCTTTTTAACATGAACAGGTATAACTTAAGAACCAGAGAGAAAAAAACAAACAAGAATGATGCTTTCAATTAAACAAAACCAAAGCTTCTCTGAAAGGGTGTCACACATATAGACCCCACTCAGTGATCTCCAGAGACCACACTGAAGAGGGACCAAGATACTTGTCTCCACAGATTTGGGCCCACAAAGACCCTAAGGCACTGCAGAGAGCACACTGGCAGATAGACCCCCAAATAGCATGTAGCAAGCAGGCTCAAATTACTTGAGGAAAGCTGGTAACAATTTGCGTCCCATGGCCGACTCCTCTATCTCCACAGCAATATCTCAGGGCCACATCTTTTAAGCAGAGCTCACTTTTCCCTATGAACAACCATGTTTTCTCATGACAGATCAATTTCAACCTTGGACTATATTAACAGAGGTTGAGCATCCAGAAGGAGGTAGAGTTATAAGTTACAATTGTATAAATAATTAAGAGTTCAGGTTCAGGACATAGGTTTTTGCTTGGGTGATAGTCCCAGACTTACCATCAACTAACTGTGTCTGCTGGAAGTTCTTTAACCTCTCTCTGCTTCAACTTGCTCCTTTGTAAAATGGGGATAAATAACAATTCCCATACTATAAGTTTGTTGTGAAAATTAAACAAGTGGATAAGTAAATAAAGCACTCAGTGCATAGTAAAATTCAATATATAGTAGCTATCTCCACTATCATTTTTCCATACTGGTCACACCAAGCTCGCAGTTGTGTGGCCAGATCTAGGAGTGAGCATTTAAGAGGAATAAAGGCCACGGCCAACGGAGAGAAACCAGATGGGAAAGGTAGTCCCGATGACATCAGGTGAGAAGCAAGGGAGCTTGGAGAAGAAACACTTGGGGAGGAAAATGATCACTATCTTCTAATAGCTGACCCATTGGAGGGTCTCTGGTTTCTTCTGTGCAGCCTCAATGGCTATTATCAACTGCTCTGAGATGATCATTTCTATACACACAGACTGTGGTCTTATCCAATGAGGTCCTTGGAAGAAATTCCAGGGACAAGGAGCATCATGGTCATCCATCACCCTGCCCTGGACTTTATTATGAGCAAGAACCAATCAGTAGAAGCTAAAAGGTAGATTTCCACTGCAGAGAAGGGAAAACTTTCCAACAATGAGAATGGGCTTCCGAAAGAGGTAGTGAGCTCCTTGTCAGTGGAGGTATTCAAGCAAAGGTTGGAAAGCTCTTAGCAGAGCATCTAAACATTCAGTGCTCTGAATGACACTGAAGGTGAGAATCTATGAATTGCTTTAATTCAATGCTGCTGTCCCTCAAACAGGGTTGGAACCCCTTTTAGAACTTCCCATGGGTTCAATAGCACATGCCTTTGAGTAGATCCAAAAGTCATGGCTCTTCAACCAATGAGGGTGGATTTAATTGAGAGCAAAGAGCTTTTGGGTTGCTTAGCACCAAGTCTGGTGACTGAATGGGAGGAGTTAAATCAGACAGCCTAGTTCTGTGCTATAAAGTAACAAGTCTGTTTCCCTGCTTGCTTGGTAAATTCACTCTGGGGGGCAAGTCATACTCTAAACTGCCTAGTCCTGTTCATCAAATGCCACCTTTGTTCCATCTCTTTCATTAGGCCAGAAACCCTGAAAAGACACAGACCATGTCTAAAAAACCCTCCAGGGCCCTCCCCACGGCCCAGCACAGTCCCGAGCATAGAGCGAGCACTAAACACAGTTGCACTCACTGGTGGTTTCTATATACTCAGGGCCCCGGGGGACCCAGGCTGTATTTCAACCTCCAATAGGCTGCCTTCAGCATTATAATCCAGCAGCAGCAGGCAGACCCATCCCAGCAGGGCTGACCTAATCCAAGTCAGATATTCCTTCCTCAAAGATTCCTTGTAAGCCAAGTTACGCAAAACAAAACACAGATAAGGGCGGGGGAAGCCCAGACATTTTACCCAGTGTGTTTTGCAGCTCAAGTCCACAGAAAGACTGGTTGGACATCTTCCTTTATTTAGCTCACCTGTGCCTCAGTTTACCTTTCATTGTCTGGCCCTGTTTCCCAGTCATGGCTCACTCAAAGCAGTAGGACAAGTGGAAGGAGGAGGCCACTGTGGTCACTGGAGGTCCTAACACATTAGGGGGTTTCTTGGATACCTCAAACAGATCATGGACTCCCTGAGCTAAGATAATCACCCAGGCTCAAAACAAAGCCACATACTGGCTTTGGCCAGAATGTTCTCATGCACTGCATAGACAGAGAGGCTCCAGTCAAGGCCTTTGGGAAAACAAACAAAAAAACATAACTAGATATTTCCACTGCAGCAGAGAGAGGGGAAAAGGACAATAGCACTACACTGGGCCAACATGGACCCAACATTCTCCTAAGTTTTCATGACTATGGTAGTCAGGTATGGGATGGGGAACATGGAGGTGGCTCCCCAAGATGGGCGAATAATCGGGCTTAGATCCCTAGTGGAGCCGCTTGGCTATGTTATCCACTCAGGTCACCATAAAGAGACTCTACTCCAACTCAAAGCAGGAGGAAATTTGGGCTTCAACCTTAGTCAAGTCCTCTTTGAAAATCAAACAAGACCATGATATTAACCAACCCTTGACTGCATAATGTGCCAAGTCATCTGCAAATATTTGGGGGCAATAAACCAGAGGGGAAGGAGGATTCATCTTCATCTGGGTTCTTGGCAGAGAATTCCCTGAACTGCTGCCAGGTATGCCTTACCCTCTTGGTGGCCAGCCCCACAGTAGAGACAATGCACCATGCCACTGTGGGTCACTGGGCCAGCCTGGAGAGCATCCACCTCACCCCAGGCTCAGTAGGAAGGCTTCCCTGGAGAAGGTGAACCATCCACCCACAAAAATGTAGGAACACAAGGACCTGCCCCTGCGAGTGTCCTGTTCTAATTTTGGGGACACAGAGACATCCCAAATGTCCACCAGTCTCACAAATCACTTCCTCTGAGCCTCTGTGGGCACCCACAAAACTGAGCTTTTGGACCAGTGAACCTGGGGACCAGGGCTAGACGACGGCGACCTCCTCAGTGTGTACTCCTGGGCACTGTGTCAATTTCACATCAACCATCAAAGACCATATCTAGAGGTGTTCCATCAAAAGTCAGAGTTGTCCAGATGATCCCACAATTCCCTACACATACAACACACAATGCCCTCACAGGCCCCCATAAATCACCATCCCTCAAGTGCCACCATGTTTTAACTGTAGGTATACCTCCTCCCTGATGTTCACACAGGCCCAGGTAGCCCACCCCAAGTCGCCCCAGCACAACACAAAAATGTAGCATGCACACACCACAACCCACTCCCCTACCAAGTCAGAGCCAGGGTGCCTCCTGACCCCCAAACCCCAGACTCACCGCTGGAGCAGTCGGGCCCTCCCCAGCCAGGCTCGCAGTGGCAGGTGTCCGGGGAAACGCAGCGGCCGTGCACACACTCCTCCGTACACAGGGCTGAGGGGACATGGGGAGAGGGAGGAAGAACCAGAACAAACAGTGAAAACCAACCATCTGGTCAAGGAGCATAATCCATTTTGTCACAACTCCCTGGTGCCCAGGGATGCTTAGAACGCATGACTGGCTTGGGGGGGAAAATCAAGCTACACCTGACCTGAGTTATTTAATTAACTCCAGAATGGATCCTACAAGAGTACATTTCATCCCAGCTCATTTCTTAAAATGAAACCCAAGCTGGAGAAGCGGTAACTTCGTTGGCTTTTTGAGAACATTTCCTGCAACGTTTAACAACAGAGACCGCCGCAAACCTCAGCTCCTAAATCCACACCCCTGCTCTCTTTCCCCATCTGCTTAGGAAATGATCTGTCCCTTGTATCTTCTGCTTTCCCTAGTATCCTTCTGAAAAGGCCCCAAAATGTATCAGCCTGCCTGAAAAGAAGGTCCCTTCTCACTTTTCCCCCCACCTTTCTGCCCTCCTCCCCAAATGTCCCTATTTTGGGGCTCTCAAATGTCAGCAAATCTGCAAAGTACACACATGCAGAGGAAAAAAGCAACAGCTAATTATAAGAAAGTAATTAAGAGAGACATCCACGATGATGATAATTGTAATTAGAAAGTGCCTGGCAATTTCTTATCACGCAGTTGAATGCTGCAGCCTCCTGAGGTGGGAGGTTACAGCGGCAGGCAGTTTCCCTCAACCACTCTGGTGCTGAGGCTTATTGACAGCAGTTTGAGGAAGGGAAATTATTTTTCTCTTTCTTTGACAGAATCCACATTTCCTCAAGGTCATCTTTTGCTCCTGAAAGATCTGCCCCACCATCTAAGCCATCAGTGAAGGATTACAGAAAGCCCCCATGTGCCACCTCCACCAAGTCTGAAAGCTCAGGGAATCAGCAGTTACCATCAACCCTGTCAATTCCTTAGACCAGATCTAGATGGTTTTTTGTTTTGTTTTGTTTTTCCCGAAAGCAAGAGACTTCTCTCTGCCCAGTACTGGCCTGGGCTAGGGGAGCAGATGGTCCCCTTTGATGGCCTCCCACCCACTGCCTGGCCTAAATGCCCACTGGGAAGATGCTGTTGGGTTAAACAACAAGGCTCATTTTATGGCTGATGTGGTCCTCTGGCCCCTCCTAAGCACAGAAACTGACCCCGAAGCTGCTGCCTTAGCTTTGCCCAGGCCCCAGGCAAGGTAGACCCCAGAAGAGCCATTTCACATGCCCCACTGGTCAGTGGTCTGGAGTCAGCCTGTCCACTGCAAGCCTGGGTTGTGGTGTGTCTGGAGATCCCTAGCACCTGGGTCCTTCTGATTGCCACAGGTAGCCTTCGGGGAGGGTTGTGGTGCTTCCCCAGTGCTGGAGCCCCGCTCGCTTGCAGCCCTGAGAAGCGGCTAACCCAGTGCTGGAGAACCCAGTGGGCCTTGACCCCGGGGAACAGCTCCACTTAGAACCACAATGTGCTGCTCACGCGGCAGCTAGCAAGACTGTCAGTCCTGCTGCCCGGGCTCCCCCTGTTCTCACTGGACTTTCCAAACAAGCTCAAATGGGTCAGTGCCCCCAGGACACACCAGTGTCCATCCTCTGGCTCCCCATGGGATGCCAGCCCCTCAGCCCAGCCAGCTCCCAGCCCTGGCCTCAGCTGCTCCCTGTCCCTCATCCCCACCCCCACAGGCTGAGGTCCCTGCATGCTCCACAGCTGGGCTCATCCGTGTTACAGCTTGTCACATTAGCTCACTAACACCGCCAACTGTTTTCTGACTGCAGAGAGCAGGACCTTGATCCCTGGGGTCTCTGCCGAGGGCGGTGAAATCAAGCAGTGACTTGCAACCTGCCGAGTGTCAGGGCTCGAAGAGACTTAAGAGAAAATCATGTCCTGGCCCATTGTTTTATACCTGGAGAAGCTGAGGCCTGAGCGTTCATGGCCCCTTGGGCAGTGTGTGGCCTCTCAGACAGGGAGGAAGGAGCTTGGGGTGGCTCCTGGAGCTAGAGGCCTCTGAAGGTGGAGAGAGCCCAAGGCTGTGGGGACTTCACATTTTGCCCAGGCTGGATAGCCTCCCCCGCCCACATGGCTCAGGGGCTGGCGGTGGGGCCGTTCCAGAGGGAACAGCAGAGGGGTGCTGTGACAGGCCCACAAGAAGGTCAGTGGTGACCAGAGACAGAGGGTGGAGGAGCTGCTTCAACATGCTCAGCACCACACAGGTTAGGGATAGGGTGGAGGGCAGGTAATTTGAGAAGGAAGACCACCCAATGACCAGCCTGCCCCCTGCTCCCGATCCTAGAGACCCAGGCCATCTGCCTACCACCTGTGCCTTCTCCAAGCTGTGGGGGAACAGCCTTCCGGTGCTCTGAGCAAGCTCCACACTGCACTGCCTTTTCCCTTGGTCACTTCCCAAAGCCCCAGAGACCAGCAGGACAGTCTGCAGAACACCGCCCCCCACACTGCAGACACAGACCTCAGCTCAGTCCTGTATCCAGCCCCTAGACCCTGGTAAGGACTCTGCTAAGGCAGCAGCTTCGGGGTCAGTTTCTGTGCTACTCATGGAGGACGGTCATCCCACAGTCCCTTAGCTTGACCCCAGGGATGCAGGTGCATCTCCCTCCTTTCCTCATCGTCCTGGTATTTTGCCTGCACTATTTGCTTGTCAAAACCTCAATCCATTCATATTTCGTAAGTGTTGTTTGAAGCATGAAATATTGATAGCAAATACCCGAGGCTCAGGCTGCCGTATTTGGCAATTGGGCCACCGCGTGTTTGGACACCTGGTGGGGAGGGGCTGGGGGTGCTGCGGGGAGAGTCTCCTAGGGAGGATGGAGGTGGCCATCCCTGGCGCTGGGGCGGCTGACTCCTATGCCAGCAGCTGGCAGCCCATCTCCAGAGGCCTGGGGTTACTCAGCTGCTGCTCCTAGAGCGTGTGGGTGCCCTAAGCTCTTTCAGACCACAGACCCCCATGCCAGTGACTGCCTGGGAGGGGTTGGGTTAGGGTGCTGCCACCCTGGCCTCCTTCTTGGAAACTTACAACTCTAAACAGAGTGTTTTGTCAAGTCCCTCTTCACACTGCTGCACATCCATCTGCTGTCGTGGACAGGGCAGCTGGTTGGGCTCTGACAGCACCAGCCGTGTGATGGGGCCAGCCACTCACCCTCTCCTGGCCCCACCAAGAAATATGAACTGCACTCTCACCACCCTGCTTCAGTCCTGCTTCTGACCTCCCAGTGTGCTAGAAGCCTTCTAGCGAGACTCCATCTCAAAAAACTACAAAAAAAAAAAAAAAAAAATGCCATCTGTTTCTTGGTTGGGACTCTAACTGGTCCAGGAGCCAAGCCGAGGTTTGCACCCACACGTGTGATGCCAAAAGCCTGCTCGCACAGGGTAAGATGAGTAAGATCCAGCAGCAGATCTGTCACTGACTTGCTGTGAGAACTTAGCTCATCTCCCTCCCTCCTCAGGGTCTGTTTGTCTGTCTGTGAAATGAAAGGGTTGGATGACAGGATCTAAATGTTCCCTCCAGCTCTGGGAGTAAAAGCCTCCATGATAGCAACTGCCAACTTCTTTGGCTGACTGATTCAAGCTAAGTTTGAGAGGAATTTGTTCCACAAATGCAGGATAGAGCTTGGCCCGGGAACAAACGTGTTCAGAGGTACAGATGGAAGGCCAGGGCATCAGTTCTGGGGCAGCAGGTGAGCTTGCATAAGCAGGCCGGGACCCAGGACAGCGATCTTGGCACCAAGCAAAGGTGTGTGTGCGTCAGACTTGGGGTCTCCTCTGCAATCAAGCTGCTCAGATAACACTGGCCCTTCCCTAACCAAAGGTGGCCCCATCTGCTGTCCCCAGCTCATGGAAGCCCTCTGAATCAATTCTCCCTTCTATTGGGCCTCCACCCAAGATGACCCACAAGTCCCTGAGGTGCCTGTGGTCATATATTTTGCCTGGAAGTTTGCAAATGGTCTTACTAGTTAATGGAACTATAAAAATTACTTACATGAAAGGGTCAGGATAAATAAAGACAACTTCCACGCCCCCTGGCCAACTAGCCTGACATTCAGCTAAGATCCAAGAAGGCTGGGAGGTCAGGGAAAGGGTGGTAGCCTCCCAGAATCCTCCAGCATATCATCTCCAGAGCCACCCCCGAACCCAGTCTCCCCAGTGCTCCAAGGCACATTGATCAGTCTGCCATTAGCATTCTTGGCAAGAGGTCTCAGATCAGGCTGTCATTGGATTCAGCTTGGAAATAAAATGACCTACATCCACGTGGACCCAAGTGCCAATTCTGAGGTGACATGCTTAGCATGAGTGATTCTGCCATGCCCAAGGTCACACGGCATGTGTGTACGTATTAGTGTGTGTCTGTGTCTGTAGTGGGGCTCAGGGAGTCACCAAGGGGAATTCTAAAACACTTCATCAGATGTGTACCACTCATTCTTTACAGTTCCCAGCCCTCAGTCCCCTCCATAGCCAGGAAGAATAAAAATGGCTGGTCCTTTCCTCAGCCCACCTAGAGTTGGCTTTTAATTGCTGTGGCCACATTGGGCTTCCATATATGAAGAGACAATTATTGTTTTAACAAGCAGCACTTCCCCAGCAAGGCTGATAAGGTAGAAGGACATTAACGGCCAAACACTCTCCTGGGTTGCAGGACTGGGGCCTGCAGGGTGTGACTCCCACCCAACCTGGCCAAGAGCCACTCCCCATCCCTCCCACCCCTCCTTTTTCTTTTTTTTTTTTTTTTTTTTTGATATGGAGTCTTGCTCTGGTGCAATCTCGGCTCACTGCAACCTCTGCCTCCCAGGTTCAAGTGATTCTCCTGCCTCAGCCTCCCGAGTAGCTGGGATTACAGGCACGCGCCACCAAGCCCGGCTAATCTTTTTGTATTTTTAGTAGAGACGGGGTTTCACCATGTTGGCCAGGCTGGTCTCGAACTCCTGACCTCAAGCGATCTGCCCACCTCAGCCTCCCAAAGTGCCGGGATTATAGGTGTGAGCCACCGCCCAGCCTGCCACTCTCCTTTAATTTGGTGGTGCCCTTGCTGATTTGTATTCCAAGGCAGCAATGCATTAAAAGCCAAGGTCCCTGCTCTGCCACTCATTAGCTGCATGTCCTTGAGCAACCTCTCTGGTCCTGTTTCCCCTTCTGTAGAATGGCTGTTGACTTGGTTATTGCACAGAGTAAATGAGTTAACTCATGCAAAGCACCAAGTACCAGGGGTTAGTTATAACTGTTGCTTTCTTTTTAAAATGTTGCTGTTGTTATTAATATTCCTCTTCCCAGGACTGGGCTGGGGAGCTGGGGTACCATGGCCCCTGAGCATGCTCAGGCTCATTTCCAGCTCAGAGGATGATAGAATGGCCTGCGTTAGGCAGGGAGCGGGTGGGGAGGAAGGAGCCCTGGTAAAACTAGAAGGGCTGGGACTGGGAGTGGGGAAGGAGACACAGTCCAGAGTCAACTCACTGGTGAATGATCATCTACCAGGGCAGCACTGGGCATAGCCCTTTCCGTGTCTGGTCCTCAGAGAAGAGGAGCGTGGAATGAAAGGAGGCCCCAGTCCCACCTTCAGGCGCTTTGTCTCATGAAGCCCCAGTGGTTGCGCTTTGGGGGGGAAATGTGAGCTTGTACCCCAAGGTCCCCCTGCCCCCGCGCACGCTCTGCCCATTCATGCAGTACCATGTACATGTGCATTCACTCTACCAGTGTTTACCGGGCACCTCCTGTGGGCTGGGCTCTGTGGGCAGGGGTTAGATAGAGGAGTCCAAAATACAGAGAGGGCCAGGCCTTGCCCTGCCTCCTGGTCTTCTGGGCGGTGAATCCTCCCCCTACCTGCTCCTGACCCTTCCCCTAAAGAGCAGGGGCCTGGAGTGCCGCAGGGAGAATTCTCTCTCTCCGGCACCCCATAGAGAGCTGTCCAAAGAGGGACAAGGGCCGCACTTCAATTCCCACAGGCCAGGGTGTAAGGTCAGAGAACAGACCGGGAGCCAGGCTGTCGGGACTCAGGCTTGGATTCTGCTACTTCCCGGTTGCAAGCCGTGGGTTACTCAGGCAAGTTATTTAACCTCCCTCAGTTTTTTTCACCTGTGAAACATGGACAATGGTCCCTTACCTCACACATTCATTGCAAGACTAAATCATTAACACTTGTAAACTGCTGAGAACAATGCCTGGCACATGGGAACCTCACTATGTTTTTCAAAGTCATTCATTCCTCTGAGCAGTCACTCACTCCCAAAGCATTTATTAAGCACCTACTATGTGCCAGATGCTGTGCTGGGAATACCATAAGCAAATAAGTCACAGTTCCTTCTTTCGTGGTACCAACAACCTGATGGCAGGAAAGGGAGACGGCACCTGAATGAGTGAGTGAGCCACTGGATGGGTGGGTGGGTGGGTGGGTGAGTGGGTGAGTGAGCGAGCGTGTGGGTGGGTGGGTGAGTGAGTGGGTAGGTAGGTGAGCAAGCGTGTGAGCCAGTGAGTGAGTGGGTGAACAGGCGGGTGAGTGAGCCAGTGAGTGGGTGGTGGGTGGATGGGCACGTGGGTGGGTGGGTGAGCGGGTGAGCAGGCGGGTGAGTGAGCCAGTGAGTGGGTGATCCAGCGAGCAAGGGCACTGGAACATTACTGGTGCTGAAATCATAGCCAGTTCAGAGTGCAGGATGGGCCCTGAGAGAGTAGACACTTCTTCCACATGTCAGGGACAGGGGAAGACATAGGAAGAGCTTCACAGAGAAAGTGACACTTGTCTGTGTGACTCCTTCAGCCTCCTTCATCAGGCCCTCACTTCTCCAGCCTGCCGCTCCGGACGGCTGCCCTCTCATCTTTGGCACTGGAACTTCAGGTTGTGAATGAGCCCCTGCCCTCCCCACACTGGGCCTTCAAACAGCCTGGAACTCCATCTACAACCTGCATCTCCAGCTCTCCCACCACTTACTTGTGTACATTTCACATAAACTTGGATGTCACTTCCTCCAGGAAGCTTCCCCTGACTGCACTGCCCACCCCCTCCCCACAGGCTGGATGAGGTCCTCTCACTGCTCCCACAGTATCTGGTTTGCCCCATAGGCCACAGCACTGACTTCTCTCTACTACTTGTCTGTCTTCCATACCTCCATGAAGGCAAAGAATGGGCTATGTCCCAGCACCTAGCATGATGCCCGGCACATGGCAGGTGTTCAATAAATATTAATACATCCTGAACAAATGAGTATCTGAATCTGCAGAGGCTCCCTCTCCTCTCATCAGGGCTCTAATTGTACTAACTTGAGCCATGCCCATCTGGCTGAAGGTGAATACATAATTAAGCTATAAGACCAGGGCAATGCTGAGCCCCAAATCCCTAGATGGCAAAATGCTCTTTAGAAAAATTCCAGTGACTCTGCATCAAAGCCTAGGCTCTGGCCTCCCCAGTCTGAAGCCCTGGGGGCCCTCTGTCATCAAATGCCAGTGTCAGATTACAAAATCCCCTGAGGACCTCCCTTGCAACGCTACTAATCGCCCCAGGGTATTAGCCTGCCTCACCTCAACATGGCTTAACTGTTAATAATTGTTTATCAATTAAAATTGTCAACTTGTCAGAACATTCCCATTGGGTTTCCACATAAAGCAATCACATCCAGCCACTGGGCCTGATAAAAGCTCCAGCATTGCAGTCAATTCCCTTAATCGATGCTTCGGGCCCCAGATCTGCTCGTGGCCGGCTCCTGGTACCCCAGCCTTCCTTGCTTTGCAAAGGATTTTCTCGGCCGAGCTGTTCGAACCACCAATGCTGTATCCCTGCAAGGAGCAACAGCTTTTCAACTTGTTAATGATATTGGAGCATACGGCCTGAGTCAGCAACCCCCCGCACACCACCCAAGAAAATCTTTTTCTGGGTCTTTTTTTCCCCATTTGACAGATGCCAGGCTTTCTCCAGAAAGACACATTCCAACTGATTGATTTTTTTCTTTGGGGAATTGATCCTTACCACCTACGAGGAAAGCAAAACATGAGGCTTGTCAAGCATTTTTTTAATGCTCTGATTTAAAAACTCATCCCCTGCTTCTGCCTTGCAACTTGCCTTGCCCAAAGGAGCTGCCTCTTCTCAAGGAGACATATGACAGAGTCCCGAAGGAGATGGCACTGGGAGGATGGACAGAAGGACGGATGGTGCCCACCGCCTGCCCTCCATCAGGGAGGCTCCAGGCAGAGGGAAGTAGTTAGGCACCTGGGATTCAGGTTGGACAGACCTGGGTTTGAGTCCCAGTTCTACTGAGCCAGCTATGTGACCTTGAGTCAATTAAAGTTACCTAACATCACAAAGCCTTGTGTTCTCCATCTATAAAGTTGGACTAATCACATTACCCAAATAGATGATAGTGAGGGAGAAATAAGATAACAGCTGTGAAGTGTCTGGCAGAGTGGGCTCCCAGCAAGGGCCCCAGAAATCCCAACTCTTCCTGTCATCATTGGCTTTGGAGAAGGCAGCACACTTGTGAGACTCAAGCATGCTGAACTCAGGGACTTCAGCAGACTCAAAACCAAGCATCTAGGGACAGAAGAGGCCAAGTAATAACACAGTCCCTGCTTCCACCACCTCATCCAGTGCTTGCAGACCCTCTCCCTCATCTCATGTCAAACCTCTCCCGAGATGCTTCTGCTAACAGCAAACACAGGCATTCTGTTCCTGCCTAACTCCATTGCATTCGTGTCCTCAAGTGAAAATGGCTCTCTCCAACTCCTGGGCCTTTGTACATGCTGTTCTCCCCATCCCCCATCCCACCCCTCTTCCCGCCTCCTCACCTGGCTAACTCTCTCTCAGGTGTCACTTTCAATGTTCCCTACTTTAGGAAGCTGTCCCTGGCTACCCTCCATAGGTTAGACGTTCCTGACTCGTGCTCCCCTAACGTCTCCCCTATCCCATCATAGGGTCACATGTCACTGTTTTTGTTTGATTGTCTTCAACACTGGCTCAGGAGCCTCTGAAAAGGGGATGCTGTTTCTCTTACCATCATCTCCTCAGCACCCAGCTCGGTAGCGGCACAGAGCAGAAGCTTAATAATCATTTGCTGAATGTGTCAATGGGCGAATCAATGAAGCCCCTTTCAATTATAAGCAGCTCTGATTATTACAAGCTCTTCGCTTCACTGAGCTGAAATCTGCCTCCTTGAACTTCCACGTATTGGCAGCAAGTCTGCCCTTTCCTGCTCCCCAGACACATTTTATTTTGATTCCATGTGAAAAGCCTTCAGGGGATTTTTCTCTATTAGGATCTGATAGAAGTTAGAGATAGAGTGACAGGAACCCATGGCTTCTAAGCAGGATGTGGCAGGGACAGTGCCCACCTGTGAAGAAGTGTTCTCCCTTCAAAGTTAGCCTTTTGTCCTGGGGACTGCAGCAAGGCTGCTGCCACCATCCTGCTCCACGAAGCCCACCCTGTTTAGGAAAGCTGTCACTGCCGCATCCCCAGCACTGAGCAGCCTGTGGTCCCACTGATTTTAAATCTTATTCCAGTGAGAAGCTAAATCAGGAGCTACTTAGCACCACTGATTTATCACTTTAATAAACCTAACACAAAGCGGATGTGAGAGGCCACTGTCAGTCACCCCTCCCATCCTGCCCCCACCTTCCCTCCCAGCGCCTTTGCCCAGCCTGCAGGCCCCCTAACTTCCCTGCAATCTCAGGGAGTTTGTGCTTTTATGAATTGGTCCTTATCAAAACCACATCCTTTTCATGATGTCGGCTGTATTTGTTTCTCACTGAGTTGTGTTTACAAATTCCCTGCCTCCCCAGGAACTCGCACTTCTTCTTTGAAAAGACTCTTTAACACCCCTGGCCTGAGAGTCTACAGTCCTTCGCCTGTCCATGCCCCAGCTCTGTGGCTAACTCCTCATGTGGACGGGTCACACTGTTGGCCAGAACAGTGCAGGAGGGGGCAGGAGGAGACAAACTCCCAGAGTCCTTTTGCAGCCTCACATTCTTTGAGCTGAGAATGTTCAGTTCTCCCCTAACCAGAGCTTCGAGAAGTTGATTTCCATTCCCCCCAATCCAAACTACGCCCAGGGTCAAGCCCAAAGAGTTTCCTTACATGTCCAATAACTCTACTTGAACATTTAATGCTTTCCCCTTATTTTTAAATAACTTTATTTTTAAAATCACCTATTACACTGCTTCTAAGCCAGGATTCAAACCCAGGACTGTGCAGCCCCAAAGCCCGCACTCCCCCCAACTCTCACACGCAGCCTCTCCAGCAAACCCAAGCCTGTGGGGCAGGTGGATACAGAAGCGATGCTGGCCCACAGGCTGGGTGAGCAGGGAAGGCTTCCTAGCAGAGGAGGAAACCCCCAAGTGCAGTGGCATGAAGCACTTCATTGCGCAGATTGAGGTTGTGGAAACAGAACCCTGATCGGCTCTCTCCTCTGAACTCCAGTGGTCAAATTAGGGTCACCAAGGCAAAGGACATGTCATCCTCTTAGCCCGTGAGACTTAGGGTAAAGGGAGCAGACATTCCATCCTGTCCCTCCCTGGCTCACCCTGCAGGATGTCCCTGCCCATCACCCCCTTCCCACTCTCTATCCCTCATCCGGCCCTGCAGCTATACAGAGAAACAGCTTTGCCTACCCTGGGGGCCCCTGACTTCCCTTGCAGTTCCAGGGAGTTCGTGCTTTCATGAATTAGTTGAGGTGAGGATGGGCAGGTGCTCTGTTCTCTCCTGAGCGTTTCACCCAGGGGTCTGACTCTGTGTCTTTGGGAAGAAGCACCACCTCAATATATCTGAACTTGAGAGAATGACAAATGTGTAAGGTCATTTACTGCAGGACTGTTTACAATAGCAAAAGCCTAGAAATAACCTAGCTTTCCATACTCAAGGGAAAGGGTAAATCATGGTACAGCCACACAATGGAATAGTATGCAGCCACAAAAAGGAATCAGAAAGCTCTTCGGGTACTGAAAAGTGTACAATACTAGAGCTAAAGTGAAAAAAAGTACAGAGCAGAATTTAGAATATGTTACCATCTGTGTAAGAATGTTGAAGTATAGGGGAAGAATATATGTGTATATTTCCTTATCTATGCATAAAGTATCTCCAGAAAGATGCTCCAAAACTGGTCTCATGGATTTCCTCCAGGAAGGGCGGTCTGGAAGAAAGTTTATACTGCACTGCCTTTTATAACTGTTAAAGTTTGAGCCAGGAGAATGTGTTACCTGTGCAGAAAATAAATACCATTAAAACTACAAAAAATAAGGCACGTTTTCCTGAAGGCCTCTGCTAACACAGAAAAGCATCCTCTGGGAGAAGAAACATGCTAGCATCCATAAACTTATTAGTCTCAAGTGAGCATAACTGTTACTAAGGCAGAGCCCTGACGGAAGGGGAGTCGGGATTGATCAGGAAGGTTTGTTCCGATCAAGGGGCCAAACCTTGGCCACTTCCAGAAGGTCAGTTCTGCTGCTGAGTTGGAGCCTGAGGTGTCACCTCCCCAGCAATGACCTGGCCTCTGTCACACCTTGCTTAGCCCAGCTCAGGACAACAGCAGGTCCCTTGAGGCTGGCAGAGCAGGGGCGGTGGCAGCTGCAGCAAGGTCCCAGCAGCTGCTGGTCTCAGCACAACACGGAGAGCCCCCATAAAGCATAATTGCACAGAGCCCCAAGATGGTGTTTACTCCTGTAGCACACTCAGAGCAATATCGATTTCTTCAAATAAGATCCCTGTTTTCCCTTACTCCAACTTTCATCAACCTAATCTTGCAAGACGCCTTCTCCCTTCCTTTTCCCATTTTTTCCCTTCTCTTCCACTACTCTTGTTTCCTCTTTCACTTTCCCTTTCTCCCCTTTCTTCTTAATTCACAGCCCTGCTCTAAGCACCTCCCCTGGGCCAGGGCCAGGGCCAGGCACAGAAGCCACAAAGCTGGCCCCCTCCTCCCTCCCTTCTTCCTTTTCTCCTCTCCTCTCTTCCTCCCTCCCTTCCTTTCTTCCTATCAGTGATGGTTCTTCATCCAAGTCTACTCACTCTGGCCCTTTGGGGGATTGGGGCAAAGGGAGGGAGAAAGAGATGGGGGCAGAGGCTGCAGGATGTGCCAGCTGGCCCTGTCATCTCAAGTAGAGCCCCCCAGGGGAGATGAGAGTCAGAAGGATGCAGGGAAGGGAGCTGATGGGCCCCCCGACTGGCCCAGCATCAGCTCTTGAGAAGCCACTGCAGCCCAGCAGAGAGCAAGGTGCCAACACCACGAGCACCTTTGGGTCCCCGGACCCCTTCATCTCTCCACCCACAGTGGAGAAAATTCCCTTCTGGAATGGCAGGCTATCCTCCCTACTGCTGCCCATCCATGTTCCCACCTTTCTTCCAGGTGCAGCCCACGCCCCTGCTCTCAACACATCCTGCCCAGTACCACAGCTGGTCATGCAGCTGCCACCCTCCTTTGTATCATAGTTCTGGTGACATCTGGCTCCTAACTAGTCTCAAATTCCTTAAAGGGGGAAACAAGGCCTTCTTTATTTGTGCCTCACTCTCTTCCCCCAACCTTGACCTATCACCTAGCACAGTTACATGGGGAAGACACTTGGCAGGTATTTGCAGAAAGGAAGAAGAAAAGGGATGGAAGGAAGGAAGGAAGAAAAGGAGGGAGGGACAGAGAGGGAGAGGAAGGAAGGGAGGGAGGGAGGAAATAAAGACAAAACAGATTTCTACCTCTGAATTTTCAGAGCATATAATAGTTGCTATTCATCTGGTGCTTTTTAATTTCTAAAGCACACTTATGTTTATCATTTAATTTGCTTTCCCAACTCCTCTAAGAAGTAGGCAAGACAGCTGTGTTATTGTCTCCACTTTAGAGATGAGAACAGTGAGGTTCAAAGACATAAAAGACTTGACCAAGGTCATCCATGCCAGATCTGGTCCAGAGCCCAGAGCTCCTGGCTCCATGCCCCTGGCACTTGGCATAGCCTCTCTCATTACCTGTAGCATACTCTGGGCCTGACTCCTAGAGCAGCTGGCATGATTAATTGCCTCCTGGCATGTGGGGGACTCATCTACTGGCCTGGGCTATCAGCCACTGAAGGGCAGAGACCCCTCTCTGCTGTTCCTCCCAGTCCACAGGCACAGCCCAGAACCTGGCATTGCATAGTGGCTGGTGGACCCTTACTGGTCACTAAGAACCTTAACCCCCGCCAGGCCCTGCAATAGGGAACAATGGTGGGATGGGGGCCGGGGAGCCTGGACTTCATACCCTGCCCGAGATGAGCAAGCCCACAGTGCTGCTGGCTTCTCTGGTGCCTGAGAACACACATGTCTAGAAACTAGAAAGCCTGAGAGGCGGGACACTTATTTTTTTCCTGGGGGCAGAACAGTAGAGGAAAGGTGACAAGGAATTCAGCCCTTAAACACATAACTAATGTTGCTTCTTCCACCCCTGCCCC
Organism: Homo sapiens; assembly: GCF_000001405.40. Lineage (NCBI taxonomy): Eukaryota > Metazoa > Chordata > Mammalia > Primates > Hominidae > Homo > Homo sapiens. The sequence continues at coordinate 199,677 of NW_003315944.2, forward strand.
AGAGCACCTACAGAGGGCATGAATGCCACACACTCAACAAAACATTTTACCAAAGCAACAAAAACAATATCAGGCCCACAGTGGCAGCGTGTGGGTTGCCATGGAGTCTGACAAATCCTCGGACGCCAGCAGTCAGGGCTGCAGCCCGCGTGCTTCCACGGCTCTCTACACACCACGTGCAAACACACCCCAAGGCCAACGCACCACATTCTTCCAGGGCCAGAACTAGGGCCTACCAGATGGCAAAATCATCCAACCCGGAGTCGGGAGATCAGGCGGTGTGACCCAGGTGAACTTCACTTCTCAGAGCTCCAATTTTCTCATCTGGAAAATGAGAGTGATGAAGCTTTCCTGTGCCGCAGATAGCATGACATGTATGTGTGCAAGTGCTTTGCAGAGAATACAGAGTGTGGTAGGAGAGTCGAGTGGCTAGACTGTGGACTCTAGAGCTGGGGTTCCTGTGTTCAAATTCCAACTCCAGCACTTAGAGCTAGGCAACCAGCTAGTTACTAGGGCAACTCACCCACTGCTGGATAAGACGTTTCCCCACGTGTGTGAGAACAAGCAGCTGACAGGCACCATGGGAAAAGGCGACTCTGGCCTTGGCAAAGAGAGGAGAAAGGGTGGAAGATAACCCGAGGGCATGGCTCAGGCACCAGGGCAACCTTCTACCTGCCCACACTTCACATTTCACAAAGCCCCCTCTTTCCCATGATCTCACTTGCTTTTCTGCTCCCATCCCCACTTGCAGTCCAAGAGTCGGGATGATTTGTCAGACATGAACAGATGAGAATCCTAAGCAGCTCAGAGGATGAAGGTGAGTTGCCCAAGGTCACATAAAGGCAGTGTCACAGCCAGAAGCCAGTACAGCAAAGCCCGCTTTAGCCAGGCACTGTGCAAGGCATGGGTACCAGAATGTGCCACGGTCTTAGCTCTGGGAAAGTCACATCTAGAGAGGGAGTCAGGAGTCAGTGAAGCACCACCCCAAAGCACGAGTCCTATTCCCACAAGGCAAGGGTGTGAGCCCCAAGGGAGTGAACACAAAGTGCAACAGCCACCAGGACACAGCCCGATGGCCTGGCAGTCCCAGGGCCAAGTGTTGGTATCTGCAGCCACAATGGTGCCTGCACATCCCTGAGCCCCTGCTCCAGGCTCCTGCCTGCTTTGGCTCCAGTCCAGCTGGTGATGCTGCAGCCACAGGTTCTTACTCTAGTTGGAGCCCCCAGGGGATCTGGCTGTGCCCACTTCTTCCATTCCATCCCTGCCACCTCCTCCTCCAGCCCTCTGGCCACCAGCATCTTCTAGTTGCTTAGGAGCAAAAAACTCTTTTCCTTCTCAAGGTCTTCACCCATTCAATTTCCCCTGCCAGGAGTTCCCTCCCCATCCCCAGGCTTTACTTCTGAATCCTTCAGGTCTCAGCTCCATAATCCTTCCCTGATCCCCCCAGCTTCCCATCTAAAGGAGGTCTCCCTGGTGTATTAGCTCTCAGCACCCCATGTTCTTTTCCTCCATGCCATCCATTGAAAATGTCCTCAATTTATTTGAGGATGGCTGTTAACAGCCTCTCTCACTAGGCTGTCGGTATCATGGAGACAGACACCTCATCTCTTTTATTCACCCCCAGCATCCACCTCTCAGCCCAACAATGAGCTCAGCGCACAGTAAGCACTCAATACTTACTGCCCAGATAAAAAATAAGTGAAGATGTTATTTAGCCATTTGAGTGGGTTTGCTGAGGATGGATGACCCTCTCGTCTGAAAGGATGCAGTAATTACTGTCATAGGGACACCACCAAAATAAACACCTTTCTTTTCCAGTCTCTCTGCCTCCTTGGGATTAAATGCAAGTAATATCTCATACTTGTGTGTAACAAAGTAAAAATCTGACTCCTGTTAGATCCCACACTTTACCTTTGTTAGGTAGTAGGGAAGTGCTGTTATCCTTGGGATGATGCCCAGGGAAGGGAAGTGATTAGCCCAGCTTCACACAGACATTAACTGAAGTATGGAGAACAAAGTGGGGCTGTCACCTTCTGCCCTGATCAAGCCAGACCTGCAGCCCTTTTTACATTTAAGAGGGAGAGCCTGGGAATAATGACTTGCTGGGCTGTGAGCTCCCTGAGTGAAGGGTCATGTCTGTTTTATAAATTTCTGTCTTGTCAGCACCTAGCCAACAGCCTGGCACATAAGAAAGAGGTGCTTGAAAATCCATTGTGAAATCAACAAATGATGCCTGCCCTGGAAAAGAAAACATTGGTTGGGGTGGGGGCAGGGAGAAGGGAGACAGGTTTCTAAACATCTGAAAAGTTACTATGTGAAAGAGAGAAATCATTTCTGGGACCAAAATAAATACCTTTCTTTTACTAAGAACAGTCCAAACCCACATGGGCTCCCTTAGGAGACAGTGAGTTCCCTGTCAACCAAGGTAATCAAACTGAGCCTGGACAAGCATCTCTGTGGCAGTGACAGCAGCAGGGCCTCCACGTTGCATAACCTGTGAGGCCCGTTTACATCCAAGAGTGGAAATGGTAGCCCAGAGGCTGGGGTAGAAATTAGCATCCGAAGAGCTGTGCCCAGGTTCAGAGACCTGCAGGGCCCCACCTAACTCTGAGAATGTGTGATTCTCTGGTCTGGGTGCAGAGAAGGACCAGGATTCACCCCCATGTCTCCTGATTTGCAGCCCGGTCCCATGGACATGAAGCCTGGGGTTATGGATCAGAAAGTCTCAGGACTCAGCTTTGAGCCTCAGCTACTCCATTCGACTTCTGGCCTTTGTTCTCCCAGTGACTTTGCTTGGGGTCAGAAAACGGAACCTCCACCCATAAATCCACCCCAATGCTCACCGTCCCCTTGGGACATCTTTCCTTTCCTCCTCCATCTGGGCACAATCTCACTCACACATCCCCAAGTCTAGCCTGAGGTGCTGAGGCAGCTGTCTCCCTGAGAGCCATCTCCCAGGTGCCCCTACCTTCCCCCCGCACATGGGAGTCCTTGTGCAGAGAGAACAAGGTGCAGCTGGAAGGGGCTCAGCTGGGCCCAGAGACAAAGGAGAAGAGGGAGGTGGCTGCCTGGGAACTGGATGCCAATTCCCAGCTGCCTCTGAAGGTCATTGATGTAGCTGCCTCCCAGCCTTCCCTCTCAGTGGGTCCAATAAGAGGACTCTCAAATGGTCTCCACCCAAAGAAAAGAGAAATTCATGAAGCAGCAGCAAGCGGGGGTGGCAGAGGGGAAGTCAAGCAGGAAAGTGATTCTGATCTCCAGCCAGCTCGGCTTTAGTGGCCAGGGGCCATCGTCACACGACACCAGCACAAAAGGCTCAATGGGCTTGGATCCACTAGCTTGTGCCCAGGGCCGTCTCTAGGGAGGGGAACCAAAAGAAAGTGACACCCAAAGACTGAATCAGCCTTTCTGCTGCCAGAGGTTAATGAGCAAGGCTCCCTGCCTTTCTGGGGAGGTGCTATTTTGATTTCCCCAAAGCCCCTTCCTGGTAGACACTGAAATGGTCAACAAACCCTACTAACTCTTGTTAGCCCCACAAGGACATAGAGACATTCAGACTCAAACCCTGCCTTGGGGACCTTCAGGACAACTTCACCAAGGAGGCACAGGGGGTGAACAGGTGACATGACATAATGCCACACAGAGCCCAGCAGGTGACTAGCAGGGGCACCCTGAGTTTCCTCTGGGCTTCTGGAGAGACCTTGGTTTCTTCTGGTGGGGGAGACAGTGGCCTTTAGGCTGTGCCTCATCCCCACAAGCCAGGGAGCAAGGGGCAAGGCTGGAGCCACAGGCTGCACTCCTCCCTCCTGGGACACCCTGGTGCTGGGCTTGGGCAATCCACCCAAGGCCAACCTGCTCAGATCGGCTGTGATGTCTGGATTGTGAAGACTCTAGTTGGGATGTCCTGGTAACAGAAGGTGTGGGGTGATTGGAACGGGGGACACAGTTGGCTTCAGATCGTTTTTTGTTTTGTTTTGTTTTTGTTTCTTTGAGCTGGAGTCTCACTCTGTCACCCAGGCTGGAGTGCAGTGGCATGATCTCGGCTCACTACAACCTCCACCTCCTGGGTTCAAGCAATTCTCCTGTCTCAGCCTCCTGAGTAGCTGGGATTACAGGCACCCTGCCACCACACACACCGGCTAATTTTTGTAATTTTTAATAGAGACAGTGTTTTGCCATGTTGGCCAGGCTGGTCTTGATCTCCTGACCTCAGGTGATCCGCCTGCCTTGGCCTCCTGAAGTGCTGGGATTATAGGCTTGAGCCACCACGCCCAGCTCAGATCAAGTTTTAAAGGTGGAAGGGCACCAGTACCCTTCATCTATCTGTGTCAATCTCTCTCCATCCGAAGGAGCATGGAGAGAAATGTCACCTCCCCGGGGAACAAAACTACATTTTAGCAGGAGCCTTCTGGAGACCAGGAAATCACCCAGTGGCATCTCCCTAATGGGAAAATCTCTGGCTTGTCAGTGGGAGAGATATTGAGAGGTCCTGAGACATAGCAATTTGTACAATGCCTTTTTCCTCAAAAGCATACCCTCTGCTAACACTTCATTCAGATATCTGCCTCCTTCCAGGTCTGGCACAGTTTCTAGGAAAGAGGCTTGGCTTTGGAGTCAAGCAGACCTAAGCTTGAATCCTATCTCTTCGGGTTCCCAGCTCAGTGACCTCTGGCTAGTCACCTGACTTCTCTGTGCTTCTGCTTCCTCCTATCTGAACTAGGAATAACAGGCCCCACTGCGAAGCACTTCTGTAAGAATGGAGGAAGAAAAGGCTGGGCACAGTGGCTGATGCCTGCAATCCCAGCACTTTGGGAGCCCGAGGCGGGCAGGTCACCTGAGGTCAGAGGTTGGAGACCAGCCTGGCCAATATGGTGAAACCCCATCTCTACTAAAAATACAAAAACTAGCTGGGCATGATGACACGTGCCTGTAATCCTAGCTACTCAGGAGGCTGAGGCAGGAGAATCGCTTGAACCTGGGAGGCAGAGACTGCAGTGAGCCGAGATCGTGCCATTACACTCCAGCCTGGGTGACAGAACGAGATTCTGTCTCAAAAAAAAAAAAAAAAAAGGGACTGGAGGAAGAGCACCCCTTGTGGGGCCTGGCGCTCCATGGACCCCACTACGTGACTCTCCTCTCTGTGCCCCTGGATATGCAGCACTTGCTCTGGGAGGCCACCAATAACCACAGGAAAAGTTTTATCACTGGGATGAAGACACACTGGAATATACCCATCATTCCAACCAGCTGGGGAGGCAGGGAAGGGAGAGGACCATTTGGGGAAAAGGATATTAACGGTTCCAACCAACAGAAGTCCCTCATCACCTTTAATTCTCCCAGAGGAAGCCTGTCCAGGTTGAGTTATCTTCTGTGGGAAGGAAAAGTGGCTCTGGCCCTTTTAACCTAACACGGATCATAGAGCAGAGAAAATATAACAGCCCCAAACCACTAAGCACTCTTCAACTAGATTTTCCCAGCCCTGCCAGAGGCAAATGGAGGCTGCAGCTAAAGGAATGACATGTATATTTTCTGGAGGAAGTGGAAGGCCCACCTGTCAGGCAAAGGCAGTGGGGATCCTCAGGGAGCTGGCAGGTCATCTGCCCATGTGACCTCAGAGGCAGGCCCTGCCCAGGGCAGACAGGCTCAAGAGGTGGCTGCCGAGTCAGGGTTTCTGAGGATGGATAGCCATGCAGTGGGCCAGCACTCAGAGCACGGGGACATTTCATCTCTCCATCATTGACCCACTTGACCGCTGTGCTGGTAAGTTGTTGCAACATATGCATGAAAATTGCAAGTCTCGTAATTCACCCAGATGGTGGAAGTTCCCAAATTGTTCCTTCTCAAGAGACAGCTGTTCCACCGCTGGGCCATATGGCTCCCTTTGCTCCGTACTCTGCTCTGGGAAATAAACCACTTGCCATGAGCAACTGCGCAGATCTTAGAACCATCTCTTGTTCTTAGCAGGTAATGAAGACCTCCAACAGAGGCGTCCACATTGTACCATGCATGGTTTGTACACATGTCAGAAGCTGTGTTTTAAAACTCCATTAAGGTAAATACAGGAAGCTGGTGGGCAAGGCATGCCGGCTTTGCTTCCTACTCAGGGGTAATGTCTACCATCACAGATTCAGAAAAGGAAGATGCCCAGAAAGTCAGCTAGCCGTTTCTCTGCTTGCAGCAGGGCTAGCCCTCACCACACCCAGACAAGCCCCAGAATGCTGGGCTGGAAGTGACCTTGAGAAAAATGCTATTTACCCTCTGACAGAGGCTTGCTTCATTCCAGACACATGGAGACAGACAAATCTCACACATATATTTCACCATTTGAGCTGTAAGGTTATTAATCGCTAAGACCTGGGCTTTAGAACCATACTGACCTCCTCAGCGGAAATTCAAGAACACCGGCTGCCAGAGACCGTTCTTGTCACAGGTAGGCTGGCCCTTCGGACCCCTCTCTGCGGTTCTGAATAATTGTTTCTCTCTGGGACACCTGTAGGCTGACCCCCAGGACCTTGATGATGCAGATCTAAAATTTCCATCTTTGCTGTCTAGGTGGAAGTGGTACGATCTGTGCGTGTCCTAGAGCAAGCAGAGCCATGACTAGGCTTCTCCATTCATCAAGCTGAGTTCCTGCACCTCATTTCCATGATGAAGACTAGAAGCTTGGCAATATTTATTTGCTGTTCTCTCTAACCATTTTAAACATTTTCTTTTTTTTTTTTTTCTTTGAGACAGGGTCTCACTCTGTCGCCCAGGCTGGAGCAGCCATCACAGCTCACTGTAACCTCCAACTCCTGGGCTCAAGCAATCCTCCTGCCTCAGCCTCCCAAATAGCTGGAACTATAGGCATGCACCACCACAATTAGCTAATTAAAAAAGTTTTTTTTGTAGAAACAGGGTCTTTCTCATATCAGATCCCAAGTTGCCTAAGCTGGCCTCAAACTCCTGGCCTCAAGCGATCCTCCTACCTCAGCCTTCCAAAATGCTAGAATTACAGGCATGAGCCACCACACCCAGCCTAAACATTTTCTTTAGGTAGACAGGGAGGGGTCTTGTCCACCTCCCAACTCTATGCTTATACACCCAGGGTTCCTTCCCAGAACTGAAAACTTGTTTCCTTTGGCCCTTGGCCTAGCGGTACAGCTTTCTCTGCGTTATCATGCTGTACTGGATAATAAGAGCTGACACTCAGCACTTACTGTGTGCCACACACTGTTCCAAGCACCTTACATGAATTTATTCACCTAATCTTCCCAAGCCTTTTCACAAGTGGAAAGCACTGTTATTATCCCCTTTACACAAATGAGGAAACTGAGGCACAGAGGGAATTAACAATAGGGTTCCCCAGACCAAGTTCCATCCCAGCAGCAAATGAGAACTAGAATAGGAACTGAGTGGGACAGATGGCTGGATAGGGGATGAGGTGACCGCACACAGTGGGGGTCAGACCGGCAGCTGCAGCCATATCCCATCAGCTAAAATCTGTCCCTCCTCAACCTCCAGAGATGCCAGACACAGAAGCTTCCAGTGCAGCCTTGGAGCAGCTAAGTCTGCAGGCTACTGGCTATAACGGAATGGTTATTATGAGCGTGAAAATGACACCAGATGCCTGGGTTTGACTCCCCAGTTCTAGTGCTTCATTCCTGTGTGACCTTGGGCAAGTTACATAACCTCTCTGTGTCTCCATTTTCTGAGACACAGAGAATTGTCTGAGAATGTTAATAGTACCTACTTCATAGGATTGTGAGGATTAAATGAGTTAGTAATGAGGCCTAGCGTATAGTTTGTGCTATGTAAGTGTTAGCTATGTTGATGACAGTGGAGGAGGAGGAAGAGGGAAAGAGTAAGAGGAGGATGGGAGAGGAGAAGGCAAAGGAGGAACATGAGGAAGAGGAGTAGAATATTGTTATTTCTACTGCCAGCCGGTCAAGGTGGGGGTGGTCAGGGGCTGGTGAGGACAAAGCCCCATCATATTCTCTTGTGGCACAGGGGCTGCTACTCCTATTTTGTAGATGAGGAAAGGGAAACTCAGAAAGTAGAACAGCACATCGTAGTCTTTAGCTAGTTAAAGTGCAAGGCAGGGCTGCAACCCATGGTCCTTAAGCCTAAGCTAGAGCTTAGACACTTTACAGCACAGACCCCCAGCCAGACGTAGGGGCCCATTCTTTTAAACTTAAGGTCCTGGTGGATTTCACAGCCGCAGCTTTTTCTGCATCAGTGCCCTGGAAACCCAGCTCCACTGCTTCCTAGCTGTGGGTCCTTCGGCAGGTGATTTCACTCCTCTGAGTCTCAGCTGTACACATGTAGAGAGTGAAATGCATTACTGCAAAGTCACTGTAAGGATAAAATTAGATAACATGTGTGAAGCCCTGACACCAAAAATGGGAGCCCCTCCTTTGTCCCTCCCTCCCTTTGTGAAGGCAAATGTCCTCCAGGAAGGTCTTCATCTAGAATGTGCTCCACATGGGGCTGATGGGTCCCAACAAGCTTCGCTATCTTGTCTGGAGTTACAGCTTTCACAGTCTGGTCACTGTTAGCTCACCTTTCCCCTCTGCCCACCCCAGCCAAGCAGTTAAGTCTTTAGAAGAAACTGTGAAGGCCTGTGACAGCCTGTTTGGGGATGCAGTCTAGGAAGAAATGGCCCTGCCCTGGGAAAGCTTAGGAACCTCTTACCCTCTTACCATAGTTACCATGAAACTATGTACGTACACCATCTAGAAACAAGCCAAATGGCATTTCCAAGGATGTTTCATGATTCTTTTCTAATCACTTTGCCTCTCTTAAGTTCTTTCTCTAATTCATTAAGAATGGCAATTGCATTTTTCCATTTTAAACTTTTCCTTTGGTCTTGGGTCTCATTAACTTTGCCCATTGGCTTCAAAATGAGAAAAACCTCTGCTCTACAGTCACCACAATTTGAACTCATTTCATAGAAATTCAGAGCTGATAGGTCTTCTTACGTTACAGATAAGAAGCTAAGACCCAAGGGAGGTGGAATCCTGCATCCATTCACACAGCAAGATGATGGCCGAGCAGGTGAATTCCATCTCTGAAAGCCAGGTCAGGGCGCACATCTAACAGCATCATGGGGGTTTCAAGTCTGAAGCGGGTGGCTCCCTGCTAGAGGCAAAACGCGAGTCCTCTCAACTTGGGTTCAGTGGCCTCCTCCTCCTCCTCTTCATTGGAGCCAGAAGCCAGAGTTGGGGAGGCATCTCAGACAACAAATGCTGCTTAGTGCCCGGGTACTGCAGAAACCCCTCCAACCAAAACTGTCCCATCAGGGACCAGATGGCATTTGACTTTGGGGCTGAAGACCTCAACTAGATTCAAATCTGGCAACCCACAGAGAATGTAGCCCCAAACCTGGATCTTGCCTCAGGAGTTTCCATGCAGAGATGCAATTAAAAAACGGGGAGCAAAGGAGAAGCATGTGCTCTGATTAGGAAAAACAAGGGCGGCCACTCCTACAAAGCCACAGGGCTGGTCCTAGTGCTTGCACCTGCTCCTTGATTCTAGGGTCCAGATAGAAGGAGGAGGCCCAAATAAAGGAAAGGAAAAAGCAAGAGGAGGAGGAAGAGAGAGACAGAAAAGGGAGAAGGAGGCCCTGCCTGGCCTCCCTTCTGCAAGGCCGGGCCCTGCCATGGTCCCCTCCCCAGCATTAATCCTCTAGTAGTGCTTTATATAAGTCCATTGTGCAAGAAGATTAAAAGGGACAGGCAGAACAAAGCATTGGTCTCCCTAACAAAGGCCCCTCCACTTAGTAAATTAGGAGCTCTTTCTACCTGACACACTTTTAAAGGGAAATCTTCAATTACTATGTGCTGGCGGGGCAGGGCAACAAAAGGTCTGTCTGGTGACTTTATTCTCAAAGCCCTGAGCAGGCACTGAAATGGTTTTATGTAATAGAGATACTAATCTAGTCCATATAATTTTGAGAATCCTTTATGGAGGACTGAAGGGTGTTTGAGCCCTGCGGCTGTTTCAGAGAGAATTTCTGCAGCTTATGCATTTACCTTGCCAAAAGTTTAGCTGAGCAAACAGAGTCCTCTAAATCACACTTGCTGTTGATTTCCTATCAGGCCTCCGCAGTTTGTTTGGTGGATGAAGCCCTGTGGATCAACAGAGGCCAAGGCTATAGTCCCTGCACCTGGCCACACCAAAGGGCTAGGGGCTGCCTTTCAGTTGCCGCCACTCTGGCTCCCAGATTTGGGAGTTTTCCTCTCTTTCCAGCCAATGCAGGGTAAAGGCAACCAGAGGGGCAGTTCTCTGGCCAGGGGAGGGAGGAGGCCTCCCTGGCTTCTGCCCTTGGTTCCAGGTCTGCGTCCATTGTGGGAATGAGATTGATGGTGTCATTTGGCTCCCCTTCCCCACCCCATCAGGAGCAAAGAAGCGATTCTGGCTCCCTTGGTGACAATTCAGCACCACTGCTGCTTAAAAAGGGAAAGGAGAAAGGAGATGGGAAACAATGATGGGGAAGGTGACTCTCAGGAGAGTCTAGGGAGAAGTGAAGGCACAGCCTCTTCGAACATGCCAGCGTGCAGTTATGCACTTGGTACATAGGTTACTGGGGGCTTTTTCATGGACAGACATGTAATATACACATACAGCAAGTAATACATGCAGAACATACGGGTGCACACATGTGTAGGGGGAGCATTTTACACACAGCAAAACCCAGCTCTCAATATACATGTGTGTATGCAATAATAAACGCCATCACTTCCATAGCACCTTCCACATGCCTGGCACCATTCTGAGCTCTTTACATACCGTCACTTACTTAATCTTCCCAATGAGGCCACAAGGAAGGTACTATTGCTACCCTTGTTTACAGGTGAGTAAACTGAGGCACAGAGAAGCTAAGTAATTTGCCCAGAGTCACACAGGCAGTAGGCAGCAGTCTGGCTCTAGGGTCTATGCTGTTAACCTTGATATCAGCTGGTATAACACGCCTGCACAGACATCCCTCACGTGGATTGGGAGCAGCCTCCACACATGCAGACTCACAATCCCATATGCACCACGTGGACACACAGCCAGACATCAGAGCAGATATGCCCCTTCCTCAGAGGTCCAGACATATCACATCTGCAGCGTCAAATGAGGGATTCCAGTTCAACTAAGACTAGGGTAAAAGACACTGAATGGTAAAATATTAAAATATTCCTCTTCTCATTGGTAAATGGTTGCTTACCCTTCCAAGACCCCCACCTTCCTATCATCCAGCAACTACAGGGTTAACAGCTAGCCACACAGGGGACCTCCAGGACCTATTCCATTCTAACTTCGTGATAGGGGTGCCAAGCCTGTAGTTCAATGTTTATATTCCTACCCCCCCCCCCCAGGTATAGACAGGGAGGGGATGGTGGGATGTGTGCCTGCAACGAGGGACCCTGCTCCTAGGCTCTCCACTGGGCTTGGCCACTGTCAGGTCAGCACAGCGTAAGGAGTGTCCAGCTCCCCAGCCAGTCCCCACCCCGCCTACTTGATGGACAGCTGAGCAAGGCTCTTGAAAGACAGGTCTCCAAAGACATTGAAGTAGCTACTGGGAGGCAGTGGGAGGCTCTGAGCTTGCATTGTCACCCTCACTGGGGCCACTCAGCAGCCCTCACTGAAGAGCAAGCATTAGAGGAGATTTGGGGACCGGCATGCCCATTGTCCACAAAAGCCCATTAGTGGCCAGGAGGGAGGAAGGCGCTCAGCAAACCAGGAGGCACTGCATGAGGAGCTCCGTCCCTCCCACGTCCCTCCAGTCACTGCTGCCCTACGTCCTGGAAGCTCAGCTTCTAACTCAGAGGTGGCCTCCTGGGTTCTGCGACAGTAAGCTCAGTCCCCACAGAGCCCCAGAGCAGGGTTCCCAGACTCTTCACACACATGGGACATGGGTACAGATACCAGAATTCTGGGAGAAGCTTTGGGAACCTGAGGTCCTGGAGGGGAGGATAAAAGAGGAGAGGAGCAGCCCTCAGACCAGGGACCTGTCTGAAGCAGGCCACCCTCCACTCTGGACTCTCAGGCCCTGCCCAGAGACTACTCCTTTGGGTATCCCTTGAGTGTCCCCTGGAAAAGCCAGCCCACTCATCCTTGTCATCAACCAGCCTGCACGTTCCAGCACTGGGCCCTACAGATACAGAGGGGTCCCACATTCTGGGCCCTCAGGAGCTCATGGCCAGTGAGAGAAACAATAAACACATTGACAATGGGACCTGGAGTGAAAGGGGCTGCAATCAAGACAGGGCCGGGGCTGGGTAGGGAGGTGTCGAGTGGGGCTCCCAGAGAATGTTAGGCTCCACACTGAGTTTTCAAGGACCAGTATGCAAAAACTGCAAGAGCAGGATGGGGGTTCAAGGAGGCGAGGGCAGCCTGCACGAAGCCCCAGGGAATGAGAGAATGTGGAGAACTCAGGCAGCTGGGTGGGATGCAGAGGCTCAGCAGTGAGGTAACGGGACGTTGAGGAGCAAGACAGAGAATCACGAGTGTCATGTGAAGGACCCTGCGGAACGCACCTGGAGTGGGCAGCCCTGGACGGAGAGGAAGAAAATGCCAGAAACCACAGCAGTGGGGCAAGGCAGGAATAGAGTGGATTGAAGGTGCCTCCAATTTTCCAAGGCTATTTTCTGAGCCCCTACTATGTGCCTGGCACATCATGACCCACTGTAGACTCTACAGTGATCTGTGTTGAGTGTATAGTTCCATTGAGGAGACAGAAATTTTAAAAATGTATATTCTATGCCAGGTAGTGATAGTGCAAAGAAAAAAACAAAACAAAACAAAACAGGCTAAGAGGGTATAGAAAGATGTCAGGGAGGAGGCCGCCATTGCAGACGGGGCGGTCAGGGAAGCCTCTCTGAAACACAGTATTTGAGTGAAATGAGGGACGGGCCATCTGGTGCCGTGTGGCTATCTGGGGAAGAGCATTCCGGGCAGAGGGAACAGGAACTGCCAAGGCTTCCTGTGTACAGGAGGAGCCAGGAGGCCAGCGTGGGAGGCACAGAGTCAGCTGGGGCCAGGCTATGTGGGGCTTGCAGCATCAAGCAGCTAACGCCCAACAAGGACCAGACATCCAAGGTATGAATTCAGAAGATCAAAAGGGGGCCATTGGCAAGTTCCCGTAGAGAAACTGGCGCTTAGACTGGGCACAGGGTAGCCACTTCATGGGCTTCAGCTGGCCCAGGAAAACCCAGGAAGAGAGCTTACATAAATGCCTGACTGCTTCTGACACAACCAAAGGCTTCCCTTCAGAGGCCGCCCGGTGCAGATGGCAGAGGCTTAATTACATCCACAGCTGGTGATTAAGAAGCGATGCCTCAATCCTCCCACGGCTGTATCAGCACGAGGGGCCCTGCTGGCGCTCACTGAGGGTGGAGGAAAGTCCTGCCAGAGAAAGCTAGAGCTTGGCCAGCAAAACCCAGCCGCCAGACCCCAGGTCTTCATCCCCTTGACCAAGTCCTTGAACACAGCCATCCATGGCTCACCCATCCCTGCACACCCCCCATAACTTGCCTTTCACCACCTTCACTGGTGGTCCATGCTGCTGCCCCCAGAGCAACCACTCCCTGATACCACCTCACGGCATCGCTTGCTACTTAAACCCCTTGTTGACCTCATGAGATTGTCCGGGCAGTGTCCTGACCCCTCTGCTGTCTCCCACGTCTCGCCTTTGCTCATGCTGCCCCTCTGCCAGACGAGGCCCTCCCTCACAAAAGTAAACCAAGAACAATAGCTAAGTTTTACTGAGCTCTTCACATGCCAGGCCCTCTACTAAATGCTTTATTTGTAGCAACTCATTGAATCTTCACAACAGCCCGAAGAGGTAGTTACCCAATGGGACTCTGTTTTACAGATGAGAAAGCCGAGGTATGGAGAGGCAAAACAACGTGCTCGGGGGCACACAGCTAGCAGAGGAAGTGAGTGGAGTCACTCTCCGGCCGGCTGAGGTCTGAAGCTCCATCTTACCCACTGCCCATCTCTTGTTCTCCTGGTGAATTCCTACTCATCTTTCAGACTCAGCTCAAAACTCACCTCCCTGAAGGGGTCCTCCTTGACCCCCATTCCTTCCATCCCTAGATAAAGCTAGTTGCCTCTCCCTAAGAGGTCTCTCAGTATTTGTGGTATGAGTCTATTTCACTCACTCACTAAATTCAGTGGTTTATCAGTACTCAGGGCTGGACACCGTGCCTGGCCCTGGGGAAAGCCTCGCAGAGACTTGATCCCTCTGCCTCAGGAACTCACTTCTGAGTGAGAGAGATGGACAGGCACAGCAGCTTCACAACCAGCAGGACAAGGGTGCAGAGGGGCCCCGGGGTGGCAGGGCCAAGGGAGAGACAGGATGGTGGGTACAGAGTACTTGTACCAACCACCGTGTGGCTCCCAAACAGGCGGAGTTCCAGGGTGGAACAGGAGGAATCCAACATAGGCATTAACAGAAGGGGGAATCCAGACAGACCACCAGGCATTGTGGGTGCCCAGACCATGAATTCACTCTTTCAACAATTATTTATTGAGGGCCTGACAAGCACTAACAAGTGGACAAGGACAAATCCTTGGTAGTTACATTTCTCATTGCAAATGAATTAATTGGTATCAGGGTTAAGCATCCGTATTTATGAGTTTGGTCAGTGTGAATCATCACCTGGGTCTCAGCTACTCTGAACATTCTAAATCAATGTTCTAAGCCCACGGACTGGGGACCAGACCACGGTGGCTGCATTAACTTTGACCTCTCAGTGGGGCTCTGTCGGGGGTGGACGGGCAGCTATGCCTTCCTTGCCTCCCTATTTAAACTGTGCTTATCCTTCTGTGATGGCATCTCTCCCGCTAGACCATGTGCTTCTTATTCATCTCTGCATCCCCAGGACCTAGTAGTACCTGCAAGGCATAGATATCTAATAATAATAAATGGTGATGGATGGATGTTGTTCTTCTAGGCAGCAAAGCTCAGCACCAGGTGTTGGTGACCCAAGAGAGTGGTGTCAACACTGTTTCTGGTGATGGCAGCAGGCAAGACTCCTTGGGGAGCCTCTTAGAGGTTTAGCAGGGAGTTTTTACCTAGCAGCTAGGGAGAGGCTGAGTTTCAGACAGGCCCCACCATGCTGCTTACACATATGCCCTTTCCTCCACCCCCCATGCCCTCTTGGCACCTTGATCCTGGCACCTGTTAGGACCCACACCTTAGCAAAAATTTGAGCTCAAACCAGTATAGCTTCAGTCCCCTCCTCCCCCTCCAAACCTCCTCCCCTGCCCTCTTGACTGACCCCACTTCTCTCTTCTGGCCACAGGTTTCTCCTACTCAGAGAAAACCCACTGTAGGAGGGGAAAGTACAGGATTTAAAGTCGCACTCATCTGAAATCTGGGCCTGCCACTTATCCATGTGGACAAGTCACTTAGCCTCTCTGAGCTTCAGTTTTCTGTCCTGTAAAAGGGCAGTAACAATAATGCTCACTTCTCCAGTCTACTGAGCAGATGATATACTGCAGGTGAAAGCGCCGGCTAAACCACCAGACATTACACAATTGTCATTATTATGGTCGAAAGTTAGCAATCGCTCCAAGAAGGCATTGAATTAAATGTCACAGGGGTTGGTTATAAAGCCCCCATTCCACTTCTCTCTGTAAAACAGAGTCAGTTCCAGTGATATGGAGAAAGTGCTAATGCAGCTCCTCATGCTACAAAAGTGCTCCCAAAATACAGTAAAAATATGTTTAAATGCATAGCTGAGCTCTAAGGAGAGCAGGGTAAATTTCTAAGTGTTGGGGAAAGGGGGAGTTTATAGGAGAGCAGAATGTGAGATGCTGAAGCCAAGGTAGCTCAGGGAACATTAGACCTGGCTACAGCCACCACCCCCCACCCCCAGCGCAGGCTGGGAGCCAGGGACTTCATACCCACTCAAGGGCAGACTTGGCCTTGGAAGTCGCCAGCTCCATGTAGGGGGGATTTGAACATGCTACCCACCAACCTAGAGATAAACAAGGTATTCTGGATGGAGAAAAAAAGTCTCCCACAAGAAACAAAAAGCCAGGATAGGGGAACAGGCAGTGACTGCTGAATGGGTATGGGGTCTCCTTTAGGGGTGATTAGATAGAGGTGATATTTGCACATCGTGAATATACTAAATGCCACTGAATTGCACACTTTAAAATGATTTTATGGTATGTGAAATTCACATCAATTAAGAGAAAAAACACCCCAAGCCTTTACCAAACACAGCATAAAATCCCAAATCAGGCTACCAAAGTAAAGGGTGATCTTGAACCGGGGGAAACCATTAGAGTGCCCGACAAGAAAATGTAAAACTAATGTGTAGGGCCGCTGAACAATTTGGGGCATAAGGGAGGGAAGAAAGGGCTAATAGTTAAAAAAAAAAAAAAAAGTACAACCTGTACAAGGAAACAATCTGCCATAATGGAGAATCAGCAGGCTCCATGAACAGGAGAATTGATACTCTAGGAACTTGAGCTAATAGAACTAATCGCTCGAGATAAAACTATCTGAAAGAGACTATAAAAGAAATATGTTTAAAATAATTAAAGCAATAAAAGAAGGAATGGAATTCATAATGAAAGAATAGGACACGACAGAAAAAGCACAACATATCCGAAAAAGAACCAATGGCACTCCTAGAAATGAAAAAAGAAACTGAAATTAAGACCACACCAGACAGGTTAATTAGCAGAACCACAGCATCTAATAAATGGATCTAAGGAAAATGTCCAAGGTGCAGCATGGAGAGATAAAGAGACTGAAAATGAGAACTTAGGAGAGACAGAAGATGGAATACGAGGATCCAACATATTGGAGCTCCAACAGGAGAAATTAAGAGAATGGAAGAAAGGAGATTTTTGAAGAGGTGTGGTTGGCAATTTTCCAGAATTGATGAAGGACATGAATCCTTAGCTCAAAGATGATATATACCTCTGAGAAGCAAAGAGTATAAAACAAACAAATAAAAACCCCCAGAAACTCCACACCCAGACACATCCTAGGGAAACTGCAGGGCAGGCAGTGCAAGACAAAGTCCAGAACACAATGGAACACCACTTCTCAAACTGTTGGAAGAAAATGACTGAAAGCCTAGAATGTCACAGGCAGCTTAACTATCATTCAAGAGCAAAGGCAAAATCAAAGCATAAGACAAATAAAGCATAGGAGCATTGGTAACTCATAGACCTTCCCTGAAAGAACTAAAGAACTTTCAAGAAGAATGAGGCTGAACCTAGGAGAGTGATGCAAGAGATGATGAGCAAAGGAATTAGGAAACATAGGAATTCGATTTAAATTTAAACAATAATTGTGCAAAGCAACAGCAATAATGAAACAGGAGTACATAATTTGGCATAGAGTTGACGTGTCGAATTTACTGAATTAAATCTTACACTGCCTGACCCCCTGCCCAACCCCCCACCAGAATCCTCTCCCCTCAACCAGAGTCCACCCGTGAGGCCAGTCTCCCAGACCCTCAGCTGCTGGCTCCCTCGGACACCATGTGCAGACCACCTCCTAGGGTTGGCACAGTCCCTTTCCCTGGGGACAACCTATGCTCCCCAAGCCAGCCGGGCCCATCAGCTGCATACGTGCCTGGAGTTTCTGGTGGATCCCTCCACTTCTGGATTTCCTGAAAACCATACTGCAGAGGGTGGCCTCTGGCATTCCAAGCCACCACTGAAAGGGCCAGAAGATTTCACCTGGAAGCTTGAGGGAGTTCATTTGCCGGGGGGAAACTATGTCGACCAAAAGGAAACAGGAGACGGGGAATTGGGCAGATAGACTCCCCCTCCTTGCCCGCTGCAGTGAGGCATGCTTTCTCCCTGCTGCCGCCCGCAGCAGAAGCCCTGAGTACTTAGGGGATGCACCTGCTGGGCCTCTTTGTAACAGATTCGCAAACTGAGTCAGTAAAGAAACCCTTGGCTCACGCCTGTAATCCCAGCACTTTGGGAGGCCGAGGCGGGTGGATCACGAGGTCAGGAGATCGAGACCACAGTGAAACCCCGTCTCTACTAAAAATACAAAAAATTAGCCAGGTGCGGTGTCGGGCGCCTGTAGTCCCAGCTATTCTGGAGGTTGAGGCAGGAGAATGGTGTGAACCCGGGAGGCGGAGCTTGCAGTGAGCCGAGATTGCACCACTGCACTCCAGCCTGGGCGACAGAGCGAAACTCTGTCTCAAAAAAAAAAAAGAAAAAGAAACCGTTGCCTAGTGGTTCTCAAGTGTAGTTCCCATCCATCAGGATCACCTGGGAACTTGTTAGAAATGCAAATTCTTGGGCCCCACCTCAAATCTTCTGAATCAGAGACTCTGGGACTGGGGCCCAGCAGTCTGTGGTATAACAAGTCCCCCAGGTGATTCTGGTTCGGCAGCTCACGTTTGAGAACCGCTGGAGTCAAGCACACAGAACCTGTCTCATATTGTTATTAAGTGCTTACCAAAGATACATTCGAATGAGTTGTGGTTTGTGAGCACCGTGGCCATCTGTGTGGGACTTGTGATAGCAACTAATACTGCTCACTAAATGTTTCTGATCCTCTCTGCCTTCAAGACTAATTAGAGCCCTCTTCTCTCTGCCACAGCAACTAGCAACATTCCAGAGAGTTGCTGCTCCATCAGCCTAGGACCTGGGGTGAGGCTGACAAGGAGCAGGCCTTAGCTAGCCCACGGCGGACACCTAATATGAAGAAGAAATTAAACTTCACTGTTTCAAGCCACTGGGATTTGGACGTTGTCTGTTACCGCAGCAAAACTCAGTATGCTCATAACTCAGTCCTGTATCATCTGGTTTGATACAAGACTAATATTTTCAAAGAACAGAGCTTCCCAAAATGCCTCAAACTCTACTACATATGTGAAAGTCTGCTTCTGCAAGACATAAAACTAGCTCCATCTGCAGAGGCAAAAATGCCTCTGTCCTGAAAGAAGGAAGAAAGGGAAGCTTGGAGGGAGGGAGGAAGGCAGGCAGGCACTTCTGCCCAGTGATCTCTAGGAAATATTTCATACCTGGTGACCAAAGTGGGCCAGGACTCCGCTGTAGCTGTAGATAATGGAAGCGGAAAGAGGTATGAGTTGGGCAGGGGTGGGTGGGAACCTCTGGTACGGATGGTTTCAGGAGGGCTCCCAGATGAGAATGGCAGTTCAAAGGCAGACGAAATTGTACAGAGAGGAGAAAAACAGTGCCCCCCTGCATCTGTATTGAGCTCTGTGTTTTCCAGGACACTCTGGGTCCCTGTTCCATCTCTTCCTCCTTCCACACACAGGGATGGTCCGTCCTATGTCACCGCTGCTCCACAGAGGCAAAGGACTGGCCCAAGATTGCAGAGCAAGTTGGTGGCTGAGTCAGCCAAGGCTTTCACGCCCGGGCCTGCTCCTTGTCAGCCTGCAAGAAACAAGGCTCCCAGAAGGTGACTCTGAAGGGAAGATGACATCCTCCCGCCCTGCCCAGGGCACAGGTGATGTTCTTGTGCAGGATCCAGAGAACTCTTGGCATCCGATGGGTTCTCACCAGGTTCTGGTGAAGTTGGAGGTTCTCTGGCCTCTGAGCGATCTGGAGAGACAAGTCGCAGGGCAGGGCTGCAGGCACCAGCCCCTGAATGCTCCCAGGCTCACAAGTCTCCCATCTGTCCCCCAGTGCCCTGGCATCATTCTTCACCCTCTCACTACCATTTCTCCCTCTCACAAGCTCCCTCACCCTGGGGTCTCCATTCTCTCATGGGCAAGTGCCAAAGCCCATGTGGGGCCAGTTGGTGCCCCCTCCCTTTCCTCCCATCACAATAAACAAGAACAGGAGGATGCTGGTAACAGCTGACACCAGCCTCTTCAGATTTCCTATGTTAAAGTCTCAAGCTGCAGCACCTGAGACACGCCCTTATTTGGAGATAGGGTCTTAAAAGGCAATCAAGGGTCTTAAACAGCTGACACCAGCCTCTTCAGATTTCCTATGTTAAAGTCTCAAGCCGCAGCACCTGAGACACGCCCTTATTTGGAGATAGGGTCTTAAAAGGTAATCAAGTTAAAATGAGGTCATTAGAGTGAGCTCTAATCCACTATGACGTGTGTGCTCATAACAAGGAAATGTGAAGCCACGGGAAGAACACCATGTGACGATCAGAGTCCTGCCGTTGCAGCCAGGAAACTACCAGAAGCAAGGAGAGAGGCTGGAACAGACCCTTCGCCCAGCCCCGGAAGGAAGCAGCCCTGCCAACACCTGGATCTCAGACTTCTGAGCCCCAGAACTGTGAGACGATAAACCGCTGCCGGTGAAGCCGCCCAGCCTGTGGTACTTTGTAATAGCCACCCTAGACAATTGACACACCCAACCCAGCCACCTGCACCTCCCGCTGCAGCCCAGGTCTGCCCTCTGGGGTCTGGCCAGCCTCCTCACCGCCCACCTCCATGCCTTTGCTGATGGGGTTCCCTCTCCCACCCACCCCTGACGGCGTCATTGCAACCCTCAAGGTGGAGCTCAAGGCCCCGTGAAGCAGGTGGCAGCATTCTCTCCTGCCGCGCTTGACTGTCTCTGTCTAGCCTTTTTCACATCCAGTCTCTGGGCTGTTATGGAATGATTTTACTGAGTGTTAGTCCCGCCTTCCCGTCATGAAAGTAGATTCCACAAGGGCAGGGGCTATTTGTATTTCTAACTCTTCTCTTCTATCTCGTAGCACAGCACTGTGGGTGGGCCATAGTAGGTGCTTAATAAATACTGGCTTGAAACACCTTTCTAGTACACCCTGTAGCATACTCTAAGTCCCCTCCTTTGACTAGGCTGGAAACTCCTTGAAGGCAGCAACTATCCATCATCTGTATCTATGCCCCTGCATCTTGCGTAGCAAGAAGTAACAAATACATGCTGCATGGGTAACATGAACATGTGGTAACGTTACCATGCAACAAGGACCCTGTAAGGGTTTCAGGGGATCCATGAACCCAATGAACCCATGAACTCAATGCAAAGGACTTTGTGTGTTGGTATGTTTATATAGGTACTATGCATTTTCCCAGGGACAGTGTCCATGGGCCTCTTTGAGCAACTAAAAGCCAGGACTCAAACAATGTGGAGCACCAATGCCATGGAGGAGGGAACTGACATTTACTCAACCCCCACTCTGTGCCTGGTGAGTGCAGGTGTTACTACTGCCATTTTACATGAATGAAAACTGAGGTTCAGAGAGGTAAAGCCTTGCCTAGGTTCGTGAAGAGACAAGCAGCCTGCCCAAGCCATCCAAGTGCAGAGACTCTGGAGCCAGACAGCCTGGATTCAAATCCAAGTTCTGCCACTTTCCAGATGTGTGATCTTGGGCAAATTACAGAAGCTCTATGACTCAGTTTCCCCATCTGTCAAATGAGAGAAATAAGGATACCTTCCTCATAGGGCTGTTGGGAGCAGTAGATGGATCAGCGTATGTAAAGTGATCAGAATGGTGCCTGGCATGTGGCAGGTGCTGGGAAGATGATGAAGATAAAGAGGAAGAAGCTGGCAGTGGCAGAGCAAGGATCAAACCCAGACCCCTGTGATTCTGTGTCATTACTACCAGCACCTAGGGTGCCACACATCCCATCTCCCTGCCAGAACTCTCCTGTCCCCTCCTAGAAGTCTTTCATCCTGAAAGTGGCTTTTTGAGCTTGATTTCCTGGTGGACCGTCCTAGGGTCACCTGGCCAGAAGGTAGTACCCAGTGGTTACATAAGGAGTAAGTCGGAAGGTATAAACTGCCCTTGCCAGTCAGCAAGACTGGGCCTCCTGTGCAATCAGGACGCTTAGCACTTCTGCCCTGCTCTTCATTTTCCAAGAGCTTTGCCACCGTTCACTAATGGAAATTAGAAAGGAAATGTGCTCGTCCATTCCTGGATCTCTGCGCTGACGTCCAAACTCCCTTCATAATTTCCCTGAGTCCATCACTGGGCCCTGAGCTTGCGCGGGCCGCTTACATCTGTCCCTGAGGCTTTGTGAGTCCCGTGTCCTACCCCTGGTCTCATTTCGCACTACTCCATACAGACAGAGCAGCAGCAGGAAAGCCTTAGTACTGATCTCACATCTACACCTGGGTCTCAGTTACCCCATCCCAGGTGAGGTACTGACCAAGGCCTCATCCTAGCTCAGTCCTCTGCCCTGCCCCTGAGGAACGGCCTTTTAGGTGAACTGCTTTGTATCTTTCCTACAAAACCATCACTACCGAACCCATTGGAGGGTACATTTTTCATTCATTCTTGTAATGCAATTAGAATTGAGTTTCTCCAGCATTGGGGGAGATGTAACAACAGTAGGAGAAAATTGTCATTTTATTCCCAACATCAACACACCCACTCTGCCCAAATTTTCCCTCTGGTGCGAACTCTCTCTACCCACTCGAATGGCAAAGAGAATACTAACAAGGAAAATTGCTCTCCAAATGAAGAGGCAGAAGCTTTGGGGGTGGAATCTCTTCTCAGTCATTAAACGAGGGCCTCCCAGCTCCTCTGACACTCTCCTACAGTAGAGGGAACCTTCTAAGGCCCACTGGAAAGTCCACTGGCCCCATGTCACTGGGTCAGAGGTGAGTGGGGAAAGAGTCCCTTAGAACCCAACAGGGACCCTACGATCATCCTCCCAGAGAGATTAAGTGTCTTGCCGAAAGCCCCATAGCTAGGAAGCCCAGATCTACAGGCTCCTGCTCCGGGGTGCCTCCACTGCACCACACTGCTCTTCTCCCAGAGGGCCTGCAGCTGCCAGCAACTCAGCTCTTGTCTTTCTTAGGGGACACTAAGGCCTGCATTTTCTGAGCTGCTCTAAGCAAATAGGAAAAGAGGCAATGTTTGTCTTTCATGCACCCACCTCTTCTCCAATGTCCCCCAAATCCTTTTTGGAAATCCTCCCAGCTCCCGGAACCACTTCCTCATGGTCCATCTCATCTTTGCCCCCATCCTTTTCTTACTGTGGTTTTGACATCCAACAACTCAGCCTTCCTTCCTCCCTTTCCCATTTCCACCCATCCAACTGTCCATCTACATACCCATCCATCTCTCCTTCCATCCAGCAAAGCTGTCTTGAGCACCTGCACATCTTAACCCTGTGCCAGGCACCCAGCACTTCTTCTCCCTTGCTTCTCAGAGTGCCCACTCCAGAAGGAGCCACTTCTCCCCTATCCCCCATCAAGGCCTTGAACTCACGCACTTCCATCCACCCTGTAAGGAGGTTGATCTGATGGCCCAACCCTTGCTACTGTATTTGCACCAAACTCATTATTCCTTCTGAGCACTGGCAGCAGGCAGGGACTTCTGGAGCCATCTGGCTGAGGACTGCTGCCTAGGGGCCGTGGATATCAGCCCCACCTCCCCTCCCCTCCCCTCCTTTTGCCTCTCCTCCCTTCCCCACTGAGGGCAGAACAGCAGCAGCCCCTACATACGTATGCAGAAGTCTCCGCTCTCATAGTAGCCAGGGCAGCACTGGGACCTCCGCCGGTACATGGTCCGGAGGCCTCTCCGATACGCCGTCTTATAACTGATCCTAAGGCACAAGGGAGAAAGCCACTTGAAAGTATTGAAAATCAATCACTCCCATTTAGAATGATATTTGTGTTAAGCTATATTGAGGATGCCATTCAATAATTACTTTAAAATGCATGGCGACTTCAAATATGAAGGAACACAATAAAAAAATCAATAGTGGGATTTGGGCTGTTGTGATGCAGAATGTATTACTAACATGGCACTTACTAAACCTGCTGACTTTTCCCCAGTCACTTCTAAATAGAAGGGCTGCAGAAGATACTTTCTGGAGTGACATTGTGGAGGGCAACCATGAACTTCTCCTTAGTTCCTTAAAACACCCAGATTCTGGGCTTGAAGAGCCCACGGGGTGACCTGGATAGGAGTCAGGCCCTGAGGGTTTCTGTGCCCGCCCTGTCCCACCCCTCTAACAAGCCAGACTGCTCACAGCCCCCTGAGTATTGGTCCCCCCACTTGAAGAACTGAGGCAGAGTCAGCAAAAGGACCCTTTGAGTCCAACTCAGTCCCGGAGAGTAGATTAATCTCCCCCACACCAAAAATAACACCTCCGGGAGAGGAGCCTCGCATGCCATCCCTGGGAAGGCCCTGAACTGACCCTTCACCCTGCAAAGGAAGAAGCTGAGGCCCATGGAGCTGCAGCACTGGGAGTCAGACATGTGGGTTCCAGACCTTACGCTGACACAAGTGTTAAGGCTTAGCCCCATGCCAGAGGGACTATGATCAACATCTCATTCCATTCCCTGGGGCAGGCACCATTACTATCCCCCTTTATTTTATTTCTTTCTCTTTTAGAGCTTTTATTCTATTTTTTTATGTTCCCCTCAACTCCCCACCCTTTGTTTTATGAATAAGAAAACTAAAATTAGTGAAGTTAGTGACCAGCACAGCTAATCAGGGTCAGAGCCAGGATTCAAACCTAGCTCACTCCAATTTCAAAGCTGCTAGGCTTAACCTACTGCCCTCTACCAGGTTTCACAGGGTAGATTCTGGCCTTACAGACGGCCACAGTGAAGGAGTAAGTAAAAAGAAATACTGAGTCCTTAGAAGGAAATCAAAATGGGGTATTCATAGGCAAAGCCCCTTCTTCACACGGACAGTCAAAGTGGAAGAGATTTGAAGTGGCTACTAGAGACTAGAGAGAGGAAGTGACCTGCCCAAGGTCATGGAGTGGAACTTGGACCCAACCCCAAGTCCTTGGGCCTTGAAGCCAGACCTCTTTCCACTTTTCCATCAGCACCCAAGGGGAGCTTGCCCTGTGGACTCTTCCTCAGCAGCACAGCAGCAGGGTCTGGTCATCAGAGACGCCTATAGGCTGCGTTCCATGGAGGGCCAGGCCAGCTTGGGAAGAGAGTCCTGTAATACAGGCTGGGACAACCCTCCCACACCTTAAAGCCCTCACTTCATAACAAATGACAGTGCAGAACTCTGGGGAAATCTGTGATATTTGGGAATGTCGTAAGCTAAGGTCATTCAACTTTGTCAAAAACCCATAATGGAAGGAAAGCTGGCCTCAAAGTAAAGCTACTTCCCTAGCACAGAAGGCAGCTCCCGACAGTTTCAGGGGTTGTATAAGCCTCTCAGGTAAAGAATAACTCAGAATCGACTCAGAGGTCATCCAGCCTGTTCTCCCCAGCAAACAGGATTATCCCCAAGCCCCGCAATGGGGGGTGGTCTGGGCATCATTAACGCCCCTCAGGAAAGAGTTGCCACCCAATTGTTTCTAGCTCACCCATCTTTGTTTGTCCCTGTGCAGTTTGGAAAGCAAGAGAGGGAAGCAAGGCCAGGTGCCAGGCTGCTCTCAGGGGAAGGATGCTGGGTTAAAACATGCCATTCCAAACCAAAGCTGACGGAGGGTGCAAGCTGTTAGCATGCACACTCTAGGTCATCAGGAAAGCTGCAAGGCAACTTAATAATTTAGCAAAATAATTCATGTTCTAGGAATACAGCCTATTTTAATAAGCAGCCACCACCTCAGTGGTGATGGATGGCAGCCCTAGCCTCCAAGTACCCAAAAGGGCCATACCCCTGAGCAAACTTGGCTCTCCCACTGGGTCTGCCAGGGCTTTGGGAGGAGCAGCACTACTATTTCTGCCTCTGTCTTTGACCAGGGCCGCAAGCAGCCAACTCTGGCAAAATTGGTGGGGTGAAAGAGAGCATTTAGTCCCACCTCCTCATTCCACAGTCAAATGCTAGAGGAAGGGGATGCAGTAATAGCTGAGTTGCTCCTATTGGACCACCTTTCTGCAAATAGCAACTATAAAATCTAGGGGGAAATATACAAAACAACTACCTGAAGGCACTTGAGGGAGGACAAAAGCAGGCTGATACTGGAGGCAAGTGGACATTTAAGAGAAGGGAATGGTCCTGGGCAAGTTAGCACAACAATACTCCGGGCAACTAAAATTCAGATAGAAAACACACAACCTTGCTCGTTTGAAGAACCACAGGACAAGGCCAGGGTGGACCCAGCAGGTAGCAGGTGAAAGGGGAAACCTTAAAAGGTGAGAGTCACAAAAAGGGAGCCCCAACATCTTTGTAAAATCCCTGCCCAAGCGTCTGGCCACTGATTTATCCTTATGGAGGACATATTCCAAGCAGCCTAGCTAATGCTAAAAATATTAAACTTTCAGAGTTTGGAATTTGTGTTTAGCCAAGTAACCAGGCCGCTAAAGAAATAAACAAACAACAACAAATTAATATTCTCTGGAGGAACATAATAGAATCCGGTCTCCCCATGTCATTCATAATGCTCACAATATAATCCAAGATTACTAGGCATATAAAGAAACACACTGGCCAGGCGTGGTGGCTCACACCTGTAATCCCAGCACTTTGGGAAGCTGAGGCGAGCAGATCACGAGGTCAGGAGTTCGAGACCAGCCTGGCCAATATGGCGAAACCCCATCTCTACTAAAAATACAAAAATTAGAAGGGTGTGGTGGTGGGTGCCTGTAATCCCAGCTTACTCAGGAGGCTGAGGCAGGAGAATTGCTTGAACCAGGAAGCCAGCGATTGCAGTGAACTGAGATCGCGCCACTGCACTCCAGCCTGGGCAACAGAGTGCGATTCTGTCAAAAAAAAAAAACTACCTATGCAGAAAAAAAAAAGCAATCAGTGAAGACCAACCCTGAGATGACCCAGATGTTGGAATTAGCAGGCAAGGATTTTAAAGCAGCAAGCATAGCTCTGCTCAATGTCTCACAGCCAGTTAGTAGCAAAACCTCAAAGAAAACCAGGACTTCGGCTTCTCAGCACAGAACGAGTTTTCTCATCTATGTTGCCGCCCAGCATGATTCCTGAATTATCCTCAAAGAGGAACTGGGCTCATAGGAGAAAGCAAAGGAGAAATCTGGAATCAACAGATATTCAGCAACTAGGAAAAGGGCCCACCCTGGGGTCTCTCCCTTACTACCTTATTTACCCTTCAACAGCTAGTCTCTCACCCTTCAAATAGTGTCGCTTCACATGTGGCTAATATCTCACACTTTCCTCCATTTTCCCCTGTATTTTTCAAAGTAATTTTCACACTCCTGACCTCCGTGGACACTGCAGGGTAGGTAGAACAAGGTTTATTAAGGCTTTTTTGTTTTGTTTTGTTTTGTTTTTTTGAGAGAGAGTCTCGCTCTGTCGCCCAGGCTGGAGTGCAGTGGCATGATCTCGGCTCACTGCAAGCTCCACCTGAATGGCGGAGTTCATGCCATTCTCTTGCCTCAGCCTCCCTAGTAGCTGGGACTACAGGCGCCCACCACCACGCCCGGCTAATTTTTTGTATTTTTAGTAGAGACGGGGTTTCACTGTGTTAGCCAGGATGATCTCGTTCTCCTGACCTTGTGATACGCCCACCTCGGCCTCCCAAAGTGCTGGGATTTCAGGCGTGAGCCACCGTGCCTGGCCAGATTATTAAGTTTGATGAGTACACTGGGAATCCCAAAATAAAGTGTCTTTCCCAGGGTCATCCCTTAAAGCATGTTGTTTCTTCCTTCCTCTTGCCTTTCCCTGAGTGACATGATAACATATAATCTGCAGGAGGGCTGCAGACAAGGGTACAAGACTGCCATGTGCAGTTGTTCATGTTGAGCACTGCTAAGGAAAGCCTGGTCAAGGTGCCGAGAGGTTGCTGAATTCTAGCCTGCACTCTGTTCTTCAAGCCAGATGCCCTGATATGGGGCTACATCTGCTCAGGGCAGGGGGCTGTCTTAGGTTGGGTTTTCCCCCAAAGGCAGACCCTAAGAAAAGGATTCAAGAACAAGTAGTTTATTTTGGAGGCAATCCTAGGAAGTACCGGTAGGAGGATGGAAAAGTGAGACAGGGAAGTAAAGGCAGCCAATCTATGGTATATTATTGAGCAGGTTACTTCTACGGCAACTGGGGTTCCATCACTGGAGACTTCTAGGATACATGTAGAACATGGCTAAGAGATGTTCCTGCCATCCCAAGTGTGAGGAAGTTGGGGTAGTTATCCACCACCTCCCCATCTCCCCATCCCTGGTTGAGGGATGCCCTCAAGAGCATTAACTCTCCAGCACTGCTGGCCTGTACTACCCGCAAGCTCTTTTGGCCAGAAAGAAGCCATCAGCAGAGCATCTTGGGTGTTCAGAGTGGAGGCGCGTGACAACATCTGCTCCAGCGGCCTTTTTCTAACTTGCACAGAGGCAAGCCCTGAGAGCCCAGTGCCTTTTCCCTGCCCCATCATCTGAGAGAGGTACTCACCGGTGCCTGGTGCACTTGAACCAGTTGAGGATGTCTGTGCATCGTGTGTAATAGATCTGATCGAAGGGGTGTGCATACGATTCCTGGACAGTCACAGCATAGCTGAGAACCAGATGGGAGATAGGAGCCATGATTAGCACTTGGGAAGCTGAGCTGATATTCCGCAGGGCATCTGAGCCCACAGCCCTGAGGCCAAGCTCCACAGCCAAGTGTCCGGAGGCTCTGACCTCCCCCCTCCCAACTATCCTCCCCCTGCCCTGAATGCCCTCATATTCCAGCCTCCCCGACCCCAGGTTGGCCCCAGGACATATTTACTGACCTTTGGCCCAGATCATTTTCTAAAATTCGAGTTCATTTGTTCATTTAACAGAGAATGAATAAAGAAGCGGGGGGTAGTTTTATTCTGTGTGGCTCTGGAAGGCAGAGCCAACAAGTTTAAAAATATGTGATTGTTCATATCTTTATGGTTTTCAAAGAACATGCTTGGAAGCTGGTCTTTGCAGCAACTCTGTGAAGTAAGTGGCCCCATTTTATAGAGGAAGAAACTAAGGTTCAGAGAAAAGTGACTTGCCCAGCTCACACTGCAGTATCAATAGGTGCTAACATTTATCGAGCACCCTGTGTCAAGTGTTTCAATACGTTTCATTCCTCACAATCTTAGGCAGGTGGAATTGTTCTCACTTTACAGACCAGGAAACTGAGCATCAGGGGGCATAAGTGGCTTCCACAAGCTCCCCCAGTTACCTTTTACTCTATTCTGCCTCTAGTATAGCTGGGGGTACATTGAGGATATGTCCCTGATAGAATTGGTTTTTGTCATCCTGCCTGTTAGCTGTAAACCTGGACCAGCAGGTGGAAGCCACAGGGAAGCAGATCTCAGCTTAACCAAAATAAGCCTTTCTACCTGCTGGCCCCTGGCAGGGGTTGCATGAAGTGTCATTCAAGCCAGGATGCTGAAGTGAGGACTCATGTTTCCTAAGCAGGCTGGAGAGAGGACCTCAGCTGAGATCTAAGGAATTAATTTCTATGTAGGCTGGTATTATTCAGTGTTTTTCCCAGAAGGCTCACTGACCTGGGCCAGATGGCCGGGTCCAGGCTGTAAAGCACGTCTGCCTTGCCTGAGGAAACTGCATTGGTTACCTTGCAAGGGGGCTGGGCAGGCCAGCTCCCCAAGTGGGTCCACGGTAGGCTCTCTGATGCCTGAAAGGTCAAAGGTCTGGCATCCAGAAGGAGGAGGCCAAAAGCAGTCAACAATGCTCAGAGGCCTGGGTGGTGGGAAATTCTGTTTCTCTGAAGCACTGGGGATGTAAGGAGGGCTCTCGGTGTGCCCCCACCAGCTGGCACACCTGAGATATGCCTCAGAGGCACACATCTAGGAAAAAAACAGCCCAAACCCTGTTTTAGCTCCAGGCTTGGGGAAACTGAGGCAACTCGAGCCTCACTCCAGCCACCCAGAGTCCTCTTCCAGCTCTGGGATCGCATGAATCTTTGCTCCAGCACATCTCCTGAATGCCTCACTTAGAGCAAGAGGATGAATGGGGAGCGTGCACGGGCCCTGGAATCCAAACGCGGAGGCAGTAGGAGGGCGAGTTTGAAGCCTGTTGCCTGTTAGCAGCATGCTCTTAGATGTGTTGTTTGACTCATATAAGCCTCTGTCTCCTCACCTGTAAGTCTAACCAGGTTGTGTGGTTACTGTGAGGATTAAAGGAGGGCAGTAATATTCTCTATCTCTCAGGGCAGTGGGAAAATAAAACGAGATACACTATACACGTAACATGCTTAAACAGTAAGTGTTTAATAGATGTTGACAGGCAATGATTCACTTCCCGTGCTAGGCACTGAAGGATCTTTCCTCCCTGACCAAGGTGGGGAGAGAGGGAGCAAGACCAACACACAGAATGGATTCCCCACCTTTGTTAAGCACTTTGGGGTCCAGCCTCCCTTTTCAGCCCTAACATAGACCTTGGATGCCCAGAGAGAAGCCCAGCAGAGGGCTGGAGGGGGCAGTCACAGGGCAGGGACCAGGCTTTGCAAGATGCCCTGGGCCGAACGAGTCTGGCAACCAGGCCTCGTACCAACTCCAAGTTCTCTGACCCGAAGTGTGTACCCCTGGTTTCATGGCTGGGTGGCTTAACACTGCTCATTTGCTAACATGCTAATGAGGGGCCAGATTAATCTTGGACGGCCAGGCTTTACTAGCCGGGAGAGGTCTTTACACTGGGTTTTATGGTGGAGGGGCATAATTAATGAGGAGCCGCCAGAAGCACTAATCCAGCTGAGAAATTCTCCCTAAGTGGTCTCCAGGGACCGGGGTGTGTTTCTGGAACAACACAGGCTAGATCCCTCCACATATAACTTACAATGGAGCTCAGCTGGAAAGACTGAGAAGAAGAAAGCACCTGGTGTCACCAGGCATCGCCCACAAGCCTTCCCCCTTGGGGCCGGAGAAGCCCAGAGAGTCCCCAGACCTCATTCCAGCTGTTAGGTTTCACTCCTTGTCTTCCCATCCAGGCTGTAACCCTGGCTGATAGCCTAAGAAGCCTGAAATGCCAGCTCAGTTCAGCTCAGTTCAGAATATTTTCACATTCCAAATGTATTCATGTTGGGCAGGTGTACAAAATTAGTGAGTACAAATGGGGCTCAGACAGAGAGAGAAGTCAGAGGGGGCCCTCCCTGTGGGGGACGCTCCCTGGAAGAGAGGGACTCTGGATAGAGCCACTAGGGCAGGCAGAGGTGAGCAGCTGCAAAGGAGGCACTCGAGGGGCTGTGAGGCAGCAGAGACAGTAGCAGGAAGCAGGTGTGTCTTAACAGGACCAGAGGGATGAAAGGGGTCCTCTGAGGCTGGAGTCCAAAACCCACAGAATAACGTGGGGCTCTTCCCGATACCTCTCTGACCCACTGGGAAATAAAGGTTTAAATTCACCAAAGCCAGAACGGGCAAGGGGCCTGAGTAACCTCAGAATCACGTAGAAAGCTTATGAAAAATGCAATATTGAATCAGCATCTCCGGGATAGGCCCCAGGAGACTTTTTCGAATGCACCTCCCGTGAGTCTGATGTGCACTAAGGTCCATGATAACCAGTTCCTGCAAAGCCACAGTTGTCAACAAGAAAAGACAGTAACTGACGCTTATGGCCCTCAAAGCACTTTTGTGAAACGGCTGCCCTTGATCCTCCAATGAGCCTGTGAGGCAAGGATAATGATTCTCCCCACTTTACAGAGGTGGAAGTAGGCTCAGAGCCGTTCAGAGACTTCCCCAGAGTCACACAGCTTAGAGGTGGAAAAATCCAGATTGGAATGAACTGAGGTCTTCTCATCACGGATCTTGTTTTCTTCCCACTTCACCAAAAAGGGACACACCACAGTACTGCCTTTTGCTCCATCCTCAACTTTGTTGGGACACCACACACAGGATCTGGTCTCCAGGGATCACACAAGTGCAGGCACTGTCCCTCTGCCTCCCAGCTGATCCTTCCTGACCCACAAGTGTCCAGGCTACCCCAGAGCCAGGTCCTGCCTGGCTGAGGTGCCTTTCCCTGCCCTAGGGCTGGGCTATCCACCCTCATGGGCATGAAGCACGGACCCCCGCTCCGAGTCCCCCGCCTTTCTTCTTCTACCATTCACTTCTCCCATAGGGCCCTCATCTTAATTTTATTCATTTGATTTATTAACATGTAAGTGGCAGAGTCATCCTGGTCAGCATGGCCAATCAATTCCGGGGTTTAATTCGGTTTTTTCCTGATTGGGTCTCTGGTCACTGTCTTTCTGCTCACCAAAGTCAATACTTTAACCTTGTGCTTCAAAGTCAGGCCGTCTGCAGGGACCCGGCCCATTCCCCCAGGACCTAGCGCCGCAGCTGGAATGCAGCCCGCTCTTCCGCTGCAGCTTTGGCCACCCTTCCCCAGCAACACCCTGCCCCCACCAGACTGGAAGTAGTGGGACCCCCTCACCCGTCCTCCTCAGGGCAGGCTGCTGGGGCCACACATCCAAGCTGCCACGGGGCTGCCAGTCCTGGGAGACCAGGAAAGGCATCACAGCATCAGAGAGCATGCCACCTGGGACCAAAGTCCGCATCCCCCCACTTACTGCACCCCATCTGGCTGTGGACAGGGACTGAGCCCCTCTGTGTCTCTACTTTCTCATCTGTGCAATGGCTGGGAAGTGCTAGTGCAGGGAGGGGTAGGACAGTGCATCGTAACTGAAGTTAATGTGAGTTGCCTCCACCCTGACCTTCCAGACAGAATCTACACATCTCTGTCCTGTCTCTCAGCATGTGGGCCATCTCCCCAGCCAGGCTGCAGACCCTTAGAGGGCAGCTCCTGGATCTCCTGACTGCCTCTGTCCCCTACTGCCATGCCCAGGGCGATCCCCCAGAGAGTGCCTGGCCATCTGAGGCCCACACCTTACCTCTCCCAGTGGCTGCACACGTTGGGGTCCTCGGGGTTCAGGGCAAGGGTGGCTTGCAGGAAGGAGAAGGCAATGAGCCCCGTCAGGGAGAGCACCATCCCGGGCCCTGCACAGGAGAACAAAGGAGGCTGCGTCTGTGATCAGACCATGTTCCTGGCAACTACTTAGTTTCCCATCGTCGTGGGTAATGAGCATTTGATATTTCACATTGCAGGCTTTGACTAACACTGTAACAGTTCACTGGTTCTGAGTAACAGGAGAGTGGGAAGCCTGAGTCAGGAAAAAGTCCAAATTCTAGGCCAGGGGTTCTGAATGTTTTTTGACTCAGGGACTGCTCTGAGAATCCAGTGAAAGGTATAGATGTTCTCTCCAGGAAAATGCCCACAAGTGCAAAATCGGCTATAATTGCAGGGTGTCCTCAGGCCCCCGGGCCCATCCTTGGACCCAGGGACCCCAGATCTGGACTGCTTTAAAGGGAATGCCCTCCCCATTCCCTTATCCCTCATCATTGACATTCTTTGCCCATCTACTTCCTTTCCCTACTCCCTCCTGCCAAGGAGAAAGAGAAAAAAGATGTCTGGTGTGGACCTGGGGGGAAATGAGCCAAGAAAACCCTGAGCTCTGGGCCCACAAGCCATGGAAGACTGGATCTTGCTTCTTCTGTCTCCTATGGGGTATCAGCTACTTCTGCCCAGAGTGATGCAGTCATCACATGCCATTCCCACTGAGGGATGCCAGGCCTAGACCACCTGGTAAGGGACCGTAAGGAATCAGTTTGCAGGCTTTGATCCAGGCCCCTGAAGTGACAGCCTATGGCAGGTATGTGCCTACGTGGGATGCCAACTCCCTTGCTTCACTAAATTGGGGTCCCCAACAAGGGGGTCCTCACAGAGGGCAGACAACCTTTCCAGTGGGAGTGGCTGAAGTGCCTCCTGAGGTTCCTTCCTGTCCTGGCACTCCAGGACTCTGTGGTCCTCCTGCCTCAGAGAACTTCCAGTCCAAGGGTTGCGACCTGGTGGGTCGCTGACCTTGAGGGGTGCAGAGGAGCTGGAAATCACACGCACCCAAACATCATCTGTAGGCTGAATGAACGCTGCGACTCAGAAAGACAGAACTATTTTTCATGTGTACATAGATGCTATCGTGATTTATTTAAAAGCTTTACTGAATTCAGAGTAGCTTTTCTTCTTAATCAGCAACACTAAAAATTACAACTTCTAATAACTGGGGGTGGGGGTGTCATAGAAAATATTTTGACATTGGAAAGGGGTCACAGGCTTGAAATGGTTGGGGATCTATCCCGCTGGCCCTGGGTTCGCAGATGAGGAAGCGCTCAACCTACTTAGGAGAACAGATACAAGCCGGCATGTATTTTGCACACACCCCCATTTGTACCCTCAGGGAAGCTAAATGGAGTGCCATTCTTCTGAAAGGTCAAACACTCTCCTTCGCTCCACAATGATTTCCTTGTTAAACTCTTTCTCAGCAGCTCCTTCAAAGATAAACAAATTGTCACCAATTCTGTATAACCGTGGGGGTCTAAATTAATGATTAATGAGGTGTTCCTGTTTGAGATCTGGAAATCATCTGACTGAAATGCAGATTTAGCCAGATTTCAAATGAATGCATTCTGAAAATCAGAAAGAGGGGAGCGATTCTGGTGTTTCTGCTCAATGTGCAGAGTCCAGGAGTATGCAAAGCACAGCTGCTCAGAGCTCCCCACCCAATCCCCCTAGCCCACTCCTCCATCCCCAGAGACCCAATGAGCACCTCAGAAGGCTCCACACAAACTGGAGTCTGTGCAATGCCAGGGCTGCAGAGGAGCTCAGCGATCATTTCAATCCATTCTCCTCTGGGAGATTCAACCTAGAGCAGAGAAAGAGCCTGCCCGGGACATGGCATTGAGCTATGCGGAGAGTCAAAAGTGGAACAAGCATCTTCTTCCAAGTGGGGTTTGGGCTAATCAGGCATCAAATAAAGAAATAAACAATGGGACACAGAGTTCCAGAAGGCATGGAGTCTGAATGCCAGCTGTAGGGGATGCCTTGCCTTGTCTTGATTCTCTCTGTGGCCCTGACTCATTACTTGGGCCACTCCTATAATCTCCAGCATTCTCCCGAGAGAACCTCCTGACAGCATCTTCAAACTTATTACACCAAGAGTATCAAAAGATGAGGCCACCTGGACAGGAGAAGATTGTTCCTCTGGTCCCTTTTGACCCATGTGATGGGAGAGAGAGGTAACTTGGATCATTGCTGTAATTTGTGAGATTTTAAAATCCTCATGAAAAGAAAGAGAGAGAGGGAAAGGAAAGGAAAGAAAGAAGAAAAGGAAAAAAAGGAAAGAAATAAAGAGAAAGGAAGGAAGGAAAAGGAAAGGAAAGGAAGGGAGAGGGGAAGAAGGAAAGAAAAAGAAAGAGGGAGGGAGGAAGGAAGGAAGGAAGGAAGGAAGGAAATTCTCCTTGTCTCCGATACTTCACTCAGGCGCAGTGAAGAAAGAAGCCATCACCACATGGGGGCAACTCATCCCCATTAACTTTAATGGGACTTTTCCAGGATCTCTCTGAGGACAGATCCCAAAGACATATGCTTATGAGATGACTGAGGGAAAATCAATCGTGCTGCAGTGATTATTAGGCCAACTCCATTTGGAGTGACAGAGGTTAACATATTGGGCACCATCTGATTTAGGGCATTAATAATTAAATAAGAAAATGCCCCTGGTTTCACTTCAGGGGAAGAGTCCATGTAAATAGATCTGCTGGTTCTCTTCCCTCTGGTCCAGCTCTCTACATATTAGGGAGCAGAGGAAGTTGCAGAGGTGGAAAATTTTCTTTCCTTATCGGGCACCATGGCTGCTTTACAAACCCTGATGGACTGGGCAGGGCGGATAAAGGGAAGAGAAAGTGCCCAGGAGGCGTACCTCTCACACCTGCAGACAGGGTGTTGTCAGCCCACATGGCCACCCATGGGCCATGGCCCAAACTGAGCACTCTTGGTGCACCACCTGCCCGGGCCTGGGCCGTGCTGTGGAGGACACAAAGAAATAAGATGCCATCAGCTGCAGTGCACTTGAGGACTCTCAAAGCAGCAAGTGATTAAGTCCCACTGGCAGAGCTGTGAAAGCCTTTGTGGAGTGGGTGGGACTTGGACTGGATGGTGTATGCAAAGGTGGAGGCTAGAGAAAGGGCATTTCTGGGTCAGGTCCAGCCCAAGCAGTGTGTGGAGGCAGGAATGTGCAGGAACTTTGGAGGAACCAGACAGCGGAGAGCTTGCACTGCAGTACAGTGGTGGGCAGCATGGGCACCTCTGGAGGGCATTCTCTACAGCTGGGTTCTGTGGAACACTAGTCCCATGAGACATTGATAGAAATCTCTCAGACAAAGATCTCCAAGGGTGAATAAGCTCAGGAAATGCTGCTCGCTATGTCCTCATCCTAAATATTCAGTCTAAGCATTTTAGCATAGCTTAGACTCTGAGAAGACCCAAAATAAAGAGACCATTTGACTTTTTATTTCACCCAATATTTCCCATGGAACTCTTCCCAGTGACACAGCTCTAAGAGCGGTGTTCCTGATGATAGCGGCTTAGGAAACTCTGCTCCCCTCCCTCAACACCAAGTCTGAAGAAAGGCCTGGTGCATGTCAAGCTGTGTCCTGAGAGTCTGCATGCACTTGTCTATTCTAACACTCAAGGGCCTCTTATGCCTGGCACCTGGTGTTAAAGGAAAATGCCGCCAGGTTGCTTAAGGGACACTGGCATCATAGCAAACGATCCCTCCTCCTGTCCAGGGCTTCTGCTCCGGCCTGGATCGGCTTTGCTGGCTGAGCAGATCTTAGAGATGGCAGCATCCTCTGGAGGCCCCTGCCTCTGCCTAGGACCCTGCCATCATTAGCACCAGCACCTGTGGAGGCCAGTCTCTCTCTCTGGTGGCAGCACACACCTGTCCAGACATTAGTTGCTCACATTATCCAAGATGCATAAATTGGGGCAGAAGGCAGACAGACAGATGGCCTCTGCCCTGGGATCAGCTGTTACAGCCTTAAGATCCATCTAAGCAAAAATCCTACCCCACCTGCTTCACTTCCACCACTGGCTTCATCCTCCTGACTGTGCCTAAATCTTGGACGCTGGAGCCTGGAGCCTGGCCAACGTGCCTGCAGCCTGCTCTCTGTCAATCCCAGTCCATCTTCCCGTGATCCTTTGCTTCTCAACATATTTGCACTGGCGGCAGGAGTGGCAGCAGTCAGACACTATTTTGTGGGCCCAGGGAAGTTCCCACTCCCACAACAATGGGGATCTATTATAGTGGCTGTTTAGAATGCTGTGCTGAGGAAGGGGGGCTGAGTGGGAAAGCTTGCCAGGATTGATTAGTAATGTCTGTCTTAAACTCTGGGGAGGGACAACACAGGTGCCATGTACCGTGCCTATATTGCTGAACAGGTGTTACCACTTTGGAAATTTCTCCCCTCCTATATTTACCACTTAGATATGGCCTTGGCTCTTCCTTCTGGACCCTAGGACCTAAGGATTATTTCCTTCCCCTTGTACCATGCCACTAGAACATATACTTCATGAGGGCAGGGGTTTCCATCTCTTGTGTTCACCGCTATGTCCCCAGCCCCAAGAGCATTGCCTGCACATACAGCAGCTCAAGACATCTTTGTCAACTGATTACTGACTCTGCAGCCAACCTCCACCCCAACCTCTCAACCATCCCAAGCCTCAGGATCAGCCACATTGCTTGTGTCTGGCCCGAGAGAGGACACCAAAGACCCATCCCAACAGCAGGTCACACTGCACAAGGCATTCCATGTTGTGTTAACATTGCATTTGCAGAGACACCAATCTGGTGGCATCAGATACTGTACAGTGGGCACCCAGGACATCCTGAGAGCAATTCAAAGACTCCTGCCTGGACCACCCCATCAGCACCAGCGCATGTCTGCTCCCCACACCAGCACAAGGCAGGCATTGAAGCACAGGCAGTAGCTCAAGCTGCAGTTGGGGACTGGGTGTTCCAGACGCCTCATGAAAAGGCGCTTTCAGGTCTGGGAAGCAGCAGAAGCAAACCCCAAACTGGAGCTGATAAAGCAAACGCCTCACATTTCTCCCGGCATGTGGGTGGAGAAAGAGCTTTCTATCTTCTAATTATAGAAGATACACACACACTTCTCTACTTTTTTCTGAATAAAACAAAAAGCCAAGTTTGCACACAATGGGGCAAATGCCAAGGTTATCGCCCCGTCTAGTGGCCTTCCCCTTCCTCTGCCCTGGCTCTCTCAGCTGGCTCCCAGTCCCCAGCCCTCTCTATTTACTGGCCTTGCTAGGGCCTGATTAGTGCGAGATGAAAAGAGGAGTTGGATCAGCCCTCGTAATTAAGAAGCTTCGTCCTTTGCCTTGATGAAGCCTCCTGCCCTGCAGCAATCCCACCAGGGGTTGGGTTTATGTTGAATGCTTTCTAATCTTCCTGTACTTAAAAAAAAAGAAAAAAAGTTTTAAAAATAAATCCACAGCTCTTAATCTCCTAAAGAGTGATTCCCTGACTGCAGGAGCACAGCAAAAATTCTCAGCGCCAATGTGGAGTCTCTGCCAGGTGCCTGGCCCCCGGGATAAATCAGCGGGGATTGGAGTCACCTCCTGAGACAAGTTAAATGTCCCCCTCCAAGTCCCTGCTCCACCACCCTGATAAATTCTGCTTTCTCCTTGCCTGGGAAGCCTCGGGCTGCAAATCCTGAAAATGGTACCATGAGGGTTGCAGCCACCATTAATCAGGGTCAAGAGACTGTCCTGTCCCCTGCACTCTCAAGCCCAGCAGAGAGCAAGTGGCCCTGACATCAGTCAGGCCCAGAGAAAAATCACAGCCTACCCTGGAGCAGAGCAGTAGAAACCGCCAAACTAATAAAGCGCCAGCCTCCCTCCCACAACAGGCACAGCCTCTGAATTCTGGGCCCTCAAACCGCCTCCTGCTCGCCCCAACTCCCAAGCAGGCAGCATCTGCACCCCCAGCCTCCAGCCCCTCGAAGATGAAGGGAGAAAACTTATCTATGTTCTTAGGCCATTCCATTTCTCACAAAGCAATTATCTCCATCTTTCCATTTCTTTGCAAATCAGGACACATTCAGCTGGCCTGACCAACCCGGACACCTGCCTGGCCCCTCCCCACCCGCAATCTGCCCACTCCTGGCCTTCTCAGCCACCCTCTCCCACCTCCTCCCAGGGCTATGGAGTTCTCATAACTGTAGGTGTCCCTCATGCCCTGCATTAAATCATGGTGACATCCACAAAACCTCTGAAGACAAGTCAGCCTCCCAGGGCCCTTCAGCTCCATGGGGATTTGTCCCCATTCCTGCCCCCTTAAAGAAAACATTCCTTAAACAACAAGGTGCAGCTACAGGGGCCCAGCGGGGAGAAGGGCGCTGAGGGAGGGAGCCCTCGAGAATCCCTGGAAGGCCAAGCCTCTCACGGGAGCTGAGCTGTGAGGATGATGGGCTGGACAGCAAGCCACATGGTGTCAGAACTGGTGCCGAGAAAAACCTGGGAGCAGAAAGAGTCCAACACCTCATCCTCTAGGAGGGGAAACTGTTCCCTGAAAGGGAGGTGACTTGCTCAAAGACACACGAAAACTTGGTTGCAGTCTTCATGTGAAGGGAATGGTGGAGTCCACCTGACTTGGGTTCGAATCCTACCCTTGCCTTCCTGGCTGTATAACCCAGTAGAGTCATTTACCTGCTCCAGGGCTGAGTGTTTCACGTCTTGCACATTAAGGAAGACCAACTTCAAGGGCTGTTAAGATAGTAAATGAGAACGCAGGTAACGTGGTTGGCCCAAGGTCTGGCACATAGATGGTACCCAATGAACTATTAGTTTCCTTCCCAGCCACATCCTTCACCTCAAAGACTCTTCTAACTCTGTACTTTTAGAATTTCTAAGGAACTGGAAGAAAAAAAAAGACAATGACAGAAAAATACTCTGCTGGAGAATCTAGGCATGGCTGTATGTTTTGGGAGACCCCTGGATCAGTCTTAACTGTACAATTATCAAGGCAGATCTCATCTTTCATCCATCCCCTCAGCAAACATTATTGAATGCTCATCAGTCACTGTGACACAGAGAAGACTCAGGCGGGGCCCTGCCCCAAGCCCCTGAACACTTGCTCGAGGGGAGGTGGGAATGGCTAGGAGAGGGTAGTAGACCCAGGATGTGGCTTAATTCAAAGCACCGAGGCCCCTCCCTGCAGGAAGAGGCCTCTCCCTGCAGGAAGCCTCGGGCCAGTGTGATGGGAAATCAGAGGCCTTTGCAGGTATTGATGCTAATGTCCCAGGAGATCCCCTGTGTGTTGAGTCTGGCCCATCTCCATTCTAGATGCCTCTGGATCCACTCTTGATCAGGGCTGCCTCTGAAGGGAGAGAACCTTTCACAAGCTCATCCAGTCTCCCAACTCCATCCTGTAGGGGCTCAGAGAGCCATACTTCCCCTGCCCTTGGGTCTTTCCTATTGAATTCAAAGTCAGTACCAGTTCCCCTCTGCCTCCTAAGTCACTACCTTGCTGTGTGACCCAGGAAAGGTTGCTTAACCTCTCTGAGTTTCACTCTGCTGGTGCACAGGGCTGGAGTCAGACTACATCATCTCTTGGGCCCTTCCAACTCTGTAAGCTTACCTATGAAGTATCACCCTTCCCTGCCCTTCCCCTCCTCATCTTCTCCTCCCTCTTCACCCTTGCACTTCAGGTTTGCGCCATCTCCCAGCTGCAGGGAGATAATGCAGAGGAGGCAGCAGAATTGGATTCTAGTCTTTGATCCTGGAAAACTCATTTAACTGCCCTGAGCCTCCTTTTCCTCTTTTACAAATAGGAAGGGTGAGAGAACAACAGTTTCTTGTGAGGATTAAACAGGTAATGCAGGTGGTGCCCTGCAAACTGCAGCCCAGTGGTGAAACGCGGAGATCAGTATTGCTGTCGTGGTCGGGATCCTTAGTTGCTGCCCACCTCTCTGTCCAATCTTCGGCACCCTTTGAAGATGGGCCTCTTTTGTGTGCTCCATTCCAGCCAAGAGCCCACACTAGGACAGGGTCTCTCCCGCCACACCTCAGGGACCACGTCTCCCCAGTCAATAGACCCCCTGAGTCTGGAGATAAACAGAAGAGCCTGGCTGTCAGCCCACAGACATGGGCATCAGACAAGGGTAGCCTCTCCAGGTTTCCTTAGAGAACCTTCCCGACCGACCTAGGCCAGGGGATTCTGAAGCCAGAAACCAATTGTTTCAAAGTTTGAAGTGCCCTACACATGTTCTAAAAAAAGGTTGTCAATATAGATAAACATGTTTTAACATATATCTTTAACCCAGCATTCCATTTCTGCAATTTCATGTTTAAAAACTGGCCGGGTCCAAAGACAGGTTCAAGAACGTTTGTTGCATTCTCTCTTGATAAAGAAATATTTGAGCCAGGCACAGTGGCTCAGGCCTGTAATCCCAGCACTTTGGGAGGCCAAGGCAGGCAGATCACTTGAGGTTAGGAGTTCGAGACCAGCCTGTGCAACATAATGAGATCCCATCTCTACAAACAATACGGGAAAAAAAATAGCCAGGCATGGTGGTCTATGCATGTAGTCCTAACTACTAGGGAGGTTGAGGTGGGAGGATCACTTGAGCCCAGGAGGCTGAGGCTGCAGTGAGACGTGAGCATCCTCTCCAGCCTGGGTGACAGCCAGACTCTGTCTCCAAAAAAAAAGAGAGAAAGAGAGATGCTTGCCACAGCACTGAAGCAACCTAAATGCCCATGAATGGGGCCTTTGCTAAATAAATTCCACCATGTCTATATAACAAACTATTATGCAATCATTAAAAATATTGATGTGGAAAAGTATGGAAGCCCATACACCAGAGCATTAATAATATTGGTCATCTTTTGGGGAAGGGATGGAAGATTTGTGCTTTCTAAGTCAAACATTTTTGTTACATTAGTATTTCTTACAAAGAGCATTATCATCACTATAGTCAGAAAAGCAAAGATATTTTAAGATTATTATGTGTAAATTCACCGACGTGGGAAGATGACCCTAAAGTCTTATTATGTGAAAAACGCAGGTTACAAAGCAGCATGAACATTATGATCACATTTATATAAACTGTGTGTGCACGGGCATACGGTGTGCGTGTGCCAACAGTGAGGGAGGAAGGACAGGAAGATGCTCGGAGTATGTTAAAAACATTAACAAAGATGTCTGGATGATGATATTTTGGGTGACTTTCTTTCTTTTTTTTTTTTTTTGAGACAGCATCTCTGTCATCCAGGCTGGAGTGCGGTGGCACGGTCACAGCTCACTG
Organism: Homo sapiens; assembly: GCF_000001405.40. Classification (NCBI taxonomy): domain Eukaryota; kingdom Metazoa; phylum Chordata; class Mammalia; order Primates; family Hominidae; genus Homo; species Homo sapiens. The sequence goes on from NW_003315944.2 coordinate 241,586, forward strand.
CAGCTTTGACCTCCCTGGGCTTAAGAGAGCCTCCCACCTCAGCCTTCCTAGTAGCTGGGACCACAGGTTCACACTACGACACCTGGCTTTTTTTTTTCTCTTAGAGACGAGGTCTCACTGTTGCCCAGACTGGTCTGGAACTCCTGGACTCAAGTGATCCTCCAGCCTCAGCCTCCCAAAGTGCTGGGATTACAGGCATGAGCCACTCTGCCTAACCAACTTACTTTCTTCTCTATATATTTTCAGTATGAGCAGGTCTCAATTTTCAGATTTCAAAAACCAGCCAGGCACAGTGATGCATGCCTGCAGTCCCAGCTACTCAAGAGGCTGAGGCAAGAGGATGTTTTAAGCCTCGGAGTTTGAGGCTACAGTGAGCTATGATTGTGCCACTGGGTGAGATCCAACCTGCGTGAGATGGCAAGATCCCATCTTAAAAAATTTTTTTAACCACAATAAAGCCACCTTCATTTTGAAAACAAAAAAGGGAGGGCCCTACAGGCAACTCCTCCACAGCTTACCCTCCTCCAGGCCCAGATTCTCCCCCTCTGCTCCTTAGGGCACATTTTCCCAAAGAGCAGGGGTTCACAGAGGACTTGAGCCCTAAACCTGCTACCCCTAGGGACACAGGCCACTTAGGGGAGCCTCCCAGCCAGCCCTTGAAGCCATCTGGCTGCGGTGAGACTGCTATCACAATGGTGTGGCATGTGTCCACGCTGTGATGGTATACTCATGCTATGATGAAAAACATTATGCCGTTTCAAAGACCCAAAATGATCTCACGACACAGAAAAATAGATGGATAAAGCACGATTTTGTCAGCTGTATTCAGAATAATAAATGAGTCAGGTATTCAGATTTTTAAAGCAATTTATTGAGGCTCTTTGTCCATGACACTGATAACTTCTGGCTTGCAGCCCGGTCGGGTCACGGCCGGCACTTCACCTCCCTCCTCTGCTCTCACACTGGCTCTGCTCCTCCCTGGAACAGCAAGCACAGGGAGCCCTGGAATCTCAGGAGGTTTCTGAGTCCTAATCCCAGCTCTGCCTCTTACCAACTGCATGGCCTAAGGATGGTCATTTAACCTCCCGGGCTCCCAGCTTCCTCTTCTGCAAAATGGGGTTAGTAATAAACCTGACTCCCAAGGTTGAGATGCCAAAGAGACACAGGTTATGAGAAGGGCCTGTGAACAGCATAGCCCCAGGGAAAATATCAGCATGGCTGGGTTTGGCATTGTCCTCTCTGATGGGGCGTATGGGATGCAGTACAGATACTACTGGGGGTGCACAGGGGGAATGAGTATATTAGGGTCCTGGGCCTGATAAGGACTGCCTCCCGGGGGTGGGGCAAGTCTGCCAGAAGGGAAGAAAGGAACTGAAGGTGAATTTCAGTAAGTTTGCAATTTGGCCCAGCCCAGGCCCTGCTGACTTGCAGTCTAAGCTAGTGATGATTCCAAGTCTGGACCAGAGGCCAATTTGGCTGCATTTCTGGCCTAGGCTGTGTCTGACAACCATCTCACAGCCACATGCATTTGCAATCAAACAATTCCTCTGAACTCTAATTTCCTGGAGGAGCAAGAAGCTCACCCACCTTCCAGAACTTGAGCACCCTATATGCCCTCCCAAAGGAAAGACCCACTAAAAAACAGTACTGTGGCCGATCAAAATCTGTCCCTCATCTCCCCAGGTTTAATTTGGAAAATGGTACATAAGTCCCAGAGTCACTGTGTGCCTGGCCTGATTAGTCGTTGTGTATTTCAGTGTTTTCCAGGAAATTGTTCATTAAGGATAAAAGCACCTGCTTACTGTAAGAGAGCATTACACAAAGACTCTGTCATGGGAGCCTGGGAAGAGCATTAATTAATGAAGTGAAACTGAACAAACATGCTATAAATTAAAGGTCTGAAAAGAAATGCCCTGGCATTTAGTGGATTATGAAAGAAGGATGAAATGAAACATCATATTTTTAGACCACAGTAGGATAAAAAAAAAAAAAAATGGGAGGGAGAAAATTACAAAAGGTGGCCGAGGTAACGATCTATTTCTGGAGCAACTGAAGCCTGTGCTTCCATTAAGAGAATTATCAATCAATTCTGTTTTGTCTGGGGGCATGTACGCACTGTGTGTGCTAAATTAAAAAGCTTAACATGTCAGCGTAGTTTCTTCTGAGGGTTCCGTGGAAGAATGCCGACCAAGGCATTTAGGCTTCAGAGAGGCAAGGCAGGTTATGAGGAGGAAGTCAGGGGGACTTGAGCCATGTCACTAAGTCAGGCCCAGCAGGGCACAGGCCACCCTGAGCACCAGTGTCAAGAGAAAATGTAGCCAAACCCCAATTAACTGGAGCCTTCAGTTAATTGAAAGGTGGCCAAAACAGCCGATCACACTCCCCGGTGCCAGTCAGGCTCAGTCCTCACCGGCGCATTTCAACCAAAGCCAGTGCGGTTTTTTCTTCCCCTCTCCTGAAAAGCAGCTTTTAGGGCTAGCTTCTGATAACTTATTCAGCTTAATTTCCCTCCCTTCATACCCACTCCTGAACAAGGACAGGCCTTTAGGAACAATGATCCTGAAGTCACACAAAATCCTGATAAATCCAGAGAAATTTGATCCTATTCATCATACTCCACTTCCCTGGGCAGGAAAGGAAAAGGGCACAATTGCAAAAGCGTTTTGGTAACAGGTGTTGAAACTACAGAAAGGTTTTTTCTGCATACCTTCCAACTCAGTAGGAAATTCAGAAATGTGAACCACCCATTCCTTATTCCTGGAGGCAAAATGGAGGCAGGGGCAGGTTTCCCGCCTGACTCCAGCTTCTCTCAGTTGCTTTCTGTTCCCTCCTCAGGCAGGCCTGGGCCCATGAGGTACTAACCCTCAATACACTGAATCACCCTATGTAGAAGGCAGGACGCTTGCACCAAGTCCAAACCATGCTTCCCCAGTGTTCTAATTCTGTGGCGTGCCCACAAATTTCTAAATTTGCCGTAATACATACAGGGACTCAATAGGGTAGGAAGAACGGGAGGCAAGCCAGAAGCTTGCTAAGCCATGGGAGGCCTCTGACACAGGTATGTTTGGCTGTGCGAAGAGGGAAAGAGGAGAAAGAAAAAGGAATAGGGGTGGGGAGTGAGGCCGGTGGGAGGCCAGCCTGGCAGGCTTGGGAGAGCAGGCATCTGTGGGCCTGGGTGTGCACAGCTGGCAGGAAGCGGGCCTGGAAGTCTGAGCTCAGCCGGGTATTGGGTACTAATGCCATATTCGGGGACTTGCGAGCCCTTACTAAGAATACTCTGTGAATATTCCCTGTTGGATTAGAACCTAGATGTAGACTCGGTTGAACATTGAGTGTGCTGTTCACTCATCAGCCACTGTGCACCTTACTGAGCACCAGGGCAAAAGAAAAATGGATGGTTCCCAAGACCTTGTACTGTGCCAGGTGCCAGCCTTGGTACATGGCCAGTTTCAGTCCTTCCAGTAACTCCATCAAGTAGGCATTATGATCTCCTCTTGCAGGTGGCGAAATGCAGGCTCACGTGGATGACCTAGACACAAATTCAGGACTACCGGCTTGTCCAATGCCAAGCTTCTGGGATGTCTCTGTCCTGCAGACTCAGGGGTGTGTGTGTGTGTGTGTGTGTGTGTGTGTGTGTGTGTGTGTGTGTGTGTGTGTGTGAGAGAGAGAGAGAGAGAGACAGGGATAGGCTCATCTCTTTGGATCAGAGCTTCCTCCATGCTCACGAGATTGGAGCAGCGGAGGGGAGGATGTTAATGCTATTGTGAGAAAAGAGAAGACGACTGGCTTGGAACTCAGAAGACAAGCTTGGGCTGGCTGTGTGACCTTGGGTAGGAGGCTGCCTGCTTGGTGCTTCATTGTCCTCTGTTAGCTGAGAGGAAGCCTCTGTCAGCCAGGGTTTCTCCCACCTGAACCACAGCACCCAGAAGAGGATTAATGGACAATTTTCTCAGTTCTCCCAAGGATGGTACATCCTAGATGCACAAGAGAAAAGTCAATCTGCTACATGCAGTGGTCACATTAGGGCCTGAGGGCAGGATTCTCTCCTGAACCTGGCTGAGAAGGAACTAGGTGGCCCCGAAGGTCCCTTTGGCTCTGACCTCAGGAGATGGGCTGCAGATGAGGATGCCAGACCTCCTGAACCATGTTAGGTCACAATATCCTGTGTGTATTTCCCTCCTGTCATCCCTTGGCCTAACATCATCTTTAAATGAGCCGATTGTGCCTCAGCTGTGCTTTGAGGAATCTAGGGAGAGACTGGGGATAGGCCTCAAAAGGGGATAAGCCCTACTCCTCACTCCCCACCCTTAGGGCAAGCATTGTGTGTGTTGGGTCGGTGGGGGGATCGGCGGCAATAACTGGCAAGAGATCTGAATAGGAAAGGTGAGCTTGGGGATCAAGAATTAAGCACATGATCCCCCTGCGCCTCCCCTACCTTAGAGGATGTGGAGTTTATTTTATTACACAACAGGCCAGTTCCCCAGCAAGGCAGAACAGTGGTTTGTACCCCAGGTATAAGCAATGCCCCATCCTATTCTGGGCTCCATCCAGAAAATACTCTAACAGCTTAAAAAGTGAGAGCACTCCTAGACCTCCTTAATTTTAGGCTTTGCTCATGGAGCCCCCGCGATGGGAACTGGGAAGGGACAGCAAGTTGTGGAATTCTGCTACCACTTCTGCACGGCTCTCAAGAAACAGCAGTAGCCGTGGCAACATCTTTGCATCAAAAAGGACATATCTAGACAGAACAGGCGCCCGCCAGACTCTGGACCATTCCACAAAGTGGAGATGAGGATAAAATCACCCCGAGGGAGGAAGGCAGAGGAGATATTTATTTCAAGCCAATTTCACCCACTGTGGAGCAATCACTAAAGCCAAATGGTAGAGCTGTGCATATATATGTCTCAGTGAGTAAGCGTGGGAAGAGTGAGTGAGCCGGCACGACCGCCAGCCTGGCGCAGCTGCCACAGGGAGGCCCTGTGAGGGGACAGCATCTGCTGATGAGACTGAGTCTGAGGACGGCCTGAGCTGAGCCCCCAGCCAAGTGCCAGGAGAAACAGGCCGGGGACAAAAAAGCACAGAAGTGGGTCTCTTGCCCCAGGTGTGCCAGTAATCAGCTGTGTGACCCCAAATGAGTCACTGCACCTCTCTGGGCTGTTCTTTGATGAGAAGGAGCTAGAATCACTTCTCAAGCAGGTGGTCTCGCTTGAGAAGAGGACATGGGCCTGAAGGCCTGAGTTTGAGTTTTCCAGCAGCATCCACCAGCCATGGGACTAACAGAAGAACCTTAACAGCTTCTCTAGGCCTTAGCTTCCCCATTTGTAAAAGGAGGTTGACTGACAGTCCTGCAGTTTGAAAGCCAAATCAGGATCCTAGTTCAGGTCTCTTGCAGCTCTGGAAAGTTCTACAGTGATTCCAAGCAAGAGCAGACATGAGCAGGGAGGGGTGCGTCCTAGTGCTCTCAGCACCTGCCACAGTGCGGATATCAATAAACATTCGATAACTAATCTATGATTGGATCAATGAATCAGTGAACAAGTTCCTGCATTTGCGAGAGGGAACTGAAGACGGTGGTGGTGGGAAGAGACTTGCCGAAGGTCACACAGCTGATCATAGCAGAGCTAACCCCAAATCCAGCACTCATCCCACTCCACCATGCTCCCAAGAAAGGGAAAGGAGGCCCTGAGCAGCACCTCCGGTGGGGGCTAGGCCAGGCCGAGGCAGCCTGCGGACAGGGGATGAGATTCCCTTTGGAGCATGCTGGATTAGGCCCCGGAATCCACCAGCCCCTCAGTCTACTCCCTGTCCAGCCCATTCACCAAGCCCCTGTCCCATGGGGTGCTTCTCGGGTGCAGACAGAAGGGCTGGCTGCCCAGCAGCTGGCCAGGCTCTCTCCCTGGCACCTCCTTCAGGCTTTCTTACAGGTATTTACTTTCCTCCTACAAAGATGTGCACAGAGGAGGCAACTAATGACAGAGGCAGAGCGAGATGCCTCAGGAAAGCTTCCGGAAGTTGACTTTCTTCTCTCCAGGGACCTCTGCTGGGAAGTCACAGCCTGATCCTATTCTATTCTCTCTACCTGCTTTCCTGGGCCCTCAGAAACTGTTTTCACCAGCCCTGTCTCCCCAGGACTCAGGGGACTTTGGCAGAGACCATTCCTTACCTCCTAGTGAGCTTTTAACAAAGCTCACCCTCATTCACCGTGTCCTTTGATCCCAGAAGAGCCTGTTACAGATGAGGACCCCGAGGTGGGACTCAGGAGGGTAGGAAGTTTCAGTGGCAGAGTGGGGACCAGGAGGGGACAGAGGGGGCAAGAGGCACCTCAGCCTTTCCTCCGGGTCCTCCTCTGTCCAGGAGGAGCTACAAAGGCAGAAATCAAAGCTCCCCCATCAGAGAGCTCAGGGCAGAGGCTCCAGGTGGGGATATAGGGAGGGGGAGACACTCCTTCTGGAGGGAACATCTCGTTCCTGCTCCCAGCACACACGGACACTAAGCCACTATGCCCACCCTGGCTGCGCATTAGAATGGCCTGACGAACATTTTTCAACTCTCAATGCTGTGACCTCATTCCCAGCCAACGAGGTGGGAGGGGTCAACTAGGTGTGGGTGGAGCTGGGCATCGGTGTTGTCCAAAAGCTCCCCCAGGTGATTCCAATGAGCAGCCAAGATGGAGAACCACCCACCAGGAGCTCCCTGAGAGCAAGGGCATCAACAGGAAAGCCCACCAAGGGGATGACCTTGTTCTTTCTTCGTCTCTTTCTCCCTTCCCACCCCACAGCACAGGTACCCAGCATGGGTACCCCCTTCCTGCCAATATCCTAGTTCTTCCCTGGAATCACAAGTGTCCCCCAACCCATCAAAGTGTCAGTGGGTGGCAGAAATATGGGCCCTCTAAGCCATTAGTGAAGTTGCCTGTTACATCCAAAAGGCCAGCTAGGCCCAGGTGAAAGGGAAAGGCGACATCACTCTAACAGGAATGCCCACTGACCCCTCCCCTTAGCAGCTATACAGCAACAGGCACAGGGCAGAGAGGTTCATAGCTCCCCCAGCCACCCCGGGGCTGGTACAAGTGCCCTGGGCACCAACCACCACCACCTGAGCCCAACCATAGACTGTCAATGAACAAACCTTTACCTGCACCTCTGCAGGCAGGTGCCGTAGCATCCATGGCAGATCCTATCTGTAGAGACAAACCTGTTCATCCTTCTCTCTCCCTATCTATCTCCTCAGCCATTATGTACTGAGTGCCTCTGATATGCCAGGCACTGAAGATACAACAGTGAATGAAGTAGACACTGTTTCTCCCCATAGAGCTTATCCACTGTAAGCCCCATTATACAGATTAGGGGAATGAGGCTCAAAGAGGAGTGATGGCAGAGCAGGCGCCGATCCAGAATTCCCGGACAGCCCTGCTGTAGAATACCTGCCCAAGTCCTTCTCTCCAGTCCCACAGTGAAAAGCAGCCAGACCCTCCTGCAAGGATAGGAGAGCAGAACTCACTTAGCAGAGGCCTGAGCTGAGAGCAGGCCCAAGCCCCAGAGCCTCGAGGTCTCCACATCTGATGGTGTCTGTTCTCCCTCCCTCTCCCTCTTCTAATGATAACTCTGTGAGCTGCAATGAAATTCACCTTAATAAGCACTCATTAGAAATATGCTAATGGGGAGGAAGCTGATATCATATGCCCTAAAACCCAAAGGGAAAAGGAGGTAAAAAAAAAAAATTCAATATTGGGTTTTGTCTCATTTCAAAGCCACTTACAAAGTGGCCATAAATCTTCTGTGAGACATGACATAACGAGGAGCTGCCAGCAGCTCGGACATTAATAATTAGCTATAGCCAGGTGCTGAACTGGATGCATTTGGCTTTGGAGTTCTTACTACAGGGAGAGAGAGGGAAGGTGCATAGACTAGGACCTGGGTGCCATCCCCAGCCTCACACCTGCATATCTGGAAGGGTAGGGGGCTGGGCCGAAGCTTGTGGCTGTGAGAGGCTACAATATGTGCCAGAAAGGCAAGGCTCAAATAACGGAGATGGGGATGAGCACACACACTTTGCTGGGTCCTTGGCAGGACCCTGTGAGGGAGGCATCTGGCTCCATGTTGTGGTTAAGGAAATGTGCTCTGGAGTCAGAGCTGGTCTGAACCACAAACCAGCTCTGCTAATTACTAGCTGAGTGACTCCGGACAAATGACTTAATCTTGCGGGGGATCTGTTTCCTCACCTGCAAATGGAGATAGCAATTGTATCCATTGTGAAAATTAAATGAGATAATTACACACGGTATCTGGAACATTGTAAAAACTCACCAAAGGTAGCTGCTATTACCGTTGGGCGCACAGTAAACAGAAGCTACTGTTTACACTGCTGCTTCCTTCAGTTTCCTTAAACCTCTCTTCACAGCCACCCAGAAAAGCCCCTGGGTGTTGTGTCATATCCTTTTTGGGTTTTTAATTTGCTGGGTGATTTTGGGAAATTGACTTAACTTCTCTGATCCTTCACTGCCCGTTCTACAAAGTGAGGATGATAATTCCTGCTCTGATCTACCTCTAGGGTGGTTGTAAAGATCAAAAAGATAACGCAAGCGAAAGTGCTTTGAAATGTATACTAAATGATACATGTTCAGGGAATTATCCTCATTCACCTCCAGCGGGAAGGCTGTTCTAGATGCCATGGTTTGCCTCCCCTCTCCCGGCTGCAAGGGACTCTCTCTCCCGAGACCTCACAGGAAGAGTCTACATTTCTTCTAGACAACAGTGTCAGCAGACTACAACTTTTAATTCCTACAGATGTCTAACTGAAGTTCCCAGGAGAGATGGAGATAAACCAAAGGCCACCGTTTGGATGGGATGGCCTCATCATCTGGAACGAGTTGTTTTTCATTCCCAATAAGACACGGATTGGTGCATGCCTTCCCGTGGCTCTGCCACGTGTGACTCACCACGCACGCCGACACCTCCCACAGAGGCCTCTATCCTGATCAGTGTGGGGACCCCGCTGAGCACAGGCTTGGATGTTGGATCCGTGTCAAGTTGTCATGAAGTGTCTAAGGACTCTCTCTCAATTCTGTCCCGATCTCACTGTGGACAGCGGCCTGTGCGCTGGCATCAGTCCACGGAGGCACACGCCGAGTAGCTGGAAGGCAGTGGGGGCAGAGGGACAAAACGGGGTCCTCGGCCTGGGTCCTGCATTGTCTGCATTGTTGGTGAAGGTAGGCACCTTCTCAGGGGGGTGTCTTATTGCCTCACCCTTGTACCTGCTCTTTGCCCATCTCCTCTGCCTTTGTTTTATCTTACTGCTTCCTACAGGTTCCCATAATGCCCCCACTTGCTCACTCAGTACCACTCCTGAAGCCATTCTCTCCAAGGCAGGCATAATGTGGACACCATTCCTCACTGGGAATTGGGGATAAACGGTAGCCCAATTGTAGCCGCTAGGTCCCTGGATTGTCTCCTGAGTCTCTTCTGCTGCCACTGACACCCAAAAGTGAGCCTCAGGCATGTCACATGCTCCAAAGCCCCAGTCTAACTGTTGTTGTCCCTAAACCACCACCTCCCACAGAAGCCCAGTCCATATCAATCTGGCTCCCACCCTAGTCCCTCCTCCTAAATTCTGACTCATGACCCCTCCCCAAATGGCACCTTACATGGTTGCGCAGCCCAGGGCCCTTGCCAGCCTCCTCCCAGGGAGTAAAGCCATGCCCTTCATCCAGTCATTCACTCAAGACAGAAGTACCTACTAAGTGCCAGGCGTCAGGCAAGGCCCTGCACATGTAACACGTCAAGTCATATTCTAACGGGAAAGAGAATAACATTACCAGAAAACCACAGACCCTGTGGTTTGGTCTCCTCCCTTTGGAGACCTAGACTTCAAGGCCATTGCCACGGTTGCTGGGAGGGAACACTGGCCAGAGGAAGGGGCACACATGCTGAGACCTGAAGGAGGCAGATGTGCTAACCAGGTAGGGCAACAGTGCTCCGGGCAGAGTGGGTGCCAAGGCCTGGAGGTGAGAAAGAGCAGGTGCACCGAGGCAGCAGAAGTGGCTCTTTCTCACCTAGGAACTCTAGGAACAGAGTTTGAGGAAGCAGGTGGTGCCTTCTGAGCTGGAGGGGGGCTCAGCCCCAGAACACAACACACCTTGTGAGCCAGGACTGTTCTGAGATAAATGGGCAGCCATTCAAAGGTTTTAAGCAAGGGACCAATCTGGCCAGAGTTGTGTTTTCAAAAGGTCCTTTTCTGATTAAAAATAATTTTTAAGTGGAAAAAAGTGAATGCTCATTAATAGGGGAATGATGTTTTAATGATGGACATTCACACCATGGACGATTTGGAGCCATGCATGGGAGCCATGCATAGGAAGAATGCATGGGAGCAATATTGGCTGACTTGGAGGGACTGCCAGGAGGTACCGGAGAGGGGGAAAAGGCCGAAGCCATCTAGTACAGTCCTGTATTTACGAAGCCAATAATTGCCTATAAATGTGTACACGCGTGCATGTGTGTGTCTGTATATGGCTCTTAGTTATATGATACAAAGGATACATGGCAAAATGTTGGCAGGGACTCCCTGAGTGGGCAGGGGGTAATGATGTGATGTAGGGAAAAGAAAGGAGAGAGGCAAACTAGGAAAAAAAAACATTTAAAAGATTGAACTGAAAAATGAGCTTGAGACAATCCCACTTAGGTGAGATTATTTACGCAGAGACCTTCAGGTCTTATCTGCCCTGTTCTCTGGCCAGTGCCCCTTCCCAGGCTCCTTTGGCAATGGCCCCAGAATATCAAAAGCAGTTAGGAGAAAGAAAAGTCAGCACTCTCCCACTGGCTGAGATGAGGAAAGAGGGATCAGACAGGATGGGGCTGGGGCAGGAAGAACGACAGGAGGTTGCCACAGTGGGCCTGGGGCCCCAGGTCCCTCTGTGGTCAAATGACCTGACACTCCAGCCAACCCCACATCCACCTCAGAGGCTGAGTAGCAATTGGGTTGCACAGGCTCTTTGGTCACTGTGTTCTTGCCCACCTCTTGCCTGCCCAGCCAGTGCCCCCTCTCTATCAGCCTGGGCAGTCTCTCCACATCTGTCCTGGCCCAGCTGTTGACAAGCACAGGGTTGAGGGTGGAGAGGGAGTGGGTAGGTCTGGTGCGGGGTCCCTGGTCGTCTTCCCTTCCCACTGGAGTTCTGAGGTCTGATGTTCCTGTTAGAGCAGAGGCTGCTTAAGGCAGGAACCGTCTGTCCCACCACTTCACTCCCCTAGGGTCCCCCAAATGGCTGATTCCTGGACATGGCTCTGCCATTGAATAGTAAGAGGACTTTTAACAAGCCAACCACCTCACCATTTGGGGCCTCAGTCTCCAGAGCTGTAAGGAGATGCTGAAAAGACCAGACAAGAGGAGGCAGGGCAGACACCCAGGACGGGATGGAGTCAAGGGTCTGCGCCCGGCAGGAGCACCTCCAGCCTCCTGCTCGCCCTTTGCCCCTGGCTCCCACTCAATGATCCTTTCTGGCCCCTCATCTTCCTTTCCTGCACAACCACGGCCACAGGCCCAGGCGCCCTGGAGATCTAGTGACAGGGAGCCTCTACTGGAAGAATCATAAACTCTCCAGATGCGTTCCAAAAGCCACATAGAGGAAAAGTCCTCTGTGGCATGGCGAGTCATAACCCCAGACAGTCTAGATGGGCTTGGTTTCTGATTCTGCCTTCCTTGTGGCCTTGACCGTCACTTGATCTCTCCAACCCTTGGTTTCCACCTGCAAAGTGGGAATGTTAACAGAACCTACTTCAAGGGGTTCTTATGAGAACTGAATGAATCAATATAGGTAATCAGCCTAGCCTGGGGAAGAGGTATTTCTAACTATTATTGGTGGTGGTGTCCATGGATCTCTTCAGCCTATCTTTCCACTGTCACACCCCCCTCCACCTCCCCAGCAGTTACCTTCCTGAGCTCTGAGCTGGACAGACCTCACTCTTCCCCCATCTCCATCAGCATCACGCAGAATACAACCCACTGGGGTTCAGACAAAATGTACTGAGTGAGAAGCTGACTGTCATGCAGTTACAAAGGTTAATTGCAGGATTCAACAAAAAGAGGGAGGGAGCCTGGCCCACTCATAAATACAGCCGATTAAGAAACAAGCATCATTTAATAATTATGCCACTGATAGAAATACACCATCCACTTAGCAGTTTTAGAGCCCAGTGGGGAGGTTCACCTGAGACACTCCTGATGATGGCCACACCAGGGCTTCCCAGCCCCACCAGACCTCACTGGAGCATCACTCAGCACTGGGCTCTTCAGAAGCAGCAAGTGGCCTTGGGCCTAGAAGAACGCCCATCCCATTGCTCCCTGGAAGCAGTGCCTGCTGGACCCCTCGAGCTGTCCGTTAACAGCATCTGGCTAATTAAAGCGAGATGCTACATTTCACTCTTTGACTGAGTCAGAGCTGTGGCGGGAGCCTGGGAGAAGCAGCCCCCACATCCCAGCCGGCTCCCCCTTTCATGTGGCTCTGGGGAGACAAAGCTTCTCTGATCCCTTTGAAAGCTGTGGTCCCTCCAGCCCCCGAGCAGGGAGCCAGGCCACCCAGGGGAGAACGGCAGTTCAAAGCCAGCCTGGCGGGCATGGTGGGGTCCAGTTGGGATCAGGAATAATTAGGGCATTCCAGACCATAAGAATCAATAACACAATTAACAAATATTGTGCTATTCCTCAGAATCTTGCTAGGAATTATGCTGTCTTTGATCATACAATGTTCCCTGACTGTTAATGACATGTAATATTAATTACCGGAGAAAGGGAACTACTCAGAATGAAGACTTCCTTGGAGAGTAATTAATATTCTTTGAGGAGTCGCAGAGCCTGGGAGTGGGGCTTTTTCCCCCAATTGTGATGACATTAACTGCAGTAAGCCCACCCTCCCTGTCCATGGGCAAGCAGGCCTATCCCTTAAGGAAAGGGTGACTTACACATAGTAGGCATGTTAGAAAGACTTATTAGTGGAAGGAAGGAAGGAAGGAAGGAAGGAAGGAAGAAAGGAAGGGGTTCACCTGGGAATCTGTTAGAATTTTAGCATATGAGGGCAAGAACAGTCTTTGAATCATTATCTAGTCCAACCACCTCTTTTTTCAAATGGGGAAATTGAGGTCTAAAGAGAGGAAAGATCACACCACTGCACTCCAGCCTGGGCAATAGAGCAATGCCCTGTCGAGAGAGAGAGAGAGAGAGAGAGAGAGAGAGAGAGAGAGAGAGAGAGGAAAGAATTTTCCAAGGCCACACCCCTTGTCAGTGACTAAGGGTGAAAACTCAGGTCTCAGACAATCATCCCATCCCCTTGCCACCAGGATCACCCTGCTGAGCTCTCTAGAAGGTGAGAAGGATTCAAGGGGCAAGGAAGGAATGTCAAGGGACAAGGGCTGGGGAGGTCCCCTTTTTGCCTCTAAATGCATTCAGAATATTTCAGGAGTGTCCCACCTCCCACCTTTGAACTACTTGGAATTCCCTGAGTAGGAGAGGAGTGTCCTGACCAGCTGAGACACCCCCTAACCCTAACCCTAAAACACAGGCTGCATGCGGAAAGCCACAAAGCCCTGACCAAAGTCCCCAGAAATGTCTCCTGCCCCTCAGACTCCTCCCTAGACCAGAAGGGAGGACAGAGCAAAGAGAGGACCAACACAACCTTCTTCCTCGGCACACACAAACGATCCCTGCCTTCTCCCTGAGCCACGTGGGGCTGAGCCACCTCGGGGGGAATTTAGACAGTGCACCCAAGGGAAGGTGGGGATGAGGGAGAGAACCCTGAGTGTGGGGTTGGGACACTGGCTCCAAGTTCCACTCTGCCACCAGTCACGGACAGATCCCTCCCCATCTCTGGGCCTGGGTTTCTTAATCTGTCAAGGAAGCTCACCACACCAGACAATCCCTACATCTCCTTCCAGGCTGATATCCCTAGATTCTGAAATGATAGGAGAAATCCCAGTCTCCTGATCTTCTAAGGAGTCCTCAGTTTCCCTTCCTGCTTCCTAGAGCAAAGACTTCTCCCAGGAAGAACAGGTCATTAGCTCTGGTTGACTCTTGTTTCCAGCAGACAAGAGCTCCCAGTAGCTGTGGGAGGGTCATCCCCAGGGAGCCCCAGACCCACTTCCCCCTTCTTCCTGGGAGCCAGAAACAAGCTCCCAGCTCCGTTCGCAGCAAGACAGACCGCTGACCCTGGGAGGGTAGGATAAGAAGGGGAGCAGGGCTGGCTCCCTCCCCACCCGGCTGCTGCCCAGATGCTCTTCATCAGTGCCTGGCTCCCAGCCTGAAAGCAATCATAGGCATTGAGTGGCACAATGGCCTGCCATGGGGCGGGGGGCAGGGTGTGCAGGCAGATGCAGCAGCACCGCCCTTCACCCCTCCCACCTGCCCAGCTCCAGGTTCCAAGGCCCCAGCCTCGGCGCCTCTCCTCCTACTTCCTGGGTTTTCATTCCAGGAGCTCTAGCACCACCTTGCCCACCTGCTCTTCCAGCTCTCAGCCCCTCATGGGCACTGCCAGCTTCTCCAGGAAACATGGGCCTGTCACCAGGGATGGAGAGGTAGTGTCTCGGTGTCCCCACTTATGAATATGAACCCACCTTGGTCTCAAGTCTCACCTTTCCCTCAATGCATCCCTAGTGCCCTCAGAGGGTAGGAAGGGCAAGAAAGAGGGTCCCTGGTTTTCAGAGACAAAGATAAAGGGTATGAGCAGCTCATGAAGGAACTGGGCATGGATCCCAGACTCCCCCCTCCTCCTCACCCTTCCTCTCACTGATTCGGGACTTTGCGGTGTAAGTCACCTCTCAGCATCACCTTCTAGGCAGATAAACAGAAATTATTCTGCAACTCGCTTATCCAGAAGCATAGGCTGACCCTTGATATCTGACCCCTGATATCTGAAAGGCCTTGCCAGGGGTCCTGTGGGTAGGACAGGGTTTGTCCCCTGAAACCTTCATCCCTTGGCCCAGTGGGGGATGTGACCATGCTTCTCTCTGGACCATTATGTGGATAAGATCTCTGTGGAGAGAAGCACTGGTCTGAAACCTCCCCTTCCTTGACAGGAGAATGCAGAGCGAGGGGCACATGAGACTCTCCCCCTGCTGTCCTCCCACTGTGGCCTGTGGATGCACATGGCCGGATGGCAGTGGGTGGCCAGCACGCTTCCTGAGGCCAGCCTGCCCAATTGGCAGTGGTGACCCAGAGCCCAGGACATGGCCCCAGGACCGGGCATGGGAGGGTATCCAGGCTGAAGGAGGCTGCCCCTCCCCGCCGAAGCCACCGCTTGCTCACATGCAGCCCTCCTGGGCCTTGTGTGTACTGCCATGCCGGTCCCGCCTTGACAGCCCTCTCCCCTGCTCTCCGCTCCTTCCCTTCTCCTCCAGGACCCTGCTCCAACACCTCCAGCCCCACCTTCTGTCCCCCAATGGAGAGCCTTTAATGGACACACCATCCTTCCACACTCAGTCCTTTTTGCTTCCCACCCAGTCTCTAAACTTCTCACAAAGGGCCCTGGTTTCTGTGGCTCCCACACTCCCCACAGCACTAACAGAGCTCACTTGGAGCCAAACAGGTGATCAACAAAAGCTCTTTAGTGGATGGGCTGGTCCCATCTCAAGGCAAGCTCTCCATGGCTTACCCAACGCCCATGAAAGAAAGCAGTTCTGGGCCAGGCGCGGTGGCTCACACCTGTAATCCCAGCACTTTGGGAGGCCGAGGTGAGAGGATCACGAGGTCAGGAGATCAAGACCATCCTGGCCAACATGGTGAAGTCTCGTCTCTACTAAAAATACAAAAATTAGCCGGGCATGGTGGTGGGCACCTATAGTCCCAGCTACTCGGGAGGCTGAGAGAGGAGAATCGCTTGAACCAGGGAGGCAGAGGTTGCAGTGAGCCGAGATCATGCCACTGCACTCCAACCTGGGCAACAGAGCGAGACTCCATCTCAAAAAAGAAAAAGAAAAAGAAAGAAAAGAAAGAAAGCAGATCTGACTCATGATGTGATCCAAAGAAGCACTTCCTGCTCCCTTTGGCCCTCATACCTGACACCCAGGTGCGCCCAGACACAGAGAAGTCACTTCTTAGCAGGAGGCACCCAGAGCATGGCAAGTGATAGGGTCTGTGGCTTTAGAATCAGGAACCTGGGTCCAGCTTTGGGTCTGTCTTCCCACTCTACTCCCCGGGCACTCTGCTGCTTCTCTGAGCCTCAGTCATCTTACCTGGCAGGGAGGCAGACAGGGTCACACGGGCTCGTGCATATTAAGCACCTGGGCAACAGTGGGCCCTCCCCAAATGCAGCTCCCCTCATCCCCCCACTGGCTGGCTCTGGGTTCCAATCTGGGCCCTGGTGACGGGTATCAACAGCTGCAGGGGGGCACTGCACAGCTCCCCGAGCATGGCCACCCTTGCAGCTGGGCTGCCACTAGCCCCTCAGTGGTCTGCTTCTCCAAAGACAGGCAAAAACAAACAAAAAAAACCCTTCTCTGACACCCACCAATGAGCAGCTTTGCGTGAGACAGGCAGCCCAGCAGTGCCAGCAGGTGTGGCTGGAGTAAATGATAGTGTAACCCTTGCTACCCGAAACAACAACATCATAACTGTCAGAGCAATTTTCCACATCAGTAGTTTAACACCTGAACTGTTGCTTCACTCCATTCTCCCTCCCCAACCTCGCGCTCGCCCACACTCCATTCTGCTGTACTGAAGTCGGCCCAGCTCTCAGCCATCTCTTCTGGGATCTGCAGCAAAGAGTACTTGCCCCGCAAGAGCCAAGGGGCTGCGAAATTAATCAGCACATGGGCTCTTCGGAGCAGAGAGGGAAGGAAAAACCCGGGGGCTCAAATACCCAATCCAGCATCTGTCAACATCTGGGTTATAAATAATCCAGGGATTTAACAGTGATTCCAACATTAGATGCCTTCAACACACCATCATAAAGATGCAGTTATTAACTTTTATTTACTGGGATTGTATTTATTTTCCTAGAATGAAAGGCAAAGTGCTGGAGGGACGTGCAAGACAGAGACACTTCTAAAATGCCGTCTGTCTGTTGGAGACCTGCCAGAGAAAGACGCACACACCTGGGTGGTAGTCAAAATCTTTAACAACTAGGGGGGCAAAGGAACCAACCAGCCACCCCTGTTGGGCCAGGAGGTAACCTTTTCAGTTGATGAACCTTGGTGGGGTCTCAGTGGGGGAAGGGAAGGGCCCAGGTGGCAGGGAGGCAGCTATGTTCCAACCAATATTCAAGTGTTTCAATATTTGCACAACCTTCACACATGCGCCTTCCTACCCTGGTTTCTCTAGCAGGTTTTCCCCAAGGAACCATCAAGCTCTCTGAGAGCCAACAAGATTCCCTTCAGGGGAAACTGAAGGCCAAATTAGAATCACAGAGTCAGGATGTCAGAGTTGGAAGGGATCATATTCAGATGCTGTTGGCCAAGTCTTCAGTTGACAAATGTGGAAACTGAGGCTGCTCAAGGTCACTGTGTGATTTATGAGCAGGTCCTGAATGAGACCCTGGCCCCTGACTTCCTGGTCAGTTCTGGCTGTCCTGGCTCTGTGCCTCAGTGTTGCAAGGTCACCCCCTGTGCAGTAATCAGGTGGGTTGGGAGACACACATGGTGATGCCCCCCACCCCCCGCTATGGGGTAAGGGCTCAGAGGCAAGACAGGAGGGAGAGCCCTCGGCTGTAGAATTTGCCTCAGAGTGAGGGCGGGGAGAGTGGGGCAGGAAAGAGGCCGGGTGAACCCTAAGAGACCGGGTTCTCTGAGCCTGGGAAGAAAACACACCCCAAATTTAGGATGGGGTGCACACAGAGGTGAAGGGCTCAGGTAGGCACTCCCTTGCTGACTTCCTCCAGTCTCCCGGCCTTAAATAGCTTCTATTATACAGGGACCACTCCCAAACTTATCATTCAGGTTGGGCTTTGTCCAGAGCTCCAGACTCATGTTTCCAGCGTCCTACTCAATCTCTCCATGTGGAAGTCTAATAGAAACCTCGATTTAACATGACCCAAACCTGATCTCCCCCATAAGCCTGTCCCTCTTTCAACCTCTCCAATTTCAGTGACTTGGGCCAAGAAACTTAGCCTTGATTTTTCTCTTTATCTCACCTCCCTCATCCCAACCCTCAGGAAATTCTGTCAGCTCAACCTTGAAGGTGGAGCCCAAGTCTGTGTTCTTCTTCCCCACTCCACTGCTGCAGCCCGCTCCTGGCCACGCCAGCTATCACCTGGATTAGAGTAATCACTTACTCATGGGTCTTGTTTCCACCCTTACCCCTTTTCCAGGCATGTGGTGGGAGCGGGTGATGGTCCTCAAGTGGCACAGACCCACCGACCCATCAGCCTGGGATTTGCTGCTTCCCATCTGGGACCCTGTGGGGAAGCTGCTGAGTTGGTCTTCAGGGAAGGAAGTATGGATGAATCAAAGGGTCTCGATGGCCACACCTGCACTTGGGGACACATCTGATCCCCTCAGCCAATGTGGCCTGGAGTCCCAAAGTCTCCAGGTTGGAAGGAGGGTCAGAGGCCCCCGAACCAACTTCCTGCCCAGCACATGGGTCCTCTCACAGCAGCCTGGAAGTGAATGTCCAGGCATGGCCCAGACACCTGCACTGCTGGGATCTCCCCTACCCCTGGCTGGTTCTGATAGCTCCCACCACCTTTCCACACCTTGGTTCTACTGTACTCCATGGAATGTTCATGATTAAACATCAGTCCCCCTTCTCACCAGCATGGCCTCCACAGAGAGGTCCAAATTTCAAAATTCAAGCCACCAGCACCTGGTGGGTCATCGGTCCCACTTGACCACTCCAGGCAGCCTCACCTTGCACGTCCCAGGCCTGTTCTTAAAGACAGCCACAGCTGGGGATCCAGTGGTGGCCCTGTGCTCGGCCACCACTCCCTGTGTCAGGACACGGCAGAGCCCGGCCCCCGAGAGGAGGGAGAAGATGCTGCTCCCTGAGTCAAGACTCCTGCCAGCCCCTTGGTTTGGAGCCTTCTTTCCTCTGTGGCTGTGCACCCTGTCCGTGCCCCCTTCCAGTTCCTTCTGCCTTCGTTAACCAGGGCTAGACACTAAAGCAGGCAATTCAAGTCCTCCCTAGTCTGGTGAACTCACAGCTGCACCATCTCTGGGTGGACCTATACCACCTCTGGGTGGTGTCTAAGATGAGAGGACTTTATCATCACAGTCCAATTTCCTCTGTACTGAGAGAACAGAGCAACGCAAGAGGAAATGAACTTCCCCAGGTCACAGAGCCAGGCAGAACCCCCTAAACCCCAACCTGTCCCTTCCCACCGGCCTTGGAACCCTGAGTCAGGTGCCTCCAATATGAGCAGCCACCCACCAAAGCTCTCTCTTCTTCACTGACCATGCTTTGTGGGGAAGCCCGGACTCAACCAGACCACCACTCCTCCTAAACCCTTGAGGCTTATGACTCTCCAGCTGTGGAAATGGGACCAACGCCTTACAGGTTTTAGAGAATAAATGGGACCAGAGACGTGCCAGCAGCTAACAGCTCCTGGATCAGAACATATGTGGTATTGACAACCCCACACGGACAACAGTACCTAGGCCATGTCTAGTGACATCTCCACGGGCAAACGTAGCCAGCCTCCCTCCTCACTCCCAAGGGAGCCATTCCACCCATGCTCTGCTTTCCTGATCACAGCTAGCAGGGTGCTATTCATCCTTTGATAAGAAAACAAATCAGCTCTGTTCTAATTAGTCAAAGTGAGCAAGGGAGTGCAAGGTCCTGACCTGCCATCATCCCACACACCCCATGTCACGGCAGCTACAAGATCCCACCCCTGGATCACAACAATCCCATTGCTGATCACACAGGAATCAAATCTGGGGGTGGAGAGAAGGGCACCTACTATGTACAAGGCTTTGTGCCAGGTATTCTCTTTAGCCCCACAGCAGCCCTGGGTCCAGAATCTCCTGCCATCTTCGTCCCTTTCTCCTGCACTAATGTCATTAAGAGGGGACATTGTTAGAAGCATTTAAGCAGGACTCCCAGCCCCCTAGCACCTGTCCTGCAGACGCCTGACAGAGGAAGATAAATATATTTATAATATGAAGCAAAGGGAATAACAAAGAGTGTATATAGTTGTCTATGACAAAGCTGACAAGCCAAAGCCAGCAGCTTTAATCAGTTCCCAGCTGAGCCCAGGAAATCTACAGGAGCACAGCTCTGACCTTTTGGGCTGATTTCTAAAGGGAAGGTTAAAGTTTTGTTGCAAAGTATTTTTTTTAATTTTAAATGAAAGAGGGGTGTAAGGTTGAATATACGTGCCAACCTCTGAGGTGGTAATAGGAACACAGGCACAGGATTTTATTTTAAATTAATCCATGAATGTACCTCCCGCTGTTGCCCCTTGAAATGTTTTGTTCTCCGGGTGAGACATAGCTTTTCCCATTTGTCGGATGAAATGTTCACTTGCGTGAATGACTTGCAAATGGGCTGAAAATGTATGTGGCTGCAGATTCCCAGATTCATTTTAGATAATAAAAAAAAATTGCTGGAAAAGGGACTAAATGTTTAAAATCATTTTCACCCCTCTAGCCAGAAGCACTGCTGAGGACACCTGCAAATCCTGAGCTGGCATCACCCACAGGAATTCCTCTTCCTGTGTGCAGAGTGGACAGTCAGGAGCTTCGTGTGGAAAGCTAATGCAATTTGGTTTAACAGTAGTCAACCATTTAAAAATTCTCCTATTCAAAAGGAAGGCTTCACCAGCTCACAACCCCCTCTTCCCATCAGATGGAACCGTGTGGACTCAGCCTCAGCCCAACTTCCTCAGAGGCTGCCTGCTCTGCCCCTTGGGCTGGGAACAGAGCTGGTGGTGCCAGGTCCCAGAAATGCCTGCTTGCCTTAGGCACAGACAGCCCTGTGCACCCCTCCGGGGCCCCAAACCTGGCTGCACATCAGAATCATCTGGGGTTGCATGGAGGATCCAGGGTTCCTGGGCCCCCACTCAGCCCCACTGATGGGAATCTCCAAGCGTGGGGCCTGGGAAGCAGGATTTTTGAAAGCTTCTCCAGAATCCTAATGAGTAGCCAGGCTAGGGAAGCATAGGCTTCAACAGTCCCAGCATGGTAAACAGCAGAAAAATCACCGGCTCTCAAATATCTCCTTCACCTTTGGGTACCTGAAGCCTCCCCCTTCCAAGGCCTGTTTCCATAGCATCCACATGAACCCACATTTTAAAACAGGCCAGACAACCAGCATCCAGTCTCCGCTTAATATCTCAAAGTCCTCCATGCAGTAGCTTCTAAACTCTGTGTCTTTAGACGAGCTGAAATTGCACCTCTTTTAAAATGTCCTTACTCTTAAAGGGACAACATTTTAAGCTGTTGTTTACACCTATGTCTCAATGAGGTTCTAATTTTTGCTTTGAGAGTTGATCTTCCTCTAGACCTTCCACGTTCCTGAACTTAGCTTGAGTAATAATGATTCTAAGTCTGTCAGGTTCACAGGATGTTTTCACGACCATGATCTCATTTGATTTCAAACAATTGTCTCACAGTTATTGCTGCCTCCACTTTCTAGATGAGAAAACTGAGGCTCAGGGAGTTTAAGAAATTTGCTTGAAGTCCATGTAGTAGAACTCACACAATGCCCAGAGGGCCTTGTCTTCCACTTGATGGCCAGCGTCTGGCTGTGGTGGCACCCACTGTGCCCATCTTGAAATATTTTCCTTCCCCTCCTCTACTGCAGACCTGTACCCAGGAGCCACAGAGGTCAGGGAAAGACCAAGAACCTCCAGAAATGAATGACCCATTCCTAGTCCTGGGGTCTAGGGCTGTTTAAGATGCTTGGAATCCAACGTTTTATACATTGGAGAGGAAATCCTTTGAGGCTTTTCAGCACCCTGACTTGGCCCACAATAGTGGTCACTCTAGGCACACCCTCTGCATAACCCAGACCACCATTCCCAGCCACAGAAGGACACTCAGTGACCTACAGCGTGTGGGAGGATGGGAAAGGCAAGATTCAGTCATGAGCATTGGTGCTAGAGGGGCCACGATGGCACTTACTTCAGACCATGAGGATAGACCTGGGGCCTGGAGACATGATCTTGGTGCAGTGGTACCTTCTGGGGACCTTTTGGGGAAGGGGGATGCTGAGGAGCTGGGAGAGAGCCCTGGTGGGAAGGATGGCCAGGACCTCACACCTGGGCTGGATTCTCGAAGGGTTAATTGAGGGAGACCAGTGAGGCCCTAGAAGAGGGTGCAGCGGTCACCACAACCCACATGAGCTCTCTGTGGACAAGGTGAGTTGGAGTAACCATGATTCTTCTAGATCAGGAAAAGGCAGGAAACAGCATAAGAGATCTTCTGAAAGGTTTTGATATCTCTTATGATGTGGTCGCTCCCTCTCCCCATTTTTCTTTGCTAATGGAACTCCAATTTGTCCATGTGATAGATGGAGACCCTTTCACCCCAGGAGCCAGCACCAGCCCCAAAGGCTGAGTTAAGATTGGAAAGCTCATCCTCCTTGGGTAGCCATGGTGTAAGGATGGGCACATGTTCCTATTCTGGGAGGGAGAAGTAGGCTAGAAAGGGCTTTGTTTCCTAAACAAAAGGACAAAGCCTCCCAAGGAAAAGCCCTCTCTCTCTCTCTCTCTCTCTCTCTCTCTCTCTCTCACTGCTTTCTGCCTAGAACGTGGATGTGATACCTAAGGGTGCAGCAGCCACCTTGTGATCATGAGGTAACAAGCCAACAGGCAAAGAACAGGAGAGTCAAAGGAGATAAAAGGCCTAGTTCCCCAGTGACACCGTGGAACCACTTCACCAGCATCAGACACTCAACCTCCAGATATCTTGCCATGTGAGAAATAAATACTCCCATTGGTTTAAAATACTCTAGTTGGTGGGTTTTACTTTTCCTGACTTGCAGCTGAACTCTGTGCTGATATCACATCCATGAGGGTAAGGTAGAATATAATTTCTAATGTCATTCATTCATGCATTCAATAAGCATTTATTGAGTGCCTACTATATGCCAGGCACTGCTCTAGGCCCTAAGGGGACACACACACACACACACACACACACACACACACACACACACCCTTGCCCTAGGAATTTATTCCTGCCCTTCTGCTCTATTCTACTAGGGAGGAAGAGGTGATTAAGAACATAAATAAGTAAATGATGTATCTGTTATGTGGTGATAAGTGCTAAGGTGAAAAATAAAGCTGGGAAGGGAATCCAGTATGCCAGAGCTAGAAGCAGGATGGCAGCTTAAACAGAGTGGCCTGGAGGACCTTGCTGAGAAGCTGAAATCTGAGCCTAAGTAGGTGAGGGAGAAGCCATGCAGGGATCAGGGGAGGAGTGCCCAGGTGCAGGGAAGAGAAGTCTAGGTGTGCCCACGAGGACAGCAAAGCCACCCTGGAGGCAGGCCCGTGGCTCGTGACATGAGGTCACAGCCTTAGCCCTCAGCCCTAGGTTCTTCAACTTTTTCTCAAAGACTGGGACAAACACCTAAAGTAGAAGCTCACAAGATCCTTGAATACGTGAAGTCAGATGGGATCAGATGAGGATCTCAGAAAATCTTGACAGGCCGGAGCAATGTACTGAGTGGGAGGAGGTGAAACATAATAGCGATGAATGTAAGGGGCTATGCTTCTCATCCAAGGGATCAACAGCACAGCAAAGACAGGCAGCCACACGGGTGAAGAAAGAAGCTCAGGAGTACCCTGTGGCAGGAAACCAGCAGAAGGATGTGTTCACTTGAGAAGCTGGTCACATAATCTCCACTTTTTTTTTAGACAGGATCTTGCTCTATCACCCAGGCTGGAGTGCAGTGGTGTGATCTCAGCTCACTGCAGCCTCAACCTCCCAGGTTCAAGAGATCCTCCCACCTCAGCCCCTTAAGTGGCTGGGACTACAGGCGTGTACCACCATGCCTGGCTAAATTTTTGTTTGTTTGTTTTTTGTGGAGACAGGGTTTCACCATGTTGTCCAGGCTGGTCTCAAACTCCTGAGCTCAGGCAATCTGCCCTCCTTGGCCTCCCAAAGTGCTGGGGGATTACAGTCATGAGCCACTGCACCCACCCACCACCAACTTCTTAATGAATATGATTTAAGTGAGGATGAGCACTCAGAGGGACAAACACTGATTCTTGTGCTTCTAGGCACTCAGTGAGCACCTACTATGTGCCAACCATGGTTCTGGGAAAACAGAAGTGCCCTCACGGAGCAGCAAGCCAGCAGTTACACCACCAGTGGCTTTCAAGTCTTTGAAAACAACCCACAATAAAAAGTATGCTTTGCATCATGACCCACTACCCACAAATACATGTGTGCATATACACGCGGAACTGAAACAAAAGCTCCACAAAGCAATATTTACCTCTACTACAGAGGAGCCAATCTAATATTTTCTATTTTTCTGAGATGATTTGAGGCCCACGGAATTGATCCTATGACACACTTGCTGCCAGCAACATGAAAAACAGTGAACCATGCGTGATAAGTGCCACCATATGGGACAAACAAGTGCTGGGGAGCAAAGATGGGATCAGGGCCAACCACCCTGAGAAGTAAGGTTCAGGCTGAGCCCAGAAGAGGAGCTTGGGGACAATCAGGCAATTTTTAAAAAGAGAGTGGCCCGATGGCAGTGATGGTCGTGAAACAACGTGAATGTGCTTACTGCCACCAAACTGCACACTTAAAAATGGCTCCAATGTTAAATTTTATGTGATGTATATTTTACCACAATATAAACATTAGTTTGACTTGTAGAAAGAGAGAGAATGGCCCACAATTTAAATGCCTTTAAATAGGGTAGTGTTGTGTTGCTTTAGGAATATTATGCAGCACTGTAAAATAAGAAACTTCCCACAACAAAAATGACGTTATGCCAAGCACAAGATGCTAGAGACAAAATAGTGCTTACTGTATGATTCCATTGGGAGAAGTTCAAGAACAGGCAAAAGTAATCTGTGGTGATAGAAAAACAAAACAAAACAAAACAAAAAAAACAATAGTTACCTCTGGGAGGGGAGAGGGCATTGATGCCAAAGGCACGAAGTAGCCTTCTAGGATGATAAAAATGTCCTGTATCTTGGTCTGGGTGGGGCCACACAGGTGTATCTATCTGTAAAGATTCCTCCAGCTGGACACTTAACACTTGTGCACTTTACTGCTTATCAGTTGTACCTCAACAGGAAAGGAAAAGTAAGAAAAAATTTTTTCGAGGAAAAGAAATGAGAGAGAAAAAAAAGAAATCTAATTGAATTACTTCTCAGGTGGAGGTTAAGTTCAAAAGTCATCTCGAAAGGGTAACATTGCATATAGTCAAAATCACCCTGGCAAATCTCCTAAATCACCCACAGAGATTTGTATATGTAGGTATATTCGATCCTGCAACATACTGCTCATATACCCTGAAGTTTGAAAGCCACAAGATTCAACCAAAGCCTAGAACAAAGAGAACGTGGAGACCCAGATGCTGAGGCCTGCAACCCCCAACGTCTACGGTTACCGCCACACCCATGTTGGGAAACAGAGGGCAGAGGGGGAATCTGGAGCTCCTGTCCACCCATCTGGGCTCGCTCCATCCTGCTTTAATATTCAGCCACCACAGTATGTTTTGTTCTATAGAACTGATTTGTGAGAATTAAATGAGCTGGGTTCTGAAGCTAGCAGAGAAGTTGCACATAACCATTACTCTATCTTTAGGCTCCTTCTATTTGGCTCCAAGGAGACTAAACAAGATGGAAACCCTAGGAAGGCCGATTTCAGCTTGGGAGAAGAAAGGGCTTGTGAACTGAAGTGGAGGAGCGCTCCAGTGATGGACTGGGCAGGTAGATAGTGAGTTCTCCATCAGCAGAGGGAAGGCACAGGCTGAAAATCTGTCACACCAGGTGACCTTTATAGGCCCTTTCCCGCCTGGAAGTTCTGAGCTGGCCAGCTGTCCTGGCTCCCCATCCTGGGCATGTCCCCTCAGCTCACAGCTGCCTTGACAATGAGATGTGGAGCTGGCTAGAGGAACCTGCCAGAAACTCCAGGTGGCTGTCCTAATAGAGGATTGTTCTGCCACCCCTGAGGATTTACAGCCTCCCTCCTGAGTTATGGGAAGGCGGGCGGAGCCTATAAAAAGATCCGTCCTGGCTGTGCAGTGCACGGGGCATCAATCAGTGGCAGCCTGGCCACTGGAGCAGAGTGAAGATCAGTCCTCTGGGCCTCACCTATAAATCCTCCCCGCATGCACACGAGGCACAGATGCGTCATATTCGAGAAGAGCTTGTGCCACCGTTTTAATTCCAGTGATGTGGGTGGAGGGCAAGAGAGAATGAGGAAGAAGCAGGCCTAAATGTAGCTGTCCTCTGAACTCACCTCTCACCCAAGCCGCCAAACCTCCCTCCTTCCAGTCCCATCCCTAAGCAAATGGTGTTGAGTGGGCAGATGAGAGAAGGTTGTCTACCTGGGGGCAGGGTTGTTGGATTTGCAGGGGTGGGGTGGGGTGGAGGTCCATTGTGGCCTGAACGAAGCTAAACCAGAGGTGGAGCCACCACACATGTTTCTGGAGGCTGGAAGTGCACCCCTTTCCTCCATCTTCTATTAGTGGCAGAGAGGTCTGATGGCAGAAGTTCAATGGATGGACAGAGAAGGGCCAGGCTGCCCTGGACTCAGAATTGTTGCACTGCACAGCTTGGAGTGCTTTTCACCTCATCACTGTGCCAATGGAGTTGTGCAGTACACAACCTGGATCGCTGCACGTGAGGGGCCTGCTGGATCTACATCACAGGTCTTTCTTCTTGAGAATAGGGTAGTGGAGAGAATATTAAACCAAGAGTTAGGAGACCTGGGCCCAAGTTCTAGCTTCATCCCTGACTTGCCATGGACCCTGGGCAAGTGCATTACTTCTCTGAGCTTTATTTTCCTCACCTGTAAAATGGGGACAATAATCCTGTCCCACTGGACCTTTCTCACCAGGTCTGGCATGTCTCCTGTGGGCCTCGTGGAGTTTTGGACAGAGGACAGCTTCTTCTACATATGACCCCTCCAGGATCCACTCAGACCCCAATCCCAATTCTTGGCCAGCCTTTAAAAATTACCATGCTACCTTTCTGGAGGCCACTCCCTTCTGGGACAGAACCTACTAGAGCTGACAGGATTTATAGCCATGCATAAGGTGCCCCATAATTTCTGAACTAAAAAGCAGTACATTTGTCTGACAACCAGAGAACATTTGAAATTGGAACTGTCCCAGAAACCCAGGTCCATCTGTTTGCCAGTTCCAGGCAGGTGACTGCAGCTACTAACAGCTGTCCCCACCAGGGAGGGGGCTCAGGGGCAGGAGGTACAACTGAGCACAGGCAAACTTCAGTGGCAGGACTGCCGGCAGCTGGCTGGGAGACTCCCGGACAGCAGATTTCCCTGTCTGAGCACAGCCGGGCTCATCTCTCAAACTAGGGCAACCCCTATGACCAACCCCTCACAGCACGTTAGAAACAGTATTTTCCAAAAGTTCACAATTTTTCAGGAATCTGGGCTTAGCTGCTGAGGGAAATAAACCAGAAGTGAGGTGGGATGGCACAGGGGCCTGGACTTGGCATCTGGCAGGCACGGGTTTGAATCCTGCTTCCACCACCCCAAAATCCCATGACCCTGGGCAAACTATAAACCTCCCCAAGCATCAGGTCTGTCATCTGGGAAATGGAGGTGAAGCCACGGACTCACAGGGTTGGTGCAGAGTGGAGAGAGTACACATGAAGTCCCTGATATACAGCAGGTGTCCACAGGGCAGCTGACCTTGTCAAACAGCTTCAGACCATTTTACTCAGGAGAGTAGGGGCTCTGGGGAACTAGTCACCACCACCAGCACAGAAGAGAGAAAGGAACATCTTTTTTAAAAACTCTCTCGGTCCTTCTCTTTCCCCCTTCCTCTCTCATTACCTCTGCCCTGCCCCAGCTCTCGCCCCAAGTCTTCTGGCCCCTCCTGATCCCTGGGGAGCCCCTTTTGGGCCTCGCCTCCCTCTGCCCTCTCAGTCTCTTCTTCTCTCCTCTATTTCCTACCTTTTTTCCTCTCCCTCATTTCTCCTGTCTCCCAGGCAGGTGGGGGACTTATAAGGAAAAGGCAGGAAGAATGGCTCCAAGCTCCCTTCAGAGGCCCCCATGACAAGAAAGGAAGTGAAGACCAAAGGCAGGGTCTCCCTCCGTCCCCTGTCCCAGTCCTGCCAGGCCAGAGACACCTTGCCCAGGCTCAGCTCTACTCAGGAATGGAGGTGGACTCCTGCACCCAGGACAGACCGTGCCCACAGCAAAACTGCTCCAGGTGCCAGGTAGCCCTGCCAGGCAGGGTGGCTGAGCTCTGAAAAGCAGGAGGAGGAAGTCACAAAGCCCCTCCAGCTATACACATATCCCCCACTCCCTGGGTGATCTCATCCATCTCTGGGCTTTAAATGTCATCAGACGGTGCCCATAGTTACATCAGCAGGGCCCTCACCCCTGAGCTCCAGATCCATATCGCCAGCTGCCTACTTGACATCTTCCCTGGGACGGCTGGTAGCTTCTCAAACTAAACAGGAACAAAATAGAACTCTGTGCCCCCTTGCTCTCCCCGCCCAGGGTTTGCCGCCATGGGGAGCTCACCACCATTCATACTGCTACTGGAGTCACACTGATTCCTCTCTCTTTCCCACATCCCCACATCTAGTCCATCAGCAAATCCTGCTGGCTCTGCCTCCAACATGCGTCCAGAATCCCATCACTGCTCAGACTCTGATCCATGCACCAGCATCTGTCACCCCAGGAGCACCCCCACTGGCCTCCTGCTTCCCCTCTTCCAGTCTACCCTCTACTCAGCAGCCAGGGAGAGCTTTAAAGATATAAATCAGATCACACTGCTCCACTGCTTAATACCTCCCAGTGTCTTCCATTCACAACCGGGATAAACCCAAACTCCTCACTAGGCCCAAAGGCCCTTCATGATCTGGTTCGTGTCCTCCCTGGCTGCATCTCCTTGTTCCCTTTGCTCCAGCCTGATGGTCCTCCTGTCTGTTCCTCCAGCAAGCTCGTTCCCAGCTCATGGCCTCTGATGTACTTCCTTTCTGCTTGGAAAGCTCTCTTCCCAGATCCGCCTCTGGCTGGCTCCGCCTTGTCATTCAAGTCATCGTCTCTGAAATGCTCTCTCTGACCCTGTCTACACTCACTTTGGCATCCCAGGCCCTGGCACGCCACCTGGCACACAGCAATCCTGGATAAATAAATATCTTCTAAATAAAAGTACAAGTGAATAAAGGTTTCGATTCTTACAGCTACAGGGTGGAGAACACAGCAGAGTCAGGCCAAACTGCCCCTCAGGATGTGCCTTTCAGGTTCCCTGCTCCTATCCTTCCTCCCCTGGACACACTCAGCTTGGTCATGGCCCTTGAGGTCATAGTTGATGCAGAGTTCCAAGGGGCATCCTCTCTCCTCACCTGAACGCTGACTTACAGCCCTGCCTTTCATAGACACATGGCTCCAGTGGGCAGAGCCACCATGGAGCTGGGCATCTTGATAAAGGCAAACAGCCCCAGGGTGATGGACCATGGCTCCCACCCTGGGGGTAAA
Source organism: Homo sapiens (assembly GCF_000001405.40). NCBI lineage: Eukaryota > Metazoa > Chordata > Mammalia > Primates > Hominidae > Homo > Homo sapiens. Next base: position 271,153 of record NW_003315944.2, read on the forward strand.
GAAAGAAAGTGCCCAAGCCCAGGGCCAGCCGGGGCAGAAGAGGTTGTGCCCCAAGACAACCCAGAGGGAGACTCCATCCTACTCTCATGACGTTTCAGAAACCCTTGGTCCACATGCCCTTCTGCTGCTTCATTTTTATACAGCTAAAGAAGGCCCATGGATGGCTGGGCACGGTGGCTCACACCTGTAATCCCAGCACTTTGGGAGGCCGAGGCGGGCGGATCACCTGAGGTTGGGAGTTTGAGACCAGCCTGACCAACATGGAGAAACTCCGTCTCTACTAAAAATACAAAAACAATTAGCCAGGCATGGTGGCGCCGGCCTGTAATCCCAGCTACTGGGGAGGCTGAGGCAGGAGAATCGCTTGAACCCGGGAGGCAGAGATTGCAGTGAGCCGAGATTGCGCCATTGCACTCCAGCCTGGGCAATGAGAGCGAAATTCCGTCTCAAACAAACAAACAAAACAAACAAACAAACAAACAAACAAAAAAGAAGGCCCATGGATAGAGAGAAGAAATGTGAAATCTGTCTGAGGTTACATAGCTAGGAACTGGAGCTGAAATCTCCATCTACAGCCCTAACTTCCAGGCAGGTCAAACTGCACTGATCTGCTCAAAACATGGGTAAGTTTTAACCACGCTGGTGCCTCTCAGACTTTGTGAGGCCGGGGGGAAGGGGCAGCAGCTCTGAAGAGGCCATCACTGGCCTGGCCTCAGGGGATGTAGCCTTTCCCCCCTGAACCCCTGCTGGGCAGGCAGCATTCTGCAGCAGCCTCCAAGATGGGCCTCCTGCATTCTCCTAGGCCAGGCTCCTCCCAGCAGCCAGAGGGAGCTTCAGAAAACCCACATCTGATCCTATCAACCCTTGCTTATACGCGATTCCTCCTATCAAACCAAAATGCTCACGGTGCATTCCAGTCCCGCCAGCTCCTACCTGATGGAGCAACCTCACCTCCAGCTCGTCTTCTCCTTGCTCACCACATTCCAGCCACCGTGGCCTTCTCAGCCTTCAACTCCCCATGTGGCCTTTGCACATGCACTTCCCTCTGCCTGGAATGTTTTTGCCTTAACTCCCTTGTCTTGGTAACTGCTGCCTCTCCTTCAGACTGCATCAAATGGTAATTCCTCTGATGCCCTCCAGCTCCTGCCCAACTATCAGGCCTGCCCACTGGACACTGTGTGACCCTCTCCTCTGCAGAACACCCACAGTTGTGTGTGGTTGTGAGATCAGTGATGATCTGCTCCTGCACCATCCAGCATGATGGCCACTGGCCATATATGGTTACTGAGCACTTGATGTAAGTTACTGAGCACTTACAGCTCAGTGACTTACAGATGGGGCAGAGGGAGAATACCTGGGGAGGGAAGCCACCAGTCCAAACTGAGATGTGCTGTTTCAAATATCTCATTAATTTCATATATAGGCCACATGTTGAAGGAATAATCTGATACCATTTTGGATATAACAGGTTAAAGAAGATACATTATTAAAATAAGGCTGGGTTCGGTGGCTTATGCCTGCAATCCCAGCACTTTGGGAGGCCCAGGTGGGTGGATCACCTGAGGTCAGGAGTTCAACATGGTGACCTGAGATCAGCCTGGCCTACATAGTGAAATCTCATCTCTACTAAAAATACAAAATTTAGCCGGGCGTGGTGGCGCATGCCTGTAATCCCAGCTACTTGGGAGGCTGAGGCAGGAGAATTGCTTGAACCCGGGAGGTGGAGGTTGCAGTGAGCCAGGATCGTGCCATTGCACTCCAGCCTGGGTGACAGAGTGAGACTCCAACTCAAAAAATAAAATAAAATAAAAGTCACCTGTTTCTTTTTACTTTTTTAAAGTGGCTGCTGGAAGATTTAAAATCCCACATGTGCTCGCATGTGGGGCTAGCATTTTATTTCTGTTAGACTGCACTATCTGGTCGATGCTGCCTCCATCACCCCAGGCAGCTTCTGTTCAGCACCATGTGGTTTCACGGAGGTGCACAGACCGCAGCGTCCTGCCTGACGCAGCCACTCAATACACATTCGCTGAAGGATTAAACGCCAGGCTGCCCAGTCTGATTTCAGAAGGGAAAATGATGCAATTGAGCCACCTGATCTCCCTGGCTTCAGCCCCCAGCCTCCGACCCTCCACCGTCTGCCCAACAAAAGCCCAGGCCCAGATGTCTAGACTCGAGAGACTTGGCCGGGACCAGCAGAGCCAAATGTGCAGGGAAGGGATGGTCCTGACACTCAGTGAGGGAGAACAGAGTCAGTTTCTCTCTCTCTCTCTCTGAAATATCATTTCTCATGGTTTGGAATGAAACCCATTATTCCCAATTAACCTGCGGTGAACCCGCATACTTGCTGGCTTGCCCATAATTATTCATCCATAGTAATAGCTAAAGTAAATTCTGGCTGTCTCAGCGAGCACTGACATCTCCTTTGGGAAAACTTTCAAAGATGCCACGTCCTTGGTTCCTTATCTAAAGCTTCCCTGCCCCATTTTGTTTCATTTTCTTTTTTGCAGCTAATCCTTGTGAAGAAGGCATCGTAGACCAGGATAGCTCCTTCTTGACCCCGGGTGGTTGGGTGAGACGGCCAGCGCTGCTGGGTTCCTTCCTACCCGCAGGCGGAGCAGGAGCACCGCGGCAGCCGGACCATCCCGGCAGGTCACATACACACAGTTTGTACAACTGGCCAGTCCTTCTCCAAGCTCCCTTCACCCTGCCATCCCAGGAACTGGGCCCCATGAGTCCACAGAAACTGCATAAAGTGTCCTTCTGCACAATTTATTTTGGGGTGTCAGATGTAATTTACTAAGAGACCGTCTGCCGAAAAAAAAAAAAATTCCAGAATGAAACCTAACTTGTCATTTTAAATTAAGTGTAGCTCCTTTTGTTCATCTTTCTACCAAAAAGACTGCACTAAAGACAGAATAACCTCTTCTCTATAATCACAATAATAATAGCAACAGGAGGAAGGCCTGAGTCAGAACCTGGGTGCGTGTTAGGAGAGATGGGGCAGATGGAGAGCACCTGTGGAGGCCAGGGTGGTGAGCTGTGCCTCCTTCCTGACACCGCTCAGCCTGCCAGGGGCGTTTCCAGAGAGGAGAGCTCTTCTGGATATTTTGCGTTTTGCAGAAGAGATTGGCTAAGCAGGTGGTGGGTAGGGTGGGGGAACTGTGTGCAAGACACTCATAGCATGCTCTATTTGGGGCCATTTCTTTCTCCCATGAAGACAGCAGAGTCTCTTACAGGGAAGTCTACAGGGTGGACAATCTGAGCTGAATCCACTCAGTAGCTGCGATGGGTTCAGGCCCAGCTTCCTGGCCTATCAGGGCATGCCATGTGACCTCTCTGGGCTTCAGCGTCCTGTCTGTAAAATGGAGATCAAATCCTTCTTGCCAAGTGAGTTGAGTAAGATAATTTTTTGAAAGGAACCAGTAGTTTGTGATGTTCTATACAGGTGTAAGAGGTTCTTATTATTGTCGTCATCCCTCATAGAATGGGAGGGGGGCCTTTGAAGTGGACACTGTGATGCCCCTTCCCCCATTTGCTGTGAGGTGGGCTGCTGAAGACCCCCACTCCCCATCCCCACCTCCCTCCCCACAAGCACGGCCCTCAGCTGACTGCAGCCCCTGTCCAGGAGGTGGTCAATTCCCCTTCCTGACAGCTCACAGGCAGTAACTGCCTAATGCCAGAGGCTGGCTCACTCCCCACCAGGGCACCACTCGGAGGTCCAGCTCAGGCTCCAAAGCCCTGCCCCGGGGGACCACCAAAGGTGGACTTGATGGATGTGACGCCATGTCCTCGCTCAGCTCCTTCCTCTTCCCACCCTGCCTCCCTCCCTCCCTTTCAGGTTTCTTTCTGAAAAGCACCCCAGGAAGTCACAGGTCCTGGAGCCTTGTCTCAAGCTCTGCTTGAAGAAGCTGCTGAAGAGGACTCCTGCATGGTGAAGGCCGCTGTTGCTGCTGTGGCTCTTGTTGGAGTCACGGTGACCACAGCACCAATGCAGGATGCCATGTCCTGCCAGGGGAAGGAGAACACCAATGTTTCTGCCAGACCTGCAGGCCGGGGCAGGTATCTGCTCAACCACGGGGGCGGTCAAAAAGACAGAGAATCGGGGAAGCTGGGACTGGGAGGAGAGCTAGGGTCCCACCAGTGGTGCCAGGGCAAGGCCCTTGCCTCTAAGATTCTGGTCCTGCTCCTGTGAATGCTGGAGCAGACGGAGGATGATGAAAACGCCCCTTGCTCCAAGTACTCTAAGATTCCAAGGACAGAGAGGACTGCTGGTCCCTCACCCTACATGGGGCTGGGGACATGGGTGGGGGTCCCTGAAGAAGGGAATGGAGAGGTGGGAGGAGGAGGGACACCTGCATTCTGGGTCACCCTGTGCACGTCTCCAGAGGCTCTCTCTAGCTTGTCTCTTTTTCTGACCTTGTCTCTTTTTCTAAAACCACATGGGGACTCCTCCCACCTGTCTGCTCCCCCAAAGCCGATCTGCAAGAACCCCCACGCAACGCTCCCTCCTGTCTGAGAGGGTCCCCCCAGCCCTGCAGACTCACTACCATGCGCATTTTCCTCCAGTTCCCCCCACCCCCAGCGCTCACCCTCTCCCCGCTTCACCCTTTGTCAACAGCTCTTTTCACAAGGTCATCATTACCCACTAATTGTCCAAAATTTCATTCCCTCATCTTTCTTGGTTAAGGATTGATTTAAGGAATGAGTTCAATATCCCCGCCGTCTCCAAGTGCTTATTAATTCCCGGCGCCTCCAGCTCCCTGCGCAGAGCCTGGCTCACCTCACACCGCTTCACCCCACACTGATTGGTAAAGCCCCGGCTTTTAGGCCTGCAGGATGGGAGGCCTAATGTGCACTAATCTATCATTACTTCACACGGCTGGCAGAGTGACGGATGGTGGCGGTGGATGGCTCAGTGAGGGAGATGGTCCTCCGCCTCCTCCAGGACTAGGCTGGAGTCGGAAGTTTGCTCGGCAGGAGAATGACCACCACCTTTAACAGGGCAGGCAGGGGAGGCACTGTCTTGCAAGAGTGGAGACCCAAGACATCAGCAGGAATCAAAAAATGTCTCCTCTCACCCTGCCTCCCTCCAGGAGCTGGAAGGCTACCTAGTCCATTGCCTCGTGGGCTGGGTATTGTCCACTCACCCCTCACATTCACGGCCCTGCCTGCTCCGTGGCCTGGTGGGCAGAGCTGTGTGGACAGCATCAACCGGCAGCCTTGCCCTCTGCTTCTACTTGCATTCAGCCAATGAGGAGCAGCAGCAGATCGGAGGGAGGGGCGTGAGGCTGGGTGTTTACTGGACTGGGCTTTCCCCGCAGGGCTACCACAGGCTGCCTGTGTCATGAAGATCACAGCTCCCATCAGGTGATCCCCCCTCTCTCCTAATGCTCCCTTCCCTCACCCCTTCAGGTCTGAGGCCCCAGCAGTCCCACTGTCACCCACTCCAGGGGCTGCACCACCCTGTGTTTCCCCCATACTCTGCCACACCTTTGTAAAAGTCCCTTTATTCAGCTCCCATCAAATTACCCAGCTTTACTGTGCCATCTGTCTCCTACTGGAACCCTACGGGAACCCTGACCAATACCTCTCATTTTACCAATGAGGAAACAGGCTCAGACAGGACTGCAGCTTGCCCTAGGTCACACGCAGTCACAGCAGGGCTGGCTCCAAAACTCCAGTCTTTTGACTCTGTCTAATGAGACTTCACCAGCCTGACTTTTCCGCGTCCCTTTTCTGTCCCTCCTGACCGCAGTATGCATCTCTTTGTATATGGGCTACCCTGGGAGGGGAGTGTTCAAGGTGCTATCAGGGCTCAAAGAACCTGTGCCTGCCCAGAGACAGCAGTGTTGATGCACCTCAAACGCCCTCCTCCACAGCACGTTCCAGATGTCGGGGACATCCGTCTTTCAGTGGCTCTGTAGCCTGGAGCACCCTTTCTTATGGTCTTTGTATTTGTCCCCTCAGGCAACAGTGCACCTATTGAAAATGCCAAACCCTAGACCATCTCTACCACAAGCAAACCCCAACCAAACCAATAGATCTGGGGTCCAAGTTTCCACCCAAAGCCTCTCTTTTTTACATAAGTCCTTCATGACAGAAGGCAATTTTTTTTTAATTTTTATTTATTTTGAGATGGAGTCTCGCTCTTGTGGCCCAGGCTGGAGTACAGTGGTGCGACCTTGGCTCGCTGCAACTTCCTCCTCCCGGTTTCAAGCGATTCTCCTGCCTCAGCCTCCTGAATAGCTGGGATTACAGGTGCCCGCCACCATGCCCTACTAATTTTCTGTATTTTTAGTAGAGATGGGGTTTCACCATGTTGGCCAGGCTGGTCTCAAACTCCTGACCTCAGGTGATCCACTTGCCTTAATCTCCCAAAGTGTGGCATTACAGGTGTGAACCACCACACCCAGCCAACAGAAGGTGATTATTTAGTCAATAAACTTCTACTGGAGTTTCTCCTATAGCTGTGAACTGCCTCCCTCCACCATTACCCCTCCCCTCCCCAGGAAGGAGACCAGTGAGGTCGACAGGGACAACTCCGAGCCCTGCGAGCTGTTCACGAAGGGTCCAACTCACCCTCTACCATCACAGGAGTCATTCACTGCAGGGAAAAGGCCCTGACCACCTGCTTCCTGCAGAGACCACCCTTGGACAGTTTGCCACAAATCAACAGCCCATCCTGGCAGCTCAAGTCAATATTCTCTTGGATGGTCAAGTGCCTCTGCTCCAGAACAGTCCTCAGAGGGGCCGACCCTGCCTTCCTCTATAGCCTGAGACATGCTCCCATATGTCCTCTGTCTCCTGAGGCAGAATCCTCTCCCTGTGTTTCAAGGCACCTGGTGATGGGTTGTCTGCTCACCACTTTGTGGTCCACACTTGACACTTCATTCTGGCCTGGTCTCAATTATTTCACAGGGATTGAGAACCCACGAAAACTGCCAAGTCCATATATACCTGGCCCAAGCCTAAAAGTCATCAGCAAATCCTATTTCCATGGTCATCTTGAGATGGAATAGGCTATCACCCAGAAAGCCTCCCCAAAGGGAAGGATAAGGCCAGAGATCAGAAAGGGGCTGCAGAGAGATGGAGGTGGGGCTGTTCTATTATAAACCTCTGGTAACAGCCCTATCTCCATCCCTCCCAAGAGGGGAATTAAGCATGTGCCCGAGACTTAATCAAGAGAAACTCACCCCGGTGAATTGAGGCATGGTGTAGGGGAAACCTCTGGGCTGGGGATCAGGAGACCTGGATCCTCTCTCAACCCTGCCGCTTAGCCCTTCTTGCCTCCTGGCCTCTCCTGTAACATGTGGGGTTGGTTGGATCAGATGAGCTTTAGTGCTGTAAGTGATATAACTCTGCATTTTTCCAGGGAGAAGGAGAAGCAGTGGCCTTTAATCCTGGTACTGCATTCTAGATGATCCCAACCCCATAATGCCCTTCCTGAAATAGAGCCACAGGGAAGAAGCCCAGCCCAGCCCCACCTGTGGGGCTATCTCAGCTGTTGGAAGAAGCTGCTCTGAGGAACTGACATAGATCATTCCAAAAGGAGTCAAAACCCCCAGTCCCTTTAATTTGTAGATACCTTTGGGTGGTATGGTCATTTCAACAATATTAATTCTTCCAACCCATGAGCATGAGATGTCTTTCTTTTTTGTATGTGTCCTCTTCAATTTCTTTCATCAGTGTTTTATAGTCTTCATTGTAGAGAACTTTCATTTCCTTATTAAATTTGCTCCTAAGTATTTTTTTGTAGCAATTGTAAATGAGATTGCTTTCTTGATTTCTTTTTCAGCTAGTTTGTAATTGGTGTATAGAAATGCTACTGAGTTTTGTGTGTTGATTTTGTATCCTGCCAATTTACTGAATTTTTTTATCAGGTCTAAGAGATTTTTGGTGAAGTCTTTAGGTTCTTCTATATATAAGATCACATTGTCTACAAAGAGTGACAATTTTACTTCCTGTTTTCCAATTTGGATGCCTTTTATTTCTTTCTCTTGCCTATCTCTAGCTAGGATTTCTAGTACTATGTTAAATAAGAATGGTGAAAGCAATCTACAGATCCAATGCAATCTCTATCAAAATACCAATGACAGTCTTCACAGAAATAGAAAAAACAACCCGAAAATGCGTATGGAGCCACAAAAGACCCTGAAGAGCCAAAACAATCCTGAGCAAAAAGACAAAGCTGGGGGCACCACACTACCTGACTTCAAAATGGACTGCAAAGCTATAGTAACCAAAAAAGCATGATATTGGTATAAAAACAGACATATAAGCCAATAAAACAGGTTAGAGAACCCAGAAATAAATCCATGTATTTGCAGCCAACTGATTTTCAACAAAGGGGCCAAGAACATACAATGGGGAAAGGACATTGTCTTCAATAAATGGTACTAGGGAAACTAGATATCCATTTGCAGAAGAATGAAACTAGAGCCCTATCTCTCATCATACAGAAAAATCAACTCAAAATCTATTAAAGACTTACATGTAAGACCCATTACTATAAAACTACTAGAAGAAAACATAGGGGAAATACTGCAGCATATTGATCTAGGTGAAGATTTTATGGGGAAGACTTCAAAAGCACAGACAACAAAAACAAAAATAGACGAATGGGACTATATCAAACTAAAAAGTTCTACACAACAATGGAATCAACAGAGTGAAGACACAATCTATAAAATTGAAGAAAACATTTGCAAAATATTCATGGGACAAGGGACTAATATCCAGAATATATAAGGCACTCAACAACAACAACAACAAAAACACATAATCCCATTAAAAACTGGGCAAACGATCTGAACAGACATTTCTCTAAAGAAGATACACAAATGACCAATAAACATATATAAAAATGTTCAACATCACTAATCACCAGGGATTTGCAAATCAAAACCACAATGAGATGTCATCTCACCCCAGTTAAAATGGTTATTATAAAAAAATAACAAATGCTGATGAGGATGCAGAGAAAAAGGAACTCTTACAAGCTGTGGGTGGGAATGTAAATGATGACAGCCATTACGGAAAACAGTATGGAGGTTTCTCAAAAAACTAAAAATAGCACTACCATAGGATCCACCAGTCCCACTGCTGGGTATTTATCCAAAGGAAAGGAAATCAGTATGTTGAAGAAATACCTGCACTCCCATGTCTATTGCAGCACTGTTCACAATAGCCAAGATATGGAGGGTAGGGAGGCTGGGGTGGAGGGGGGATAAAGGAGATGTCTGCCAGGCATACCCTCTTTCATACAGTAGCCTTATGTAGCTATTTAGATCTAAATTAATCAAAATAAATAAAATTTAAAACTCAGAGCCTCAGTCACACCAGTGACTCAGCCACATCTCAAGAACTCAATGGGCACACACGGCTAGTGGCTACTGCAATGGCCAGTGTTGACAGAAAACATTTCCATCACTGCAGAGGACCCTTTGGACAGTTCTGGTCTAGAAGCTAAACTTTGTTTTTGGAAAGCGCTTCATCTTGCATTGCTGATTTTTTCTTGCTGCTGAGCCAGCCCGTTTACTCCAGTCCTCTGCTCTGGGGAGGTTCCCAGATGGTTTTAGGATGAAGCTGGGCCAGATGACCACAGGATAGGGGTTCTGTCTGCCTGAGAGATGGCCTTGGGTGTTTCAGCCACCTACCAGATCCTGACAGGAACAGTCAAGCTAACAATCATCTGGCACCTGAGAGAAGTTCCCCACAGATCTTAAGCTTCAAGCAATGACAAAGTTCACAGGCCATGCCTAGGCCAGCCCACTCCCTCCCTTACCATTTGATCTAACCCCTGGTAACTCCCACCTTTCAAGGATACTACACCTTGGGTGGGCGTAGAGGAGAAAGAGTCAGAGAACATTTTAGGGACTCCAGGATTTGGGAGATTTCTGCAGACATGACCAAAGGGAGCTCAGAAAACCCCAGAGGTCCTTTTGGGGTCCTTATCTTCCCCCAAATTATTCATATATATGGCTGGGAAAATCCCCACAAGGAGTTAAAAGCCAAGAAAATAACTTTGCTCTGATAGCGTAGATGCATGGCAGGGATGGGGTGGGGTAGTGGGAACCAGACAGCTAAATGGGTTATCGAGAAATTACAAGAGGCTTTAAAAAGTAGAAAACTTACCATAAGTCAAGCCTATAATGTATAGACAATAATTATTTTCCACTGAATTTTTTGTGTTTAATTTGTGGTGACTATCTCCTTTTACATCATGTATTCAGCAATCACTCTTCTCCTTGCTTAATATGCACAGTAATCTTTCTCCTCCGATGTCACATATTCAATAATTCCTCTCCTCTGGTTCCAGGGGGTGGGATGAGGGGAACGGCACATTTTAAATTAGTAACGGCTGTTTTTGTTTTTTTTTAACTTTACCTCCACCAAAGCACTGTAAGTATCGTGAGCTCCAAAAAGCAACTCAGAGCACAGCACCCTGTCTGCCCCCTTCCCCAATTCCATTGCCTTTTTCTTCTTTTTTTTTTTTTTTCTTTGAGACAGGGTCTCACTTTGTCACCCAGACTGAAGTGCAGTGGCGGAATCACAGCTCACTGCAGCCTCAACCTCCTGGGTTCAAACGATCTTCCTTCCTCAGCCCCTAGTGTAGCTGGGACTACAGATGCATGACACCAGGCCCAGATAATTTTTGTACTTTTAGTAGAGACGGGGTTTCGCCATGTTGCCCAGGCTGGTCTGGAACACCTGAGCTTAAGCGATCTGCCTGCCTTGGCCTCCCAAAGTGCTGGGATTACAGGTGTGAGCCACCATGCCCTGCCCTTCTTTTTCACTGATTGATTCAGGGTCTCACTCTATTGCCCAGGCTAGAGTGCAGTGGCACTATCACATCTCACTGCAGCCTCTACAGCCCCACCGCCACTTTGCTCAAGCAATCCTACCTCAGTCTCCCAAATAGCTGGGACTACAGGCTAACCATGCGCTGCTAATTTTTAATTTTTTGTAGACGAGGGAATCTCACGATGTTTCCCTGGCTGGTCTTGAACTCCTGGGCTCAAGCGATCTGCCTTCCTCGGCTTCCCAAAGTGCTATGATTACAAGCGTGAGCCACTGCACCTGGCTCTTCACTACCCTTTTGAGGGCTTTTCTCTGGTCTGCCTCAGGAACCAAACAGGCCAGAGAAGGGAGCGCTGGGCAGTTGTCCAGCTCCATCCCAGTTAACACAGGACATGAGGCCTCTAAATGAAAACTTGCTCTTCCTATTAATACCTGTTTGCAGTGGTGTACCCTGGTCTGTTTAGCTCACGGCCAGCTCTGTTTGTTGCTGTCCATGAGGTTTTAGCACCTGAATTCCCCAGATATTGTTTGGTTCTTCCCCTGAATGTGGCATGCACAGCAGTCAGGAGAGCAAATCCAGGACCTAGGTAAGACAAGCAGGTGCCTAGGGCAGCATTTAAGGAAGCCCGCACTCTCAGATGCTGACCCTGCATTTGCAGACCCTGAGAGTGAGTGCCTCCTTAAATGTTTCAGCCCCAGGTATTCAGCTTGCCTCACCCGGGTCCTGGGTCCCAGCCCTTCAGAGGGACCAACCCCTTGCCTGTCTGAAAGTCAGAAGCAAAAGAGAGAGAAGGAGAGTGGGGGTGGGGGATAGACACAATACCAAGAAGAAGTGATTCGGAAAAAAGGTCATTAACATGCTTCAACGGACTCCAAACTCTGAGAGTTGTTTTATTTTTTTTAAGACAGAGAGGAACTTAGCAGGAAATCAATCAACACACATGCTGAAAACTTATTCCATGACAAAAAAGAAACAAAAACCCCATAAATTCCTGTAGCCTCCGGGTAGCCAGTGTCTACTGCTGCTAATTAATTTTCCAGTACTTTCACTCTCCGGATATCTCAAAACAGGGTCAATCTGTCAGCCCGGGAAGCATCACAGCCCCAGCTCTAGGAGGTTGGTGACTCTGTTTTGTTTTGGTTTGTTTTTGAGATGAAGTCTCTCTCTGTCATCCAGGCTGGAGTGCAGTGATATGATCTCAGCTCACCGCAACCTCTGCCTCCCAGGTTCTAGAGAGTCTCCCTTCTCAGCCTCCTGAGCAGCTGGGACTACTGGTACACGCCCCCACACCCAGCTAATTTTTGTATTTTTAGTAGAGATGGGGTTTCACCATGTTGGCCAGGCTGGCCTTGAACTCCTGACTTCAGGTGATCCACCTGCCTCAGCCTCCCAAAGTGCTGGGATTATAGGCATGAGCCATTCCGCCCAGCTGGAGGTTGGTGATTCTGGAACTTCTACCACACGTGGGAGGAGGGGAGCAGAAGAGCCCAAAGCAACTCGCAGACCTTCAGGAACAGGCTCTCCGCCTGTGAAGCTCTGAATCTCCATTCACCCTGCAGTGCACCACGTCCCTGAGCCTGCTCAGGCCAAGAGGAACAGCATGCGAGAATGTAGAGAGTGCAACCAGGAAAAACCTACCTCCCTGTCTCAGTTTCCCCAAATGCAAAATAAGGAGATTGTACTCAACCGGGTTTCAGGTTCCCAAACCCATGTTACCCCACCCAGAATTAAAGCCACGTGGATACTTATCTAATCTATGAACTCCTTGAAGACAAGGATTGTCTTATCTCTGCAAGCCTGCCCCTGCCACCACCCCCCCACCCCCACCAACACACAGTGCCTAACACCCTCCGACACACAAACGGTGCCTAACAGAGGACTGCTGGATTGCTCTGTCTCCTACTCTCCTGGTCCTGGCCTGTCCTCACCATCAGAACCAGGCAAGGGTTTACCAAGCCCTCGATAGCTGGGAGACCTATGATCCAGAAACCTTGCTCCCAAGAGTCCCTTCTTCCTGCCAACTCTATAAGCTCATTGGTATCTCCCAAAGGAACAAAAAAGGAGAGAGTTCTGACTCTGTAAAGTTCTCCACAGTTGAAAAATTCAAATTACAACTCCAAATAGCCTGTGACTGACAGTCATCTTCTGCACTCTGAGCCCCAGAGGAACAAGCAAGCCACTGGTAGCCAGGGCCGTGCCCTGACCCCACTCTTCAGAGAGAATGTGAAGGAGCTAGAACATTCCCCAGGACTCCAGAGCAGATGGGCAAGCAGTGAGGTTCCAGGCAGCTGCACCCCTAGGACCTGAGGTTTGGTCACCTTCCTGGGTGCCTTTCTTGAGAAGGTGACCGGATGAACCAAAGACCCTCCACGTCCCTTCTCAGGGAACCTCAATGCCACACACAACCCCTCCCCATACCCCATCCTGAGCCAGCCCCATAGAGCCAAATGGTGATGCTGTTTTCCTTCACAGAGACCCAGGAGCCCTCGCCTCACAGGCGGAAGGACACAGTCTCATCCCCCTCCTGACAGTGGCTTGTAGTTTCCTTTTTTATTCATTTATTTTTCTGTTTCCTTAAACAGTATGTGCCTAGAATGAATACCAGGCTCTCTCTGGCAGAAAAAAAGGAGCATGAAGGAGAAATGTGAGAGCGGTAATCCATTGTAACACTTTAGGGGAAACTGCAAGCAATTTCCATTCTATTGATCCTCCCCGGGCATCAAAGCCACACTGAGTTTATTTGGAAAATTAAATTCTGGAGCATGTAGCATGAGGGGGCTCTAGTTAAGTTGTCTAGCTCTACGGCCACAATTTAATTACATTCTCACTCTGCCTCTCCATTTAAATACAGCAAAGGAACTGGGCTGCCTGGTCCAGGCCCCTAATCGGCCCTGGCTGTGACCCTGTGCCCACAACAGAAGAGCCTTTTGCATCTCAATTGCCCTCAGCTGACCACTCACCAGCTCCTCCGGCTGCGCTCATTTACATCTTATGCGATTTTTAACAGAATATATTCATTAAAATGTAAATGTTTGCTAAAGTAACCTAATTTTAAGCATTTGCTCCTTTTCCAAAGGGAAGATTTTTATCTTAACAAAAATCTGTTATTATTAGAAACAAAGTAACATATTACCTAGGCAAAAATTAGATACAATGTGTTATCCATTTGGGGAAGAAGCTAAGAATCAATGTCTGATTGGTGTTGCCTGTTGTTATCAGACTTTGAAGATTCACAGAATTTGTGTTGTTGTTGAGACAGGGTCTCACTCTGTCGCCCAGGATCTGGAGTGCAGTGGCACAATCACGGCTCACACGGCTCACTGCAGCCTCAACCTCCCAGGCTCAGGTTTTTGTTTTTGTTTTTTTTCAGAATTTGGAGGTTCACAGAACAGTAAGATTTATGCACACTTGAATGCACACACGCATGCACACACATTCACACTTTAGTGAGCCTGGCAGAAATTTGCCAGCTTTTTATTTAGCCACATAAGGACTTTGCGGTCATCTTCTATTCTCTTCTACTATAACTTCTACTATCATCCCAATTTCCTGAATACCAGGGATGTAGGATGCCAATCTTAGAAAGAATAGTCCTTAATAGTGAATATGTTTAGCTTCATGAAGAACTCACTTTCTCTGTTCTCATTTTCCTAATCTCATCTGTGGAAAGTTAGCTGCAGTCTAGCACAGGTCTACAGACCACCCTTGGGAACCACAGGCATAGACTAATTTTTCTTAATTAAATTTTTATTTAGTGCCAATGCTGGGGGAGGGGCGCTGTGTCTCTGCCGCTTATCAGCCCTGGTAATTGAGAGCAAAGTTCTTTTCACAGTAGTCCAGAGGAACTGACCTCCCATCCTGTGAGTTCCATGAATACTAATCTGTTTGCTCCTAAATGAGGAAGGGCTCCACTGAAGTTCTCCTAGAGGAATGTCCCCTTGGGCAACCAGCCAGACCTTCTGCCCAAGCCCCACCAAACCAGCACAGAGCCTGGCATTTGGTAGAGTCTCATTAACAGTTGCTGAATCCCTCTGAAAAGTCATTGGGCGGCCCCCTCCCTCACAGTGGAACTCCTCCCATATTTCCCAGCCTCCTCCTCTGCAAGGCACCCCCTCTAAGGACAACAGCAGGTGGAATAGGGAAGGAGATAGACATGCCTTTTGATGATCTCGGGACCAACGGCAAATAGAGTCTGCCAGTCCTCATACCCCTCCACGGGCCTGCTCCCCATCCTCTCACAAGCCCTGAGATTCCTCTGAAGGAAGTAACTTTTCCTGCCACTTGTAGGTGCCACAGGTAAGCAGGAATGGCAGATAGAACCACGGTGTGTGGGTGTTTGATCCTCGGGGCCCACACCAGAGGGAACATCAGCAGTATTTGACAAGCTGACCAGCTGTCCCAAGAATAGAACTGTCAAGCCAACAGGGAAATCATTACCTGATCTATAAATGATCACACAGGAGTAAGAACTGTCACTTCCTTCTGAGGAGTTTGCAGAATCGGGATTTTAAACAGACCTGCAAACTGGTGCAACACTGAGCTCCCTGGAGCAGCTGGTGTATTATTCGCAGGGAGAAAAAAAAATCAGAAGTTAAAGCACTTCAGGAGCTCAAGGGGACAAGAGAAGGTCTCAGGGACTCTGACTATCAAAGGATTTCAGACCATCCCTGGTGTCAGCTACAAACTTAACTCAAAGGAAAACATAACTATTCAGATCTTCTGCCTGACAGTTTGCAGGCCTGCAAGTCTCCATGGTCTTTCCACTTGCAAAATAAGCGATGGGAGTTAGGGCTGCAGGCAACATGGGTCATTTAGTCTAAGACACTTCTTTTACTAAGACACAGACTCAGGTTCCACCCACGGGGATGAAGCCGTTTATGGTGGAGAGAAGCTGGAAACATCTTTAGGTGTCCCTCACCCATGACGAGTAGCAGGCAGTGGAAACACACTATGGAGAACTCACCATCAGTAAAGAGCCGCATATCGGATGTATGCAGAGCAATATGGGTGGTCACAATAACGCGATGTTGAGTGAGAAAAGCTGAAATGGAAGATTTGTAGCACAATAAAATGTATGTTAATTTAAAACACACACACAGAATGACACTACATATTTTACAATGATACACTACTTGCATATTTTAGAACATATTCCAAACACTTCAGAGTGGGTGTCTGCGGGAGTGAGGAGAGGGGAAGGAGAAGATACACACGGTGGCTGGGCGTGGGGGCTCACGCCTGTAATCCCAGCACTTTGGGAGGCTGAGATGGGAGGATCGCCCATGGTCAGGAGTTCGAGACCAACCTGGCCAACATGGTGAAACACTGTCTCCAGTAAAAATACAAAAATTAGCCAAGAATGGTGGCTCACGGCTGTAGTCCCAGCTATTCGGGAGGCTGAGGCAAAAGAATCGCTTGAATCCAGGAGGTGGAGGTTGCAGTGAGCCGAGATTGCGCCACTGCACTCCAGCCTGGGCAACAGAGCAAGATTCCATCCTGCCACCAACACCCCGTGCCACCCACACCCCCCTGCCAAAAAGAAAAAAAAAAAAAAGAAAACGGATGCCACGAAGCAAAAGAAAGGCCAAACAAAAGCTGTTCATGACAATGAGTTATTAACTAAGTGTAACTGACTCAACTCCCTCCACCTGAAGTCCACAGACAAGGAAAGAATGTGAGGTCCAGAGAGCTTAGGACAGGGCTTCTCAGACACCTGGGGATCGGGGATCCTGTGAAAATGCAGATTCTGAGTCAGGAGGGCTGGGCAGTGGGGATGGGGCTGAGGGTGTGCCCTTCCAACAAGCTCCCAGCTGATGCAGATGCCGCAGTCCCATGGACCTCACCTTGCGCTGCAAGGTCTCAGGAGACTTAATCAAGATATAAATTGAGCAGCAAAGTCCAAATAAGATTCTATATGCAGTGTGGATGAATCTCAAAATAATTATGCTGCATGAAAGAAGACAGGCAAAAAAAGAGTACATATTCATAAACTATGCTTCCATTTATATAAACTTCTAGAAAATGCATACTAATATATAAAAATGAAAGGCAGATCAGTGGGTGCCTGGACATCAGGCTGGGGGACAGATGAATTAACAAAGAAAACTCTTGGGGGTGATGGATATATTCACTATCTTTATTATGGCGATGGTTTCCTGGGTGTATACATATGTCAAAACTCATCAAATTGTAATGCTTCAAATATGTGCAGTTTAATATGCATCAATTATACCTCCACAAAACTGAAAACAAAAAAAGAATCTAGGTGGCCTTCCTCCCCACGCATCCCACACTGAAGATGCCTGTTTCCACTTCAACCTGAGCTGAGCAGCTTTTCAGCTAGCCTGTGGTCTCCAGGGCTGGAACCCATCCCCCTCCCTCTTCCACAGCTCCCACCATCTCACCTGGGCCGCCCTAAGAATCCGTGCCCCGATTTCATCTTCACCCTCCATTCCCCATCCATTCTCCACAAAGCAGTCGGAGTGATCTCTTTAAATTACAGATCTGACCACATCACTGCTACCTCACACCTCCTCACTCTCCCCACAACCCCAAACCACCCCCGCCATCGCTACCTGCCCACCCCCTACCTTAAAATCCTTCAAGATGGAAGGGTATAAAGACCAAAATGTGCACCCTGCCCTGGGTGCCTCCCACCTACTCCCCCTCAACCCCTCTTTCCACCCCTCTCCTCTCACTCTCCACCCCTGCCTCGCTGACTTTCTAGGAGTTCTCCCAAAGCACCGTGTTTCCGTCTGCTCAGGATCTCTCTCTGTAACTCCCACCCCCAACCCCCTTCTCTTGTCTGGTGAACTCCTACACATCCTCCATCCCAGCTCAGCTCTCCTTCCCTCAGGACTCTCCCCGCCTGCTTCCCAGTTCACCCAAACCAAGGCAGGCTCCTTTGCTTTACGTGTTCCTAGAGCCATATTCCTTTCCTTCCAAGCACTCACTCCATCTGCATGCATCTGTCCCATGCAGCCCCCTACACAAGTGTTTCATTCCTGCTTGTCTCTCACACTGCATAGTACTCCCCAGGAAGGCCACCGGGTCTGTTCTGCAGCCAACACAGTGCCTGGCACCCAGGATGTACCCCATACATACTCGTTTCTTGAAAGAATGCTTAGCAAATCCTCCAAAGGGGCCATGGTCATCCCTTAGCAATGACATCTCTAGAATGTGGGGACGGCAGCTCATTTACAACCCCTGCTCCCTGCACCCTCCTCCCACCCTGCACTGCCCCGCCAGCCCCTGCTGCCTCAAGTTCTGCAGAGAAGACCCACAACCCGCCCCTGTTCCAGCAGGAACTCCTGCCTCCCTCACGTCTACCCTAATCCTTACCATTCCTCTCAAAGCCACTTTGCATAAAGTAAATAGCACATTTGCTTTTGTGGGGTTTTTTTTCTTTTTTTTCTTTCCACAATTTCAACACTGCTGTGTTTGGATATAATCATTTCCTTTTTGGGCTTGGATCCCAAACTCTGGCAGTGCCTTAAGGGTAGGAAGATAAGTGTCAGAGGACAATCTGGATTTAGACAAAAATCCCCTCCAGTAGGGCACACGCACTGGCCTGAGCATGTGAGTCCACCAAACCTCTGGACTTGCTCCCCAGACCCTGTCAAAGACTCAGGAGATGGAGGAGGTCACCCCAAAGTGTGGGGAGGTGGTAGGGGAGGTGTCAGGCAGCAGCGACATCAGGATGGCAAAGGTCAGGGGGCAGTGGGTCAGATGCCCACCCAGCAGCCAGGCACCAGGTAGACCAGAACACCAGAAGCAGAGCCAGGGAGCAGGCTTGGTCTTTGTCAGAACTTCAGAGCCCTGGGCAGTCCTAGGAATTAAAGAGGCAGGGCCAGGCAGGGGCTTAAAAAGTCAAGCACACAGCCAGGCACACAGTTCAGAGGGTCTGGAGCTCCAAGCTGCTAGTTGCCTTCACTCCTGCCCTTCTCTGTGCCATAGCATTTGCTCATCATTTCCCTGCCTGAATCCTACTGAGGCATCGGGACCACTTCAGCAGCTACTGGGGAGAGGTGGGGGCAGCCCCAGGACCTTCCTTCATAGGGTTCAGCTTCGCCTAGACAGATGAGGACATGGAAAGGAATGGATGCCCATGAGCCCCAGACCCAGGTTGACCACTCCCCATAATTTTCAGGCTTCTCTATCACTTTAGATGTCACTGGAAAAGAGGAGGAATTTAACAGCATAGACCCTCCGGGAAGCAGAGAGGGTGACTCATGGTGAGCTTCCCCTGGGGTCTGGAGTGTGGCCCAGGAGGCTAGAGTTTTTGGAAGAAGAGCAGTTTTTGGAGCTGGGCAGCCAGCAGTGGTCTGTCTGCCCCGGGACTGGCCAGCAGCCCCTGGGCCCTCTCTGGGGTGCCAGGACCTCAAGCCTTAGAGGAATCCCTTCTCTGCCCCCAAGCCATTGGAATTTGCCCTGTGGGGAAGGAGCTGGCATCATTCTCTGAGGGCTTAGAGCTCACCCAAGACAGTTTCCAGAAAGGAGACTGTAGGACAGGAAACAGGCCAGCTACATATATTAGGAGATCATCCTCAAGCAAAGGCACCTGACAGATGTCTAGCTATGGGAGCACTCCCTGTCTCCATCTCTCGAGCCCCGGGCTGTGTCCATCACCGAGTGGTCCTGATCCAGCTAAGTCAATCACCCCTGCTGAGCCTCCACCCACTCACCCCATGGACAGGGAATCAAATGCAGAGGCAAATACCATTTGTGTTAACGACAAAATCTAACTGAGAGATGGTCTAGACAGGTTTTCTCTCTGTCCTGTTTGGCCATGAAAACAGACATGATGATCCTCATTTACAAAAGGGGAAACTAGGATTCAGAAAAGTCAAGAAACTTGCCCAGGGTCACAGAGCTACTGATGGCTGAGCCAGGCCTTAAACTAGAGGCAGCACTGGCTTTGAAGTGAATCCTATCTACAATTTTGTCTTAGCTCTGCTGCCTACCAGCTGTGTGTGGCCTCAGGTGCATTATTTAACCTCTCTGAACCCCAGCTTCCTCTCTTAACAAATGTGTTAATTATGATCTATCTCTCAAAATGCAAGGAAGGATGAACTAAGATGAAATATATGAGAGTGATGGTACATGGAAAGCAGTTAATGTTTGTTCCTTCTTTCCAATTCCAAATCTTAAAACATATTGTTTTGGGATAATTCCAATGTGGAGGTTACAAAGGACTTTCCTGGGGAAAGGGAAGCATTTCTCAAGAGATTGGAATCTAGGAACACGCCTGGCCAAGCACTTCTCTGTCTTCACTGATGCCAGCTCCTTTGTTCCCCCATCCCTCTCTCTGTGAAAGGACAGAAAGAGCAGGCCTTCCCAGATACCTGTCATGTTCTTCCACACACAGGGGAGCCCAGCTCCCTGTCCACTGGGGCACCCACCTGCTCTCTGTGGCTCAGTGGCTGAGCCCAGGCCTGCCTCTGAGGGTGGAAGTCCTGTCGACAACCCTGAGACTGGCCACAGCTGGAGTGTCGCAACCAGGAACCACCAGGAGAGAGGCTGCCCCTCACACCCCCACCTCTCATTCCAGCAGGAAGGCTCTGGGTGGAGTTGGTGGCATTACGGCAGTCTTGTGTACTCACACGCAAAGCACGGTCTCTCCTACCTGGGACTCATTTCCCCTCATCCACAACCCTCGGAGGGGAGGAGCAATGGAACAGAGAGAAAAATGCCAAAATTGGCCAGGGTCGTGGGGCTTGATCTCAACAGCCCAGAGCTCAAGCTTCAGTCCATTTCCATGTACGATTCCAGCATCCTTAACGAAGAGTCCCACGTGCTTCCTGAGGATCCGCCAGCCGGCATCATACCTATGGCTTCCCTGTATCAATGTGAACTCCATGATTTTGATAACTGAACGGTGGTTATGGAAGAGAATGCCCTTGCTTTTAGGAAATACACATTGAAATGTTGAGGGATAAAGGGGTATCTCGTCTGCAACTATCAAGCAGTTCAAGTATACACGCATGCACACACTTCCAACCTTAGCACTACTGACGTTTTGGGCTGGATAATTCTGTGCTGGGGGGAGCCGGAGGACTGTCCTGTGCACTGTAGGACATCGAGCAGCATCCCTGGCCTCTATGCACTAATGTAGTAACACCCCCCCATGCCCCATCCTTACCCCAGGCATTTGAAACAACACAATTGTCCAGAGATTGTCAAATGTCTCCTGGGGGACAAAAATTGCTTCTTGTTGAGAACCACTGGGGATCTATATATATATGAGAGAGAGAAGGGTAAAGAATATAAATTCTTGGTACTGTTTTTATCTTTCCTGTAACTTTCCTGTAAGTCTGAAATGATTTCCAAATAAAAATTGTTCAAAAAAAATAAAATTTTATGAACACTTATAACATGAAAAGAAAGAAAGGAAGAAAAAAAAAAACCTTGCCAGGTTACAGCCCTCTCTATGTCTGCCCCAAGGCCCTGACTCCCTTTGCTCACAGATCAGGGATCCCACAGTGGAAGGCATTTAACCACCGGTCAGACCCTGCTAGACCTTCCCGCACACACGCTCATGGAAGCCCCATACTGGCTTGGTTCTGGTTTCCCCTCTCTGCAGATGGGGACCCCAGGGCCCAGAGGGAGGGTCCACCTTGCCTGAGGCCCTGCAGCTGGGAGCACCAGTAGATACCAGTACCTGAACCCAGTATGCAGACTCCTGGCCTTCTCCTCCCCTCCACCTACTGGCCCTTGTCTACCCAGTGAGCCTAGACAGCCATCTGGTGTTTTCCCTAGCCTCCATCAAGCACCCCACAGAGCACCAGGTACCAAGCACTGAGTGGACACCCTTGCAGAAAGAAAATCGAAAGTTAACCACATGTGCAATTTTTTTTCTTTATCCTGTTTTCCTAAAGGGGGTTGCAGGGCTGGGCAAAGTTGCCTTTCAGATGCTTCCCAGTCAGCAGATTTTGCCTCCTACCTTCGCCTTACAATCTGTGATGATTCTGAGTGGAGCTGGCTAGTTGCCATTTGAAGCAAATTGGTTATCCAGGAAAAAGCAAAAGAAAAAACTTTAAACAAACAAATAATACAAGGAAAGCCATGGGGGAGGAGGGATGGGGAGAGAAGGAAAGTAAATTGCACAAATGCAAATTAGAATTATTTAAAAATTAAAAGTTACTTTAAATTATTTAACCTAATTACCGCCCCGTTCTCCCAGGGAGACAGTCACTTGTGTTCTGCGGAGCACGGAGGATTAAGCAGAATCCTCTGGCACTAGGGAGGGGAGGCCAAGGAATCCAAGCTTCAAAACCCCTCAGCATGCTGGGGTGGGGTGGAGGCTGAGGGGAGGGGGACAGATGCCAGCGGGAAGGGGACATGTAATAAACATAACGAATGTGGGTATCACACTTCATGCTTTACAGAGCACCTGCTCATTTTCTTTAATCCTCATGACTGCCGGAGGGGCCTGCGTTGTTATCCCCATTGCGCACATGGGGAAGCTGAGGTTGAGGCCCAAGGTCACACAGGTGATAAGCAGTAAACCCAGGCCTGGAGCCCTGCAACCCTGGGGCCTGCAGGAGCCCTCTCAGCTCTGCTGGGCTAATCCCCAGGAAGGACAATGAGAGGGGGCGCAGGAGAGGGCACCACTGGAGTCTCATCCTGCCTCTGCTGCTTCCCTGCTGAGTGATCTTGGGAAAGAAACCTCACCTCTCTGAGCCTCAGTTTCCTCATGGAAAAGATGGAGATGCTACTTCCCACAGGGCTGTTGAGAGGCTTGCGGGGGACAAGATATCTAAAGCCCCTGGCACTTAGTAGTTGCTCAAATAATGGGGCCTTAGAGTTCCAATGAGCAACAGGGGAAAGATGAGGGGCATTAAATCCCACTCGAAAGCAATCGTATTCTTCTCAGGAGGCTGAAATGACAGGATCACTTGAGCCCAGGAGTCAAGGCTGTAGTGAGCTATGATTGTACCACTGCACTCCAGCCTGGGTGATGGAGCTAGACCTTGTCTCCAAAAAATAAATTGTATAAAGCCCAGTGACCTGTCAAGCCAGTAGTTCTCAAATGGGCTGCATACTGGAATCATCAGGACGCTTTCAGAACTCCTGAAGCTCATATGGGCCCCCAGAGCAATCAAATCCGAATCTCGGCATGTCTAAGCTCTCTGGGTGATTCCAGTTGTGCAGCCACAGTTAAGGACTTCTGCGCTAATCTGTCTCCATTAGGATACAACACAATAGCATGGATTATTCTGCAGTTGGAAGGATTTAGGGTAGACACTAAATGGGGCTTTTCTTTTCTGTAAATTGCTTTGTAGAGGTGGGGGTCTTGCTATGTTGCCCGGGCTGGTCTCAAACTCCTGGCCTCAAGCGATCCTCCCACCTCAGCCTCCTGAGTCACTAGGACCGCAGGTGTGAGCTTTTCTAGAAGCCAGGTCCAAGGAAAGATGTAGAGTGTCTATGGGGATTGGTAAGAGCAGAACTGAGCCCTTTGTGACCAAGGAAGGAAACAGGAGGAGGGGGCAGGGGCCTTCCAGAGGTCCTCCTCAGACACACTTGAGGCTAAACCAAGCAAGGTCCCTGGTAGGTAGAAAGGGAAAGGAGTGGAGGAAGAGGGTTTGTAGGTGGCCAAGAGATAGCACCCCTCAAAATGCCTGACCTGTCTGAGATCCTTGCCCACCTGAGACCTCCAGAGGTGACCTGACAGCCTTCACCCCACTGAATCTCGGGACACACATGCCCTCCCTGGCGCCTCCATTCACCCCCCACAGCACACTAAGATTCACAATACACTCTATGCTGTGTCAGGCCCTGGGCACTACCCAGGGCTTCAATTTCCTTTTTATTAGTCCAGGAAGGGCCTAATTTGCATGTCATTTGCATAAATTTGCTTGTTTCAGTTCAAAAAAGACCCCAACTCCAAGCAGGTGAGATAAAATAAATTAGCTTATTTATCGTCCCTCCTGCTGCAATTGTATTCCAACCTAACATCAGGCTTCACGGAGTGTTCACAGGGGAGACTATTACAACACCGCAGCCTGGAGAGAAACTGCTGGAGGTGAGGACACAGCCCGGCTGGACTTCCAGGGATGGAAGAAAAGCAAGTTTCTCCCCCGATATCAGGCCAGACTTAAGATGGAAGGCTGCCTCTGAAGAAGGAACACAGTAGATTCACTATTTTAACTATATCCCTCCCCCCGCCAAAAGAAATAAACAGCAAAAATCCTACTTTGCTATCCCATCCTGCAATGGGGACCACGGTGAAGTCTGAGCTCGGGCTGGAGGGAGGGCCGCTCTCCGGGCTGGCCATTTAATTGATTATCGACACATTCTCAAGGCCAAAGCACAAAGGATTCGGCTTTTAAGGTCCCTCCTGACTAAGCTTCTATACAGGGGTTTCAATGGATGCTCTGCATCACATAGTTGGGTGGAAAAATCCATTATCTTAACAGCTGGCACCAGGATGCCTCTGGGGGAAGAAAATCTTTGATATATTGTCTGGGGGACCTGGACCCTGAGGGTCGGGGTTGCGGGGGTGTTAAGTCTGGCAACCGCAGACGGAGCAGCACTGAGGCAGTGCCAATGCAGGGCACTCATCTGCTTTCCCCCGAGGGGAGAGGAAGGCAAGATGTGGTGGGGCACAGGAGCGATGAGGGGTGACCAGTTGAGAGTACCTGGTATCACAGCGGCCTCAGAGCAAGCCATCAACCCGGTTCAGATGCCCCCTTGAGGAGGGCATGGGAATGACACTGTCTTATCTTGATTTCAAAGGCCTGGGGGACCCCAGTGGATGCCTGGGTTATAATCTTAATAAAAAGACCTACTAGGCGGGGCCCGGTGGCTCACGCCTGTAATCCCAGCACTTTGGGAGGCCGAGGTGGGTGGATCACAAGGTCAAGAGATCGAGACCATCCTGGCCAACATGGTGAAACCCCGTATCTACTAAAAATACAAAAAAAAATTAGCTGGGCATGGTGGCACGCGCCTGTAATCCCAGCTACTCAGGAGGCTGAGACAGGAGAATTGCTTGAACCCAGGAGGCGGAGTCTGCAGTGAGCCGAGATCACGCCACTGCACTCCAACCTGAGCGACACAGCAAGACTCCGTCTCAAAAATAAATAAATAAATGAAAAATAAAAAGACCTACTAAATAAATGGTAGTTCAACAAATATCGAGGGCTTACTCTGAACAAGGCATTATGCTGAAATCGTCATAATGGCCAGGCACAGTGGCTCACACCTGTAATCTCAGCACTTTGAGAGGCCGAGGCGGGGAGATCACTTGAGGCCAGGAATTGGAGACCAGTCTGGCCAACATGGTGAAACCCTGTCTCTACCAAAAATACAAAAAAATTAGCCAGGTGTGATGTTGTGCACCTATAATCCCAGCTATTTGGGAGGCTGAGGCACGAGACTCGTTTGAACTGAGGAGATGGAGGTTGCAGTGAGCCAAGATCATGCCACTGCACTCCAGCCTGGGTGACAGAGCAAGACTCCATCTCAAAAATAAAATAAAATAAAATAAAATAAAATAAAATAAAATAAAATAAAATAAAATAAAATAAAATCATCATAATGAGCCTAGGATATAGGTTTTATAATTACCCCAATTTACCAATGAGAAAAACTGAGGTTCAGAAAGGCTACATAATTTGCCCAAGGTCACAGAACTAGAAGGTAACAGAGCCAGGATTTGCCCCTTAACCACCACTATATACAATACTAGGCAGGCTTCTCAGCCTTCCCATAAAGGCAGGAAGAGCAACATTATTGGAGATGAGGAGCCAGCATTACTGTGAATCTGATTCACCTAAAATCATCAGCTAATAGGTAGGATCTTCTGATTCCTGGCGTGGCGCCCTTTGCACTATATCATTTTGCCTCCGTCTGTGATGTCACCAACATCAAATGATTCTATAATTTGGTACTAGCTATTCATTGGCAACATGGCAGTGGCAGTGGTGTGATGGAGAGGAATAGGTCAGCACCAAGGCAGCACCAAGGACATTCCCAAACATCCCAATCTTCCCTAAATTGGGAAATATTCACTGGAATGAACCAAACAATCCCTGGATCGATATAAATCCTTAAATCCATTTCTGTTTTCAGATTAGTACCATGTGTTAACAAACTGTCAGTATACAAAGGCAGAACCCATGCCGAATATACCATTTTAACATTTTGTGAAGACTCCTAGGTACTTCTAGTTATGGAAAAAAATCCTGTTCTTTGACTCCAAACCCATTATGAGTCTACATGTTGTGCTCACATCCTCCCTCTAGATGTCTGGGCTCAGACTGAAGCTGACTCCTTTGTGTTCATATAGCTGCTCAGTGACTGCCTGGACCCTTTCAAAAGCTTTCGACTTCATTCATTGATTCATGCAACAGAAATCTGTTCAGCACCTACTAAGTGCCAGACGCTGTGTTAAGCACAAGAGGTACAAGGTTAAGTAAAGTAGGTGCAGACCCTAAACTCATGGAGCTTACAGTCCTCTAGGAGAGCAATATAATAGAATAATTAGATAAGTATATAAGTACTAACTATAATACATTTACAGTTAACTCATGAACTTCAAGGGTCCACTTACCCACAGATTTTTTTCCCACCAAACATAGATCAAAAATACAGTATTTGTGGTATGTGAAACCAAGGACATGGAGGGCTGACTTTGTATACGTGGGTTCTGCAGGTTCAATTACAGAACTTGAGTTTGTGTGGAATTTGGTATACGAGGGAGTCTGGAACAGTATATGTCCCACATATACCAAGGGAAGGCTGTATATTAGTTTGCTCAGGCTGCCGAGCAAACTAATATACAGCCATATATTATATTATATTATTCTGTTATAAATATATTGCTTTCCTGGAGGACTGTAAGCTCCATGAGTTTAGGGTCTGCACCTACTTTGCTTAATGTAATAAATACCACAGAACAAGTAGCTCAAACAGAAATTTATTTCCTCAGTGTGAAGAGTCTTTAAAGAACTAAAAGTAGATCTACCATTTGATCCAGCAATCCCATTACTACGTATCTATCCAGAGGAAAAGAAGTCATTATACAAAAAAAGATACTTGCACATGCATGTTTACAGCAGTACAATTCGCAATTGCAAAAATATGGAACCAGCTCAAATGCCCATCAATCAATGAGTGGATAAAGAAAATGTGGTATACATACCATGGACTACTCAGCCACAAAAATGAATGAAATAATGGCATTTGCAGCAACCTGGATGGAACTGGAGACCTTTATTCTAAGGGAAGCAACTCAGGAATGGAAAACCCAACATCATATGTTCTTACTCATAAATGGGAGCTAAGCTGTGAGGACACAAAGGCATAAGAATGATAGAATGAGCCGGGCATGGTGGCTCCTGCCTGTAATCCCAGCACTTTGGGAGGCTGAGGTGGGTGGATCACCTGAGGTCAGGAGTTCAAGACCAGCCTGGCCAACATGGTAAAACCCCATCTCTACTAAAAATATGAAATTATCCGGGTGTGGTGGCACACACCTCTAGTCCCAGATAGTCAAGAGGCTGAGACAGGAGAATCGCTTGAACCCAGGAGGCAGAGGCTGCCATGAGCCAAGATGGCACCACTGCACTCCAGCCTGGGTGAGACAGAGCAAGACTCCGTCTCAAAAAACAAACAAACAAACAAAAAGAATGATACAATGGACTTTGGGGACTCAGGGAAGAAGGGGGAGGGGGAGGGGGAGGGATAAAAGACAACATATTGGGTACAGTGTACACTGCTTGGGTGACGGGTGCACCCAAATCTCAGAAATCACCACTAAAGAACTTATCCATGTAACCAAACATGACTTGTTCCCCCAAAAACCTATGAAATTAAAAATAACTAACATAAAAATTAAAAATTAATGTAGTTTCTAAAAAAAATAACAAACATAATGCAAAGACAAGTTTTGAACCCCGTTTGTGCATTTGGGCTTGTCGTCACTTGCTGCTCTTGCCAACCAGGCTAAGCCTGGGTTAGCCTGCTAGATCGTAAGTGGCACGTGGTCTAGTTATGTCCATTGTCCTTGAAAAAAAAAACAAAAGAAAGAAATGTATGTCCTCACAGTTCTGGAGGCTAGAAGTCCAAGATCAGGGTGCCTATGGGACTGGTTTCATTCTGAGGCCTCTCTCCTTGGCTTGTAGATCCCATCTCCTCTCTATGTCTGTGTCTTAATCTCTTCTCATGATGATGCCAGTCATATTGGATTTAGGGCCCACCCATATGAACTAATCTTATACTACTTACCTTTTTAAGGCCTTCTCTCCAAATATAATCACATTCTGAGGTATTGGGGATTAGGACTTCAACATCTGAAGTTTTGAGGGACACCATCAGTCCACAACAACATTCTAAGACATAAAAGTTCAGGGATATATAACAGTAAGAGCAGATAACAGGGACTCTGGGGGGTCACTGAAGGTCTCCCTAAGGAAGTCACATCGGGGTTGTGTCCTAGCCTGGGTTCCCCCACAAGCAAACCTAAGACAAAGGTATGTGTGCAGGTTGTTTATTTGGGAAGTGATCCCACAGGGCAAGAGAGAGGTTCAGGAGGAGAGGAACCGAGAAGAAGGGAGAGCAAATACAGCTATAGGCCAGCGCTGCAGGCAACTGGGCTCCATCTTACTTGGACTCCTAAGGAGGGTTCCAAAAGGTCCATCCGGGAAATGAGACGGGGAAGCATTTATCCATCACTGCTGTCCCCACTGGCTAGGGACAGCCACACTGCTGGTGTTAACCCCTGAACTTCTACACTAGCATGTAGGTTCCCTCAGAGGTCTCTCACCTGTGTCAGAAAAGCCCCAGGACAGGAAGCAAGAGGTATGTGGAATGAGCCGCGGTGGGGCCCTATCAGGTTGCATCTGTGCAAAGCTAGTCAAAGCCTGTGTGGAACTGGTCACCACAGCAGGGGCTGGAGTAAGACGTGGTGGGGAGAGGATGTGAAGTGAGGCTCAAGCGGTGTCTGTACAAGCTGTGAACTGCAGGACGAGTAGGAGTTAACCAGAGCGGGGTAAGTGGCAGGAAGAGCTTTCCAAGCTGAGGAAACAGTATGTGCAAAG